>NC_000005.10:156973445-157276475 GCF_000001405.40 Homo sapiens | reverse complement strand
ATTTATCCCAGGAATGTTAAGATTGGATTAACATTAACATCAGAATATCAATTAACGTAATAAGCTATAGCAATAAAGGTCAGAAACCATATCATCTCAATACACACAGAAAAAGCATTTGACAAAATCTCAACGCCTTCATGATAAAAACACTCAAAAAACTAGGATTAGAGAATATCCTCAACTTGACAATAAGTGGCCACAAAAAACTCTTAGCTAATATCAGACTTAATGCTTTCTCACCAAGATCAAGAACAAGACAAATAAGTCTGCTCTTAGCATTTCTATTCAACATTGTACTGGCAGTTCTAGCCAAGGTAATTATGCAAGAAAATTAAATAAAAGACATCTAGATTAGAAAGGAAAAAGTAAAACTATTCCTATTTGCAGATAACATAGTCTTGTTATAGAAAATCCAAGAAAAATCCACTAAAAACTATTGAAAGTCATAAACAAGTTCAGCAAGTTTGTAGGATACAATATCAGCATATAAAAATCAGTAGTATCTCTATATACCAGCAATGCACAATATGAAAATAAAATGGAGAAAACAGTTCTATTTATAGTAGCATCAAAAATAATACAATACTTAGAAATAAACTTAACAAAATAAGTACAAAACATACACTCTGAAAGCAATAAAACCTTGTTGAAAATATTAAAGACCTAAATAAATAAAAAGATATCCCATGTCCATAGGTTGGAAGGCTTAATATTGTTAACACGGCAATACTGCCCAAACTAACCTACAGATTCAACATAATCTCTATGAAAATCTCATCTGGTTTCTTTGCAGAAATTGACAAGCTGATCCTAAAATTCATATGGAAATTCAAGGGACTCACTCAGGATAATCAAGACAATCTTGGGGGTGGGAGGAACTGAACAAAAATGGAAGACTCACACTTCCTGATTTCAAAACATACTCAAAACTACAGTAATCAAAATTGTGTGGTGTTACCATGAAGACAATGAACAATGATTAAATTAATGGAATTGAACTGAGAATCCAGAAATAAATCCTCACATTTATGGTCAATTGACAAGAGATGTAGAAAGAATATTCTTTTCAACAAATGATTCTAGGACAACTGGATACCCACATGCAAAATTTGTTTTATGGTGTGAGGTATAAATAATGTAATATATAATAAATTAACTCAAAATGGATCAAAGATCTATGTAAGAGCTAAAACTATAAAACTCATAAGAGTACATCTTTGTGACCTTGAATTATGTAATAACAACAAAAACACAAGCAACAAAATAAAAAATAAACTAAACATCAAAATAAAAAAAATTGTGCTTCAAAGGACGCCATCAAGAAAGTAAGTCCACAGAATAGAAGAAAATATTTGCAAATCATGTATTTGCTAAGTATATAAAATATGTAAATAATTCTTGGCTGGGCACAGTGGCTCATGCCTGTAATCCTAGTACTTTGGGAGGTTGATGGGAGAATCGCTTAAGCCAGGAGTTCAAGACCAGCCTGGGCAACAGAGTGATACCCTGTTTCTACAAAAAAATTTTTTTAAATAAAAATAAATTTAAAAAATGAATTCTTAAAACTCATTAATAAAGAGAACCTGATTTTAAAAATAGGCAAGGAACAGATTTTTCTCCAAAGATATACACATAGCCAATAAGCACACAGAAAGATTAATAACCTTAGTTATTAGGGAAATGCAAATCGATACCACTTCACACCCACTAGGATGGCTATAATGAAAAGGACAGACAATAACAAGTGTTGGCAAGGATGTGGAGAAACTGAGAATACCGTTGCTAATGGGAATGTAAGATGGTGCCGCAACTTTGGAAAATCGATTGGTATTTCCTCAAATTTTTAAACACACAGTTACCATTTGACCCAGCAATTCTACTCCTAGGCATACACCCAAGAGAAATGAAAATACAGGTCCACACAAAAACTTGTACATGGATGTTCATGGCACCATTATTTGTAATAGCTAAAAAGCAGAACTAACATATGCATCAACTGATAAATAAAAAATTGTATAGCCACATGGAGTATTTTTCAGCCATAAAAAGTAATTAAGTACTGATATTGATACAACATGAATAAACTTTGACAATATTATGCTAAGTGAAAGAAGCGAATCATTAAAGACCCCGTATTGTATTGTTCCATTTATTAAACATGCCCAGAATAGGCAAATCTATGGTTGCCAAGGGGTGGGGTTGGGGGAAATAGGTGGTGGTGCTAAAGGCCATGAGATTTCTTTTTGGGGTGCTAAAATGCTCTAAAACTGACTACGATTATGGGTTGTACAACTCTGTGAATATATTAAAAACCACTGAACGGTTTTTTTTTTTTTTTTTTTTACACAGAGTTTCACTCTTGTTCCCCAGGCTGGAGTGCAATGGCATGATCTCACTCACTGCAACCTCTGCCGGGTTCAAACGATTCTCCTGCCTCAGCCTCCCGAGTAGCTGGAATTACAGGCACCTGCCACCATGCCTGGCTAATTTTTGTATTTTCAGTAGAGACAGGGTTTTGCCATGTTGGCCAGGCTGGTCTCAAACTCCTGACCTCAGGTGATCCACCCACCTTGACCTCCCAAAGTGCTGGGGTTACAGACATGAGCCACCATGCCTGCCCTGAACTATATTTTTTAAATGAGTGAATTGTACAGTATGCAAACTATATTTCAATAAAGCTGCTACCAAAAGTTAGTATTTTTATAACTACTTTTTGGGAAACTTTGAGTGTAACATAAGCAGAAGGGGTACAAAGAGAGCTGGGGGTAGAGTAGGAGCTTGGGGAGTTTGGGGACTGTAAATGATGCCCCTACAAGCAGAGGCTGTGGAGAGCAAAAACCAACGGGGATAGCAGGGGAGGAAAAGAGTAATAGATACAACCATACCACCCCACAGAGCAGCCCCCTAAACTGCAGGGGTGAACTAGACCATACAGGGCAGGCCCAGCTAGCTTGTTTGTTCCCTCCCCCTGCCCCTGCCTGTTTTGGTTTCTCTGCCATCTGTCAGGTCCTGGGGCTGCCCCACCCTGGAGTAAAGACTTCTCAGATAATATTAACTGAGGAGTAATAATATTACTGCCTGTGAGGTGGGTGGGGTGATAGGTTCTGAGGTTTAGAATGAGAACAAGAAGGGAGCCTAGCTCTCTTTCTACTGATGAGGAAACCAAGGCTCAGAAAAGAGAAGGGACTTGTGCAAGGTCACTGGGCTAGTTAGGGGTGGAGCTAGGGTTAACACTGCACTTCCTGAGAAGACAAGGGACTGCAATAGAATAACTCATATGACACAGAGCTTTAAAAGAAAAGGACAGGGCCAGGCACAGTGGCTCGTGCCTGTAATCCCAGCACTTTGGGAGGCCGAGGCAGGTGGATCACCTGAGATCAGGAGTTCAAGACCAGCCTGACCAACATGGTGAAACCCCATTTCCACTAAAATTAAAAAATTACCCAGGTGTCATAGCACACGCCTGTAATCCCAGCTACTCGGGAGGCTGAGGCAGGAGAATCGCTTGAACCTGGGAGGCAGAGGTTGCAGTGAGCTGAGATCACGCCACTGCACTCCAGCTTGGGGAACAAGAGTGAAACTCCATCTCAAAATAAATAAATAGATAAATAAAAAGACAAGTATTGCAACAAAAATTCTGCAGCGAAATGAAAAGCCCTCTAAGAAAGGAAATATAATCAAAGGACTTTACTTGGCTGTCTGTGATCATCATTTATATATATTAATAATGTAGACACTTTAAACCTGATTTAGGTTAAAATAGAGCTCTTCCTATCTTGAGAGACGGGGGCAGGGGAGGGAGGGAGATGGTGTAAGAAAGTGAAATCTCCATCCATCACAGCAGGAAGTAAATAGACAACGTGCAGAATAGATAAATCGAGAAACAGCAGTGTAAGCATATCATTTAGAGATCTGGAGGCAGCTACTAGAAGAAACAGTGAGTTAAAAGTGGCAGCCTCTAGGGGAGGGTGGGTGCTGGATGGTTGTTTTTCATTATAAGGCTTTCAATACTATTTGATTTTTTAAAACATTTGTATATATCGTTTTGATCAAAATTTAATAATTTGCTTTAGAAGACAACCACCCAAAGTCTCCTTGTTAGCAGTTCAGACACCTGGCCGGTACCCAGCACTGACTGGCAAGGTGGTCTTTGTTGTTTCAGTCCCCTGCTCCTGTCCTCCGGGACCAGAGGCCCTATCACCTACAGCTTCTCTCCACACAGGGGACCTGCAGTCAGAGCCGAGAAATCAAGTCAGCCTCGACTTGGGCCACTGGAGAAGGCCTATCCTCCTCGTTGTTTATGAGTAGACTGAGTAGACAGAGAAAAAGATCTTGGTGGGGGCTAAAGGACTTTCCCCTTCGTTTGCCATTTTGCCCAGCTGCTTCCTGTGTTGTTAAGGTTGAGGTGGCCTTTGTGGTGACACCAAACCAGGCTACCAGCAGCTCAGGGGAACGGCCTCATGCTCTCAGGAGGGGAAGTCATGCCACCAAGGTGGCTTGCTGATTTGCTCCTGCTGGGGCCCTGGGGCTGTCATATGAGGAACACCAACATGACGCGTATGTGGGGAGAGGAGCTGCCTCTCAGATGCACCTGCTAAAACTCACAAGGGAAGCCATGCATCTGCTACGGAAACAAAGAGGAGGGCTTCAGGTCTGGCCACCAGATCGGAGCACGTGGAACTCAGCTCCATCGATGTGAAACCACAACTCGAACATGGCTCAGTATGAAGACAAAGGCCCCCAAATCACATTTTCACTCACTCTAAAAGGGCAAATTTCTCTGTCTGTAAAATGTGGAGGTTAGCCTTGGTTCTCTCTCAACCATGATGTCCAAACCTGCCTTGTGAAGGTTATTGCGGGTAACTTGTGCTAATAATAGCTTAAGCACTGAGGTTTGCAAACAAGGTACATTTTATTGTATGTGAGGCGAGGGTTCAAGATCTCTGTGTGATATTATTGCTTGCATGTTCATCTCTTCCCTTGAGTGGCAGGAATGGAGCAGAGTTGGGGGGTTGGCTGTGGGGGCTGATGTGTTCAGCATGTCAACATTGTCCATTTTGTGTACTAAAAAAACCACAACAGCAACCAGTTAAGAATCACTGGATTTGGGCCTCTCTCAGGACCCTCCCAACACTAAAGCAAATGACCATGACTACAGTTGAGACATTCCATCCAAAGGGCTTCCTTAAAGACATGTGTTAAGGATCATGCAGACCATTCTCTGTGGCCAAGGTATACAGGGCATAATAAACCTGTCCAAGGATACTCTTCCTTTGTGCCTTTGCTCAAACTGTCTCCACTCCCTTATGGACTGTCTTCTTCCCTTCTCAAATCTTACCGATCTATCATGGCCCACACGAAGACATGCCTTTTCCACAAAGGTCTGACCAGCCAAGCCCCTTAATGACCTTTATTTCTCTCACTCCCTTAGCACTCACAGTCTAGAGTCCACAGTTTTTAACTGCACGACAAACTGCTTTATATTTCACTAATTCTTTGGATTGCTAAGAATGCCAAGGATAGTCATCTTATCTGAGTTTGACCCATAGCAACCAGCACAGAGATAGGCACACACCAGGAATTACTTGCTTAATTAATACTTCATGAATGATTTGTTGACTGCATGAGCCAATGACCAAAATTCTTAACTTCTGGTTTAAAAAAATTAACAAGAAAGTTAAAATATCATGCTTCTCTAAGGTCCCATATCCAAGGCTGCCTTGTCAATATAAGAATCTGAGGAGAGTTCTTTAGAAAATCCTTCTGTCGTATAGTTTCCACTTCAAACCCTAAGAAGCAGGTCCTCATTTCTCTTTCCCATATGGAAGTATAACAGACTTGGAGATAGGGGGCTGACCTCTAGTTCTGAATTCTTATCTTGCCATTCATATCTTGCCAAAACAAATCTTAAAGCATCATATTTTAAAAGCACAAATCAAAAATAGTTCTCGGATATTCCTTAAGAGTTACTGCATGTCTTCTCTGAGGGTCAGCCCTGCAAATTCTCTTTGATCTCAGCCAGGCCTTCAGTGAAGTTAGACAATTCTCTCATTCTTCCCCAGTTTATTTCTTATTCCACCCACATAGGCAACTGTTCCAAACCCTGAAGTCTCCTGAAGTTTCCTAACCAGTCCATCACCTTTATTTCCTGCAGAGGACCTCACCTCCTGCCTTACTTAGAAAACAGAGAACATGGACAGACTAAACACACCTCTGTTTTACCTAGAGATTAAAGCCTAAGAACCATTGCTCTACAATGACCAAATAATGACGCAAACAGAATCAAAAGGTCTACTGATGAAGTCATCACTGGGTCTTTCTCAGGCATCTCGCAAGAAGGTCCTATTTACTTCCCTCTCTCACTGCCTGTATCTGAGTTGCCCAAAGTCTATCAAAATGCCACGCAACCAGAATGATCCCTGCAAGAAATTCTGCCTGAACTCAAGCTCTGCCTTCTCAAAACAATTTCTTTCAAGAATTTGCACCCTCTGTTGCCAGGGCCCAAGTATGGCTTAAATGGCTATTTTTTGAGGTACATCACACACAGCCCTTAGCATAATGCCCATGGCTAGAAAGCCAATATCTAAGCTCTTTGCATCCTGGGAGGCGTCCCATACCCACTGACTGAATTCTGAAGTGTCTTTGTACAGACAAGGCCATCCAGGGGCCTTGACAGAATCTGTGAATCACAAAGTGCCTTTAAGCTTCCCATTGGCTCAACAGTACAGAGAGGCCACAGATCCATCTTCTTAAAGTGACACACAATATATAATTAATAAATTGTTTCTTAAGGAATGGAGGGCATTTACCCAAAAGAGTCACACATTCAGGAGGCTCCTTCTCTATTTCCACGGCTTTTTTTTCTCAGACTGGGATTTACAGACATTACCTCATCCGCAGGCTTTCATGATGACAGGCAGGTAACAGTTGGGCAGGCTGCCTTCCATTGCTCAATTTTGAACGTCAGAGAGGTAGTGGCTGGTTTAAGGGCACACAGCAAGTCAGGGATCCTGTGTCCCATGCTCACTGTGCTGCTCTGTCTGCCCTGGAAGCAAAGCATGCCCTCAACATTTTTGGATGGTTGCAAAATGCTGAATTCTCACAGAGGAAGAGGCCCTTCCTTAACTCTACGTGTTGAAATGTGAGAATGGCCCTGGGCTTCTGCTTGGCTTGTTCCCTCCCACTTCTCCCTACCTACTCAGGTTCCACCCACCTCTCTTGTGCTACTTAAGAGCACTTCCCACCTGAAGCCTTTCACTTCATGCCCTATCACTCTTAACTTTCCCTTCCTTCGGCCGGTAAACTTGGGGCTGGGTTTACTGGTCACAGAGACCAACTTCCCTCAAAAAAGCAAAATTCAGGAAAGCTCTGGAGGGAGAGGGGCTGGTAATAGCCAAGGGTTGATTACATACATAAGCCAAATTCTTAATGATTATGTAATTAATACATTATAACAATAAATACATAAATATGCTAGTACTTACTATGTGCTAAGCATTCTGCTCGGCACTTTCATGCACCCCTTGGGTAGTAAGAGCATCCAAAGATATTCTAGTTCCTCCCCTGCCTCCATTCACTGCCAAGAAGGCAGCAGCCTGCCCCCCTTCTCCCACCATCTCACTACTGATGCAGGGGCCATCCCCTGGACCCTAGGCATGGCTTTGCTCCTCAGAATGACAGGACCAAAAGCCTTTCATAAAGACTCCAGTGAGGTGACTGATGTCTGGCTTTGTCAATTACAAGTGAATAATTAATACTTGCCAGTAAAGAAATAGACTCATTGTTACGGTGGCCACATGGAGGCTACAAAAGGCCATTTTGTGACGCTTTTGGTGGACCCCTGGGGCCAACAGTGGTCCAAAGAAGCTGCGTTGAGAGTGTAGTCCAATCTTTAAACGTAGGGACTGGGACCCGTACTGTTTTCCAGGAGCGCTTTTCCCGTTAATTAGCTTGTAGCCGATTCATCATCTCATTCAGCTTTCTGGTTGATGACAGCAGCAGAGGCCACTGAACATCAGAGAGGGCATGATTTATCAGAGGGGTCATGTAGTGTTCTACCAGGGCCTTTTACCGGTTTTTGAATTCATGTCTACTTCCTTCTCTGGGCCAGCATCTGATTTGAGTAAAACTCTCCAACCCCACTGGGTTGTACATCCGACTCTTGGCCTAATGCCTAAAGCAAGTTTTTCCTTTTTCATTTTCCAGCAGGGACTGAACAAGGCAGCCTTGGGTGCCTACAGAACCGGTCAGAACTGGCCAGGAAATATAATAAAGAAGCTTAGTGAGCAGAGAGCTAATGCCCCCAGCCAGAGGCTCAGTGCGCACAACTAGCTAGAGGCACTGACTTTGTAAGCAACAACACTATCTTCTTGAGGTCTAATAATTGCCTTGGCAAAGGGCAGCCAATGCCAACGAGGAACCCTGTGTACACAAGTTTCTCATCCCGAAAGTGGACACTGGGTGCTCAAAAAATGCCTTCTGGTGACAGTAACACCTGACCAGTCAAACAAACATGCACGCATGCACATGCATGCATACACACTCTTACAGCATTCCTGCCTGCAGGGCCAAAGCTGCCCTTGCCAAATACAGAGCTGACAGCTGCTAGATATTGTCATTTCAGGGACCCGTTCCCAAAAGAACTACCCAGCTCCCCACCTCCACTTCCAGCCCACTGTTTGAAATTCTACCATTAGTGATAGCAAATATTTCTACAGTGTTTCCCATTAAAGCTTTGTTTCCCATTAAAATGCCTCCATCCTCTGTTTCTTTTCCGGTCAAATGACTTGTAAAGCACCTGCTCTGCATCAAATGGGAACTTCTTTTGTATTTAGCTCTTCAAGATAAACACAATCATTGGCTCCTTTCTTGAAAACCATTTCTGACACTGGAGACTGGGGGAAGGGCAGGGCACTGTATGGAAGTGGAGGTGGGAGGCCACCAGGAGGGCCACAGAGAGAGGGTCTAATGGTGGAGAAAGCAACCATCAAGGCCTTCACAGGCCTGCCCAAAGATATGGACCTGATTTTTGCCCTCTAAGATCTCAGGGACCCAGGTTGCTGGCACAGCCTGTATCCAAGAGTAAGGTGAGACCCACTGCCCTAACTGGGACACAGACAGGAGGCAGGAAATGGGAACACAGGAACCGACAGTCTCCTGATTTGCCCCTCCTGCCAGCAGGCCTGCCTCCGTCTCCCTGCCCATGCTGAGGGCACAGGCACCCAGGAACTAGCAGAAAAAGATCCTTGTCCCATTCTTGGCCTAGCTGGAAGGACAGCTGATGGCTCATCAGCCCTGGTGAGTGTTTCCACTGTGCTGGGGAAAGTAGGCAAGCAAAGGTCAAAATCAGATTCCCTGTGCTGGGGAGGCACCTGGGCTGTCAGTGTCCTTTCCAGCCGGGTTCTGGATATAGAGGGCCATACTTATGTGGAACATGCTACCTGCCCCCATCCCCAAGCAGAGAGCACCTCCTCCTCTTCTTTTGCACATAGGTGGGCTGTTCTTTGGGGTGAGGGGTAGGGCTGACCTGAAAAGTAGACGCCACAACAGACAGGCAAGCATCTTCCTGGTTCTTCAGAGCTCAAGAAAAAAACCACCTTTTCCCCCAGGAGTCAGCCCACTCATCCCCTTCCCCCACTTCCACCGTGCCCGCAGCCAGCTTGGTGAGCGATGCTAGTGTAGGCCAGAAAGCTTCCAAGCGGGTCAGACCTGCTCCTCTCTCATCAAAGCCCTCCGCCCCCAAACATCGACGCTGCGCCCCTCGCCCCACCCATCACACGTTCTGTGTGCCCGAGGCGGCTGCCAGGCGGGCCCAGGCGGCTCTCGCTGGCCCTGGGGGAGGTGACGGTGGTCACGGCGGCAGAGGCAGGGGCCAGCGCTCTGCAGTACCTGGACTCGAGGATGTCGCCGCTGCCGGGCTCGCGGCCGCTGCAGGTGTCTCCGGTCCCTGAGATTAGCACCGCCTCCTCCCGGGCTGGCGGCTCCGGCCCAGGCCGCGCACCTGCTGCTGCGGCTCCCCCGCCGCCGCGCCGGAGCTCCGCGATGTGCCCGCGCCTCCCGGGCAGAGGGTCCGTGCCGCGGGACGCACGGTGGGTCCGAGGGGGAAAGGGGCCGCGTGGGGCCTGAGGCCGGGCCTCGGGCTAGCCCGGGCACAGCGCCGAGCGCCCCCCGCGGGCCGGGAGAGGGGGCGGCCCTTCGCGCATCCTCACGGCCTCATCCCCGTCCCCGGCGGCATCCTAGTCCCCGTGCCCGGCCCGAGGCCTGCGAGGGCCGCTTACCTGGCTCTGCGGCGGGTCCAGGGGAGGGGCCTGAGGCTACCGCAGGGCCCCGCGCCGGGGCGCAGGATGCTCTGCCCCGCTCCGCTGCGCCGCGCTCGGCCCCGCCCCGGCCCCGCTGCTCCGCCCGCCGCGGCTCCGCCCCCACCCAGCGCCCGCCCCTTCGCCGCAGCGGCTGTCACACAAAGGGCAGGAAATGGCTGCGGCGAGGGTCTCTCCACGCTCTCCGCTGTACCGCCGGCGCACCCAGGACCTGCCTCTCGGTTTCGGAGGACCGCTCAGCCCCCAGGCTTCCTGCCCTGGGGGCGGGAAAGGGAGGGAAGGCTTCTTCCACGGCCTCCATCACCGGGAACCACACCTGCAGCAACCCGAGGACGAGAGCTTCGGCCGCGTTCGGATCTTATTGGCCCCACATGATTTCCAAGTGCTCTTTTATCAACCCAGTCTTTATTGATTACCTATCCTGTTCCAAGTACCGTGCCAGGACTTGGGTGTGCACTGGTGTACAAAAGACAGGGTCCTGCCCCCTTGGAGTTTTATCACCTGCCAGGAGAAACAGGTGTAAATTAACCTAGCAAACGTCCAGTTACAGCCCAAAGTGCTCTGAGGAGAAGGAGCAGGGTGAAGTGACAGAAGATGCAACTGGGGCTAGGGGAAGGGGCCTTCCACCAATTGAGCTTGGTCGCTGATAGGGCTCCTTCGCTTAAGAATAAGTTCTTCCGCTCCCTTCCAGTTCCCTGGAGAAGAGTCCCTGAAGCTGCCACCTCTTTTACAGGGGCCTGCCTCAACTTCATTCTGGAAGAATTGCCTAACGGACAAATAGGTGGCAGGAAGCACTGAGAGGACAGGTACCTTTCTCTTCAAGGCTTATCTGCCGTGTCGGGCTCTTTAAAGAAGCAATTATCTGCCCAGCGGTGGCTCACACCTGTAATACCAAAACTTTGGGAGGCCGAGGAGAGAGGATTGCTTGAGCTCAGGAATTGGAGACCATCCTGGGCAACTCAACGAAACTTCATCTCTACTAAAAATTAAAAAAAAAAAAAAATAGATGGGTGTGGTGGCATCCACCTTTTGTCCCAGCTACTCAGGAGGCTGAGGTGGGAGGATTGCTTGAGCCTGGGAGATTGAGGCTACAGTGAGCTATGATCCTGCCGCCGCACTCCAGACTGGGTGACAGAGTGAGACTCTGTCTCAAAAAAAAAAAAAAAAGAATGAAAGAGAGAGACGGGGGGAGAGAGAGAGAGAGAAAGGAAGAAAGAAAAAGAAAGAGAGAGAAAGAAGAGAAGGAAAGAAAGAAGAGAAAGAAAGAGAGAAAAGAAAAAGAGAAAGAAACAATTCTCATTGAAATCCAGCCTGGTAGGCCTTCAGACCAGGCTGAAGTCAGGCTGCACCAAATTCTAACCTTGAGACACCTGAGCAGGTCACTTCACCACTCTGCTCCACAGAGGTCACCGTATCTGCAACACAGGGAATAACAGTTGCCCTTTATACCTTACAGGGTAAATAATTTGAAAACATTTGAGACATTGTGGAGTGTATGTAGATATAAGGAGTGGTTTCCTAAGGCCCACAAATTTATACTTAATCACTCAGCTGTTCCTAATAAGGGCAATTTGTGGAGGAGCCCCGTTATTCAAGCTCCAGCAAAGGACTTGTGGAAGCCTTTGCTTTCCTTTACTGATCTCACCTTATTTCCCACGTGCTCAGAATCCATAATTCCTTGTGGTTTGATCTTAAATCGCTAATTCCAATTCAAATTGCTATTTCGGAAAAAAATGACTTATATATATATATATATACACACACATACATTTCTTCCCTGGTTCAGTGTGAAAAGCTGTGGGGGTGTTTGTGGAGGATGGGTTTAAAAACAGAACTGAGGTTTCCTTTTTAAAAAATGTTTCATTTTCCACCGTGATCCTTGGGATTTCAAGTTCAGTGATTACAAATACTTAACAATGAGAATCCCAATAAATCAGATTTTCATTCTAAGGGGCATATTATTGCAGATGGTATAGTTTTTTGGAAGACGTATTTCTCCCTGTTGTTCCTTCCCTGTCTTTTCACCTTCAGGAACAAGTTGCCTAAAAACAGAAAAGACTATTACATATATATTTGGTTAGATCTTAGGCAAAAATAACTCCGACCTCTGAGTTCTATTTGTGTATAAAGGAGAGCAGTATGGTCTTTTGAAGCCACTGTGTTGGAAATCCAGAGGCTTGCCTTTTGGTTCTAGTTTTGCAACTAACAGAAGAATGATCTTAGGCAAGGAGCCTCACCCCTGTTTCCTCACCTGTTAAGTGAAGTAAGTTGGATGCTCTCCAACTTCCCTCTGAATGTGGAAAATTACATGAGTTAAAGGGCACGTCCCTCCCAGGCTTAAGGCACTTCCCTAGCTCCCCACTGCCCCCCGATGAAGCCCAAACTCTCCAGTGGCCGGAGAGGGTCTTTAAGAGCTGGCAGCTATCTCTCCATGTGAACAAGCTTGCTGTGCTTCAGCTAAAAGGAACAGCTTTTAGTTCCTCAAACTTGCTGTGTTCTCTGTTGTGCTCGACATTCGTACATGCAAGGCTTCTTCAATGGCAGTTTCTGTCCCCCCATTCCCTCCCTCCACATTCCACACTTTTTCCCAGTTTACCTGATGAAGTTCTGTTCATCTTCCTGGTATTCCTCTAGATGTCGCTTCCTCCAAGATTCCTACATGTCTGGGTTAGCTTGAGATTAGTTGTCTATGTGTCCTTAGCTGCCTGGGCTCCCTCTATCACCCCACGTATTAGTCTGCATTATAATTGTCAACACACTTCCCTGTATTCCACCATGAGACCATAAAATCTAAGGGAGCAGGGATATGTCTGTCTTGCTTTCCCATTGCATCCTTGGAGCCTGGTACTTAACAGGAGTTCAGTAAAAATGGATGGAATGAACACCCATAGGTGACATTTTTAAACTTTGCCACTGAAATGTATAGCTGTCTGTCTACTGCCTTCAGATTTCCTTCACATCCAACCCCAAGCTGTGCATCAGCAATGAAATGGTAGAGGATATCAATAAGAATTGCTTTGGTACTTGCAAAGCTGTGGCCCACATGTTGTCCATGTGGCAACATTACCTTGTGTTTTAGAAAAGCTTCAAGTTATAATCCCAGCACTTTGGGAGGCCGAGGCAGGTGGATTGCCTGAGGTCAGGAGTTCGAGACCAGCCTGGCCAACATAGTGAAACCCAGTTTCTACTAAAAATACAAAAAATTAGCTGGGCATGGTGGCGAGCGCCTGTAATCCCAGCTACTCAGGAGGGTGAGGCAGAATTGCTTGAACCCGGGAGGTGGAAGTTGTAGTGAGCCGAGATCACACTGTTGCACTCCAGCCTGGGCAACAAGAGCAAAACTCTGTCTCAAAAAAAAAAAAAATATATATATATATATGTATTTTAAAACTATCAGGAGACCCTGCTTTATAGACACCAGTAATGAAGTATCTGGAATGGGCATGAAGGGAAAACATAAATAATGATAATAATAATAATGGCTAACATTTACCAAGTACATTACCTCATTTAATTTTTCGTAATTTTTCTATAAGGAAAATACAATCATTTTTCCCATTTTTATAATTGAGGCAATTAAGGTTTAATAATTTGCCCAAGGTAGTGAAGTCAAACCCATGCTTTTTACCACAATCTCATACAGCCTCACTTTCCCTCTTCCAAGCTAAGTCCATTTGTTTACTAATATGCTACCTTATTCTAAAAACATATTAAATGTAAGTTACAGGAATACATTATGTTAAAAAATTAAAAATCAGCAAGAAATTTTTTAAAAAGAAGGAAAAGAGTAGAGAGATGAGATGGAGAATCGAATGTACATAAGACCAAAATGTAAACAAAACAAAAATCAATCACAGCTCTACCTGCTATGAGCTTGCTAACACATTTGGTTCTAAGTATTTATGTGGGTGGCAGGAAAAGATAAACTTGATGGTCAGTTACAGAATTTACATTGGCCATTCTGTAGATAGAACCTGACCACTTGCTCAAAATTGCCTCATTTTATAGGCAAGAGAATTGCTTGAGCCCAGGAGGTGGAGGTTGCAGTGAGCAAAGATGGTGCGGCTGCATTCCAGCCTGGGCAACAGAGCAAAACACTGTATCAAAACAAAGCAAAACAAAACAAAACAAAAAAGTATATCCCTTAGATTCTTGTGAAGGTTATATGAAATGATAATGTAACACACTAAGCAGAGTCTGGTACATAATAAATGCTCAAAAATGGGATTATTATTATGATTTTCTTTTTGAGACAGAGTCTCACTCTGTCGCCCAGGCTGGAGTGCAGTGGCATGATCTTGGCTCACTGCAACCTCCGCCTCCCAGGTTCAAGTGATTCTCCTGCCTCAGCCTCCCGAGTAGCTGGGATTATGGGCATGTGCCCCTACACCTGGCTAATTTTTGTATTTTTAGTAAAGATGTAGTTTCACCATGTTAGCCAGGCTGGTCTCGAACTCCTGATCTCAGGTGATCCTCCCGTCTCGGCCTCCCAAAGTGCCAGGATTACAGGTGTGTGCCACCACGCCTGGCCTGTGGCCATCTCTTGTTGCTATTGTGGTGAACTCAAGTGTTGCCAGTATCCACTTCAAGTGCTGTGTGATGCTAATCATCTCTGAGTGAGCAATTCATCTCTCATGATGAAACATTTTTCATCATGTTTAGTGTAATACAGCAAACCTTGAATAACACCATGGAACCCACATGAAGTGACACTAGTGATGCTGAAAGTGTTCCCAAAAAGCAGAGAAAAGTCATAACATTACAAGAAAAAAGCTGAATTTTCTTGATATGTACCATAGATTGAGGTCTGCAGCTGCAGTTGTCCATCATTTTAAGATGAATGAATTTAGCATAAGGACCACTGTAAAAAGAAAGAAAGAAAGAGAAAGAGAGAAAGAAGGAAAGAAAATTCATGAAGCCGTAGCTGCGGCTCCCAGCAGGTATGAAAACCTTGCACTTTTTGTTAAATACCATTTTAGCTCATATTGAAAATGCAGGTTTTAGGTGGGTGCGTTGCTATAAAGATTGCTATAAGAAAGACGTACCCATAGACTCTAATATAAGTCAGGAAAAAGTGAAGTCATTATATGACAATTTAAAGCAAAAGAAAGGTGAAGGATCTAAAGCTGAAGAATTTAATGCCAGCAAAGATGGTTTGATAATTTTAGAAAGAGGTTTGGCTTAAAAAATGTCACGATAACAGGAGAAGCAGCTTCTGCTGACCAAGAGATAGCAGACAAGTTATCAGATGCCATTAACAAAATCATGGAGGAGAAAGGATAACTAATTGCCTGAACAGGTTTTTAATTTGGATGAAAGTACCCTATTCTGGGGGGAAAAAAAAGCCACAAAGAACATTGCTTAGTAAGGAAAAGAAGCGAGCACCAGGATTTAAGACAGGAAAGGATAGGCTAACTCTGCTGTTTTGTGCAATGCAGTTAAGCTTATCATCAGGACTGCCCTTACCTATAAAGCTGAAAACCCCCAAGCCTTGAAGGAAAATGTTAAACACCAGCTGCCAGTCTTTTGGTTGTACAACAAGAAGGCCTGGACAACGAGAACTCTTTCTGGATCAGTTCCATTGATGTTTTGTCCCTGAAGTCGGGAAGTACCTTGCCACTAAAGGTCTGCCTTTCAAGGTTCTTTTGATATTGAAGGATGCCCCTCGGTTATCTAGAACCCCATGAGTTCAACACTGAAGGCATCAAAGTGGTCTACTTGCCCCCAAACACATCTCTAATCCAGCCTCTAGATAAGGGGGTCATAAGGACCTTTAATGCCCATTATATATGGTACTCTTTGGAAAAGATTGTCAATGCTATGAAAGAGAACCCTGATAGAACATCAAGAAAGTCTGGAAGGATTACACTGTTGAAGATGCCACATTGTTACAGGAAAAGCTATTAAAGTCATCAATCTCAAAACAACAAGTTTCTGCTGGAGAAAACTGTGTTCAGATGTTGTGCATAACTTCACAGGATTTACAGCAGAGTCAATCAAGAAAATCATGAAAGAGATTGAGCATATGGCAAAAAGGTGGGTGAGGGGTGTGTGTGAAGCGTCTCAACATATGGATCTTGGAGAAATCAAGAGCTAATAGATGCCACTCCAGAGGGATTAACAGAAGATGACAACTTGATGGAGATGAGTGCTACTGAACCAGTGCCAGACAATGAGGAAGATGTAGAAGAGGCAATATCAGAACACAAATTGATGTTAGACAATCTGGCAAAGGGTTTTGGTTACTCAAGATGACTTTCGACTTCTTTTATGACATGACCCTTCTATGATGTGGGCACTGAAACTAAGGCAAATAGTGAAAGAAGGATTTGTATTATACAGAAACATTTTTAGAGAAATGAGAAGGCAAAAATTCAGACAGAAATTACGATGTATTTCTGTAAAGTTACATTGAGTGTACCTGCCTCTCCTGCCTCCGCTTCCACCTCTTCTGCTTCTATTAGCCTTGAGATAGCAAGACCAACTCTCCTTTTCCTCCTTCTCCTCAACCTTTTCAATGTGAAGACGATGAGGATGAAGACCTTTATGATGATCCACCTCCATTTAATGAATACTAAATATATTTTCTCTTCCATTTGATATTCTAAATAACATTTTCTTTTCTGTAGCTATTTTGTTTGTTATAAGAATACAGTATATAATAAATATAAGATGCAAAATTGTGTTAATCAACAGTTTGCATTATCAGTAAGGCATACAGTCAACAGTAGGCTATTAGCAGTTAAGTTTTTGGAGCATTAAAAAATTATACGTGGATTTTCGACAGTGCAAGGGGTTGAGATCGCTAACCTCCATGTTGTTCAAGGTCAACTGTGCTTGACTCCTTCAGTTGTCTCTCGTGATTGTGGCCAGCACTTGGTTTGGGCCTCAAGGGTCCTAGACGTAACATGAAAATAATGCAGGAGAAGAAGTTGGAATAAGATGCATTTTTATGCCTGCTGATTTCTCCACCTGAAATGTCCTTCTAGACCCTCTCCTTTTTGGGAACTCTTATTTACCCTTCAATGCACATCTCAAACTTCACTTCCCCTGTGAGGCCCTTCCTGATCCCTTAGATGTGTTTACTTAATTCTCTGTGCTCTTGCTGTGCTGTGACTATAGCTACATCGCATAACCTACAACAGCTCTTTGCAATTATAGTTGGTTCTTATTATTCAGTAATTATGTTCTATAAAGTTGCTGTGAACACTAAGTTAACAAATACTGAACCATTGCTTCTAGGGGAAATAAAGGGTTAGGTTCCTACAAGCCCCTGCTCACCACGCTTTTGTCAACTAATCAATACATAACCTTGTTTTATGCATGTTTCTGTTAAAAAAAACCCTTATTTATATATATTATTGATTTATTAACATTGAACTCACAGTCAACAGTACTATAACTCATCCCTCATTAAACTTATTGAACTAACAGCTTTCTTGCAGTTAGGAACACTAGACAGCATGTCAGCACTACATTTGGGGGCCGTTTTATTTATTTATTTATTTATTTATTTATTTATTTATTTATTTATATGAAGTCTTGCCCTGTCGCCCAGGCTGGAGCACAGTGGCGGGATCTTGTCTCACTGCAACATCCGCCTCCCAGGGTCAAGCGATTCTCCTGCCTCAGCTTCCCAAATAGCTGCGACTACAGGCATGCACCACTACACCCAACTAATTTTTGTATTTTTTAAGTAGAGACAGGGTTTCACTATATGTTGGCCAGGCTGGTCTCAAATTCCTGACCTCAGGTGATCCACCCACCTTAGCCCCTCAAAGTGCTGGGATTATAGTTGTGAGCCACTGTGCCTGGCTGGGGGCCATTTTAAACAGCAAAATCACCAGAAAAAAAGTACAGAAATGCAGAAAATGTGTCACTAAATAGACTGAGAAAAGCCACTTGTTTGCAGCATGAGAGCTGAACGCCACTCTGTTTGACCTCAGTTGGGAATGTGTATATGGAGCAACGCAAAATTTTTACTGCTCCACACTTTGGCATGTCATGAATGACTGCAGGAAAAGCCTCCAGGATTGATTTTAGGGTTATAAACAAATTTTATCCAGTAGACAAATTTACCAATACAGAATCTACAAGCAATGAGAATCGATTGCATTGGTTTATGTGTTGAGCTTTTTCACTAGGCTGAGCCCTCTTATAGGAAGGATTGGTGTCTGTACTAGGTATCTTCTCTTTGTCTCCCCAGATCCACTCCACTCTCTCACCCTGCACTCTGGTCCTGGAGACTGACCTCTATGGACTACCCTACTAGGGCTCCCTTGTCCTCTGCGTTCAGTGGGATTTGACCAATAGAAGACCCAGTTGATGGGAGAAAGGAAGGAGAGTGAGGCAGAGTATTGATGCCCCTGGCTTCCTCCCTGTGATGTTGCCTTGGGTTTCCTCTGTCCCTTACTAAAGGTCTTCTCCTTTAAGGCAGCACTCTCCAATATTCTCCTTCCATATTTAAATGACCACTCTCCCTTGTTATCCCTTCAGGCCTAGGGGGTGATAACTACTTGTTTCAAGCTACTCAAGCTGCTATAACAAAATACCTTAGACTGGGTAATTTATAAACCACAGAAATTTATTTCTCACAGTTCTGGGGACTGGGAAGCTCAAGACCATGGCGCCAGCAGATTCAGTATCTGGTCAGGGTTTGCTCTCCGCTCCATAGATGACACCTTGTTGCTGTGTTCTCATATGGCAGAAGGGTAAAGGGCAAAAAGGGACTACCTCCTCAAACCTTTTCATAAGGGCAGTAATCTCATTCATAAGGGCAGAGCCCTCACGGCCTGATCATCTCCTAAAGGCCCCACCACTTAATACTATTGCACTGGAGATCGTTTCAATAGGAATTTTGGAGGAACACAAACATTCAAACCATAGCATGAGTGCCCCGCTGTGGTTTTCCTCTGTACCACTTTCTAAGGTTCTCCTAAACTGAACCACACAGTTTTAAATAGTCCTTTTGTCAAAAAGCTCTCCTCGAATTATACTAATTTGATTGTGACGTGCTTGGTCCCTAACTGATGAGATATCTTAGTCATCTTTTTAGATCATGTACCTAACAAAGAGTCATAGTAGATGAATGGTAACCATTTATGAAATAAGTAAATGAACTCTAAAACTCCGTCTACCACTCATTGTCTGTATGACTCTGTTATACTACAAGCCAACTATACATTGTACCTTGGGGAGAATCTCAAAGTCATTGCAGACACACTCTTACACAACCATACACACACCCCTAGTGCTGGTACCAAGGGGTGGCTCTGGGAAGTGAGCCTCAGTGCACCAAAATTTCAGCACCTTCCCCATTAAAGCCCACGCAAATTAATATCTATTCTAAAGTAAAACCATGTGCTTACTGTTCAAATGCAGCTTCCACCCCTAGCCCTCTGTTCCTGACCAGGCCACCTTCCCAAGCCCTCTAATTGGGAATCTGCAGCTCTTTCTGCACCTGATGATGCACATACTCCCTGTCTTGCTGAATGAGGTATTTCTGTCTTTTCCTCAAAAGGGTGGCCTTAGGTGTTGGGAGATTCTGAGAAGAGCAGGGTCTGCAGGAAAAATCCTCTGAGAAGCAGATCTGTTCCTCCAATCTGCTTTTGACTTTCTCATGTGGATGATTTGGCAGTGGGATTCAAGCACAGAGGTGAGTTCTAGGAAGGACTGCATGGAAGCCTTGGGCTTTCTCTTCCATGCTCAGTGGTTGACTGGCGCATGACCTGGCTCCTGCAATGGAGCTGGGCATTTGGTGGACTGAAAGGCACAGAGTGCTCAGCACACCAAAACTATAACCACCCAGCCTTTATATTACTGGGGTTTTAAGAAGGAAAGCTATTTTATTGCTATCTAAAGTGAATGACGTACTCCAAATTACAATTTCCATATGTCACCCACACAACAGATGACAGTGAATGATTAGGAAAAATAATATGGTACTGTGAACAAGGCAAAGATAATCTCCAAATTAGTTTCTTTTCCATTGGCTTTGCCTTTCTCAAATCCATTCACTATGCTGCTGCCAGAATATATTCTTAAACACATCGCAAATTTGACCTTCTCTTCCTGTGCAATGACATCTTTTCTACCTATAGGGTGAAATTCCAACTTCTTGGTCTTTTAAAGTATAGTTCTTTCATAGATTTATAGATTCAGTTTCAATTTACCCACCTCTTCTATCATCCTTACCCTTGCTGAGAAAATAGACACACACACACACACACACACACACACACACACACACACACACACACAGCGCGCACGCGCATGCGCGCATGCTCCAGCAATAGTGAACTGACAATAGCTTCCCAATACTTCCTGTTCTCTCTCTACCTGGAAAGTATGTCTCTTACTTCTGCCCACTTACTTACCTTATAACTCATAAATTTATCTTCAAAACTGGCTTAGACAGTATATCCTCGCGACAGTGCTTCTTAAACTTTAATGTGTATACGATTACCTGCAGATCTTGTTAAAATGACAATTCTTGCTCGGTAGGTGAGGAAGAAGCCTGAGAATCTGAATTTTTCACAACATGGTGATGCTATTGCTGCTGGTCCAGGGACCACACTTTGAGTAGCAGGGCTCTAAGAAGTTTCCCTTGATGTCATCCTTTCCCTGATAGATTCCATCACTTATTCTGGGCTCTTCTCTTCTTTGACCACAGTTTTTTGTTGTTGCCCTAATTGTTCTATTATAATTTTATTTCTTCATATGTTTTCCTTTTCAATCAGACTAGGAATTTTTTAGAAGTAAAGACTATGACTTTTCCATCTTTGTTTTCATGAGGATGCATACACTGAACTGTGTGCATGAACCATAGGAACGTTTGATATTTACTTGTTGAATGAATGTTGTTCAATGATATGTAATCTTTAATTGTCTGTGGAAAATGAAACAATGTAACCATTTTTACTTAAGGAAAAGTTCTGAGAGTTTGCGATTTAAATAAATATGGAACCGAGGCCCTATGCACCATATTTATTAAAATGCAGCTTTAATATTGCTATATTCAACTTTTAACTCTGTGTGCTCTACAAAGGATAACAGGTATTTGTAACATTTTTATTTTGAACACTAGCAGTGACTGTACATTAATAAATATGCATCTGATCCAAATATAAATACATAGTCTCAAAAGGTACAAAATGCAAAATCTACGAAATAAAACTAGAACCAAAACTCTGTATAAGGGAGTTCTCTACAAACACAGGGGACCATTTAAAAAATGTGAGAAGAGAAAAACCAGGCAGGAAGCCCATTTTGCGGGATAGGGCACCAGGAGGTGAAGAATGTACACATGTACAGTTGAGGATTAGATGAATCTGAGCTTGAAAAAGGTAATACCATGCACAGGGGAATTTTCTAAACCAAACCACAGAGATCAGTCAATTCCAATGTTTTCTTTCTAGACTGAATGTTCCAGAAATCATCTCTAATTAAGGATCCCAAAAGATAATGTACAAAATTCTAAAAAGTAAACAGAGATAATTTTGGATAAGCTGAGTAAAATCATCTTCTGAATGACAGAGTTTTATCTTGAGGCTCTCCACTTCACAATAATTATAATTAAAAATTATGCATCTGAATCTCAAGCCAGTCAAAACGTCACATGATTTAGAAAGAGCCAATTGCAACACCATCCTCTCTTATATCAGGGAATGTCCCTCCTCATGAAGTGTTCAAGAAGACTACAGCTGAAAGTTGGAATGATAATTAAAGGAAGAACTCATACTTCTACAGAAGAATCTTTTAAAGTTGCTTTGAAGCTCGTCTATAAATGGCTTCAAGCAACATGACTGGTTGGTTGTGAGAATTAAAGGGTCATTAACTGAATAACTCCAAAGTCATTAACATGACCAAGGTAAGGATACAGAATAGGAAAAGGAAAATCCTATTCCAAGTTGGAGGGCCATGCCATCAACCACAGTGGTCTGTGCCAGAGCAACACTATTCGCTAGTGGTTCTATACTGACTTCTTTACTGGCTTTCCATCTTTGTATTTATTCCCTCTGCAATCCGTTTCATTTTCAGTAGAAGCCAGTGTCGAATAGGAATAAAGAATCTGTGTATTGCGGTCAGACAGATTTGGGCTAGAATACCAGCTCTAGACTTTCTAGTTCCATCACTTTGGGCAGATGTCTTGGCTTTTTAAAGCCTCAGTTACATTATTTGTAAAATGGGAATAATAATATTACCTCATGGGGATGTGAACCCAGGGTGAACAGAGATTTTGCAGGGAAGTCTCCTAGCTCAGTACATATTCACCTTGCATATAGAAGTGCTCAAGCCAGAGTAGGCACTCTCATGCCTCTTGGAAGCACCCCAGTCAGTGCCTGACTGTTTCCATCCTGATGGTTTGAGCAAAAACAGACTCTTTATTTCTCTCCTAGAATTTTAGGAGACTTGGAGTCTCAACCTTAAAATTGCTCAACCCTAGGGCCTAAACAAGTTTCAATTGCTCGCCAAGGGAACATTGACCAACACAATGCTGCCCTCTGTTGATGAGGATCGGATAGTGCAGAGAGGGGGGGCTGATTCCCAGAGGCTGGAAAAAAGGATGTTTTTCAGAAGTAATCATTTCTTCTCAGGATGCTGGTGGAAGCATTCTGTGCAGAAGAGGAGGCATAGTCACCTGCACAGCTTGGTATAAAAGATGAGCTTGGTATAAAAGAAGAGACCTAAGATCTCTTCTTGCACCACATGGTTCTCCACCGTCAGAGGTTCTCTTGTTCTGGTGCAGACATCAGATACCCAATGCTCCAAGCATGGGACCTGAACTGTTCACCCCAATCCATCCAATGGGTCTCGCCATGCTCCCTTCAAGGAGAGAGGTAGCAGCATACTCTGTAAAACCTCATAAAGCTGCTTCTCAGAATATCCGGCCTCCTGTGTGAGCAGCTGCTCTATCATTCTCTACGGCAGGAAGCTGTGGCTGACAGCATCACAGCAACAGAGCACACTCACTCTAATCTTACTTAACTCACCAGTTTTCTTGGAAAAAGACTCATGCTCTTTGTTCCCCTTGCCTCCATATCCTGGGATACTGTGTTGTTGGGTCAAATAAAAAGTCCCTGGAACCATAAACTTTAGATTCATGTTAAAAATAACAATAAAAATAGCAATCTGGGTCTTACTCATGTCTCTCTCTGTTGCTAAGAAGTGCAAGAATGCTGTCTGAAAGCTGTCAGGTTGAGGTTTGTGCACCACATGTGACAAGAGGCTAGAGGAAGGGCAGAGACATCACTCCTGTTCTGGCTCAGCTCCCAGCTTGGTGGCTGACCCTCCAGCTGTGGCTTGACTGCCAGCTGTGGTCAGGATGCTGCTTCCATGGTGACTCAGGGACTGATGCCACAGGCCAGGCTGCCTCTGGAGGGTCCTGGGCTGGTGGCAGCTTCTAATGCTCTATGGAATGAGGACATATCCTTCCTCCATTCAGGATCTGCAGCCCGTGGCCTGGTACTCAGTCTCTACTAAAGTCCTGATTCTGCAATTTCAGCCAGTTGACGCAGCAGTCTGGAGAAGGCTGGCCGATCTTCTGGTCTCTGGAGAGGGAAAAAAGAACTCTGTAAGTTCCTTGTACTTATGCGTCATAGGTAAATCCAAAACAAACCAGAATTTAATAGCAGCATCCCCTGTGGATTTTTGTATGTGCTTCCATGTTGACTGTATTCCATATACATTGTCCTAGTTGTTAACAGCAGGTATTCTGGAATCCAAGGGACTAGTGTTTAATCTCAGTTTTACCACTAATTAGCTGTGTGACATTCAGCAGGTTATTTAACCTCTTTGAACCTCAGTTTTGTCATTTGTAAAATGGAGATAATAATAGTATCTACCTCATGAAATTGTTTTGAGAATTCAATAAATCACATATAAAAATATATCAAGAAATTAATGCTAAAGAACACCAAAAAATGAAATATCTGGGTATAAATCTCAGAAAATATCTACATGATCTAAATGAGAAAAAATTAAAAATTCTAATAAAAGAAAGCAAAGAAGATCTAAATAAATGGACAGATATTCCATGTTCATGGACAGGAAGACACTATAGTGTTAAAATATTAGTTCTTCCCAACTTGACTTATAGATTCAATATAATCCTAATAAAAATTCAGCAAGTTATTTTTTTTAGATATTGACAAACTGACTGTAACATTTATACGGAGAGGCAAAAGACCCAGAGAGCCAATACAATAATGAAGAAGAACAACAAAGCTAGAAGACTGACCCTACCTGACTTTAGGACTTACTCTAAAGCTACAGTAATGGGAGAGGATGGTGCTAGTGAAAGAATAAACAAACAGATTAATGGATCAGCCCAGATATAGATCCATATAAATATAGTAAACTAACATTTAACAAAGGAACAGAGGAGAAAGGGTATAGTCTTTTCAACAAACAGGGCTGTAATAATTGGACATCCATATGTAAAACAATGACTCTAGTCACAGACCTGACACCTTTCAGGAAAATTAACTCAAAGTGGATCATAGACCTAAATGTAAAATGCAAAATTATAAAACTTCCATAAAATAAAAAGTAACATAGGAGAAAATTTGGGTGACATTGGGCTTGGCAATGAGTTTTTAGATGTAAATCAAAAGCACAATTCATGAATAAATAAGTTGATGTTGAGCTTTGTTAAAATATTTGAAAAGTCTTCTCTGTGAAAGACACTGTCAAGAGAATGAGAAGACATGCCACAGACTAGGAGAAAATTTTGCAAAACACATATCTGATAAAGGACTTGTATCCAAAATATACAAAGAACTCTTAAAACTCAACAATAAGTAAACAAACAACCTGATTGAGAAATGGGCAAAAGATCTGAATAGATATTACCAAGAAGATATACAGGTGGCAAATAAGCATATGAAAATGTTCTTAACATCATATGTCATTAGGAAAATGCAAGTTAAAACAACAATGTAATATGACTACACATCTATTAGAACCACTGAAATCCAAAACAATGAATGCTAATAAGGAACTCTCATTGCTGGTGGGAATGTAAAATAATACAGCTACTTTGGAAGACATTCTGGCAGTTTCTTAAAAAGTTAAACATAGTCTTACCATATGATTCAGCAAGCATACTCTTAGGCATTTACCCAATTGAGTTGAAAATTTATATACAAAAATCTGCACATAAACATTTATAGCAGCTGTATTCATAATTGTTTAAAACTGAAAGCAAGCAAGATTTCCTTTGGCAGGTAAATAGATAAACAAACTGTGGCATATCCATACAATGGAATATTATTTAGCAATAAAAAGAAATGAGCTATCAAGCCAAAAAGACATGGAGGGACCTTAAAGGCATATTACTAAGTGAAGGAAACCAGTCTGCCTGAGCACTCACACTTATAATCCCAGCACTACGGGAGGCCTGAGGTGGATTGATTGCCTGAACTCACCTGGGCAGCATGGCAAAACCCTGTTTCTACCAAAAATACAAAAAATTAGCTGGGCCTAGTGGCACATGTCTGTGGTCCCAGCTACTTGGGAGGCTGAGGTAGGAGGATCGCTTGAGACTGGGAGGCAGAGGTTGCAGTGAGCTGAGATTGCACCACTGCACTCCAGCCTGGGTAACAGAGTAAGACCCCATCTCAAAAAAAAAAACAAAACCCCACAAACCCAAACAAACAAACACAAAAACTGAAAACAACCAAGATTTCCTTTGGTAGGTAAATAAATAAACTATGATATATCCATACAATGGAATATTATTTGGCAACAAAAAGAAATGAGCTATTAAGCCACGAAAAGACATGGAGGGACCTTAAAGCATATTACTAAATGAAAGAAACCAGTCCGAAAAGCCTACATGCTGTATGATGCCAATATATGGCATTCTGAGAAAGGCAAAACTATGAAGACAGTGAAAAGATCAGTAGTTGCCAGTGGTTTGGGGATGAGGAGAGGGATAAATGGGTGAAGCACAGGAGATTTTTAGTGCAGTAAAACTATTCTGTCTGATACTATAATGATGGATACATGAATTTGTGAAAACCTACAGAACTCTACAGCACAAAGACTGAACCTTAATGTAAACTATGAACTTTAGTTAATGTATGAATAGAGGTTCACTAATTGTAACAAATGTATCACACTCATGCCAAATGTTAGTGAACAGGGAAACTGTTCAGGTGAGGTGGGCATATGAGAACTCTGTACTCTTTGTTAAAAAATAAAGACTATTAATTTAAAAAAATCAATAAATGATGGTTAAAAGAGGGAAAAAGTGCCAACTGAATGTCAGCCATCATTATTATTATTGTAGCTAATCCTTATGAAGTGGATAAGATTTGTTTTATGCCCTCCTTTATGTCTCTATTGTTTCTTTGTTTCTGATTATAAAAGCTCTATGAACTCACAGACCAAGCATTATTTAATTCTCTTAACAGTAAGAAAAAGGAAGTTCAGAGAATTGTCAAAGATTAATGGCAAATAAATGGTAAAGCTGAGACAAAATCCTAGTGTTCCAAATTTTTTGTATTCCACCTTGTTGTCGTACAATGATCAGAATTTTTATTAATTCTCTGTTTCAGCAACTTTCCACTTTGGCTGAAATGTATGATTTTCTAACTCAGCAAAGACAGCAAAGACTAAGACTCATAGTGATGGGGCTCAAGCCATGGCCTGCAATCCAAGGTTGGGGTAAATGAGCCACCTGGGCGGGTACAGAGGAATTGGCTCCCCATTTTAAATGCAGAATGAATAAAATGAACTCAAATTAAGCCATTTTAATATTTTCATAGTGCAAGTGAACTTTGTTCCCCAAGTTATAGAACTAACTTCCTGTGCTTTTAATGGTTTTATGATGTTACAGACTTTTTTTCTCTTCTCAGAAAATCGAGAAGGAAGCTGGCATAGGCCACACCCCATCCTCCTCTCTGAAGCTATGCTTATAGCTTGTGACATTATGTAGCAAACCAAATAATATTTAAGGTCGCCTTCAGCTCCTTTAGGGATGGGGGATCTATCCCGTTAACAGATCCTCAAAGTCATGTTGTTGCTAATCTATATTAGTTATCCCTCCTGCCTCATCCTTCTGAGAGGGTTCCTTTCTCTAGGGAAGGAGGGAGGTCCTCAAATTGTATACGACAATGCATGGGGAAGCACTTCCTCCACTGACCTCTTTCCAGCAGTGATTCATAATCTGGTAGACGTGTGTGGAGGCCAGCCGGGGCTTGTACAACCGAAATCCGGTACTGATGTCTTCCACCACCTCTGAGTTGCTTCGGTTTTCATACGGGATTTTGCCTTCACTGAAAACTTCCCACATCAGCACACCTACAAGAAATGGTGAGCACAGCACAGTGAATGACAAAGCCCACAGACAGCAAACAAACCAACCTGCCTCTAGAAATTACAGACTCCTTGCATTAGGATTCATGTGCTACCTCCAGAAGTGCATCAAGTCTACCTGAGGCTTATTAGGCCTGTCCTATTTTTAAAGAACTGAAATTTCCCAACCTTTGTAGTGGAGAAGGATTTTCAAGATGGACCCTTTGTTGTACCAAACTCAAATGCTACAACTAAGAGTTGTAGACTCAAATGCCAAGATGCAGGATGTAAATGAATGGAGTGCAGGAGGTGTGACACTATTGGGATTGGGGAGGATTGTGGAAAATGAGATAAACAGTTCTGTCTTAAGGAGACAGCTATGATTTGACTCCAACCAAAGTATGGCACATGAAAATGAGGGATCAGAATTGGCACATTTTCTGATTTTTTTAAAAAAGACGTCAAAAATTAAGAGTTGAACTTCTTGAATTTAAAAAATGCCATGTAGACCAAGCAAAACACATCTTTTGCTTGTCTATTTTTGACCTCTGATTTAATCCCTTTCTTTTCCTCTTCTGCCCTTGGTAGAAATGTGACACCTAGCTTTGTCTTTATCATGTGCTGATATATTCACAGGTTGTCAGAGCAAGAAGGCTGCTTGCAAATCAGCTAATTCAGAGCTTTTCAAAGGTTGTTCCAGAGAATCTTAGAGTAGACATTCCCAAAGCATGATCCCCAAAACACCTGAATAAAAATCATCTCAGAGTCTTGTTCAAATGGCAGATTCCTGGGCCCTAGCCCAAACCCAGTGGATCAGAATCTCTAGATGTTACTCAGAGGTGCCTCAGGAGTTGGAAATTCAGAACCTGACCCTAAATAAGAATGCTTATCACCCCAAGACACCATAATTTTTAGTGAAAATTTTTTTGAAAATGTGCCGATGCTGAAACATGGTTTCAGAATGATTGCTTTAATACACAGATGAGAAATGTATAGATAAAAAAATTGAGCAAAGTACAAAGAGGTTGACTTGTTCTGAATAGCACACTGCTAATTAGGGCAAAGAAACTTAAAACGTAGGACAAAGTCCAATGGGCTGATGCAGGCATGGAGTTTTCAGCTCATCCAGGTTTCTGTTGCTTAGGCTGGTACCCCCAGTTTTTTCACACTTTTTTCCATTGATCTCTCAATTCTGCATCCATCCATCAACCTCATTTCTGGACTCTCTTCAGATAATATATCCTAGACAGGGACTAATTTCAGCCCAACCCTGTAATGGTAATATGCCCCAGGAAATTCCCAGGCTGACACCCTTTGGCTGAATAAACCCCATTCAGAGTCAGAAGGTGAATGTGCTAAAGTGGCCATTGCTCCAAATGTCTCATTGTGGGGCCCTTGCTTGCTTGGTGCAGTGTGATCAGTTTCATCACCCATAGTGAGATGACTGCACATCAGCCCCAACCTTCCTAGTTATACACACTGGGGAGAGGGGAGTCATCCAAAAATGCTGTTAGTACAATTTCTTTCAAGTCCATTCTGTAACTTAAACCTGGTTAACAAAGTAGCTGCAAGGGTTGGTTAATAGGGTACTGTTTTAAGAAATAGGTAGGACTCATAATGAACAAACCACTTGGCTCCTAGAGATGGATAGACTAAAATGCTGCAGAAGATTTTTAACACTCATTCTTCTCCTAAAAGATTTACCTAGCCAAACTCCCCCCTGGTTTCTACTACTAGTAAGCCCTTGTCAAACCCTTCCTTCATACCGAATGGCAAAAATCAATCTTCAAGTAGTTTCTGTCCACAGTATAATTCTTGTAATCCAAATCAAAGAGGTTGTCTGGTATATTTTTTTGCACACTTTAGTATGCACAAACTATGACTTCAGGTGACATGGCAAATCCAGCAAGAACATTTGGCACATCCTGCAATACCAACATCATTCATCCCTTCATGGCCATTTGCACTTTTTAGAAATTCTAATTCCTTATGATGGCCTACCAGCTTCATTGCCTGTTGTTCTCCCAATAAGTCAGTACCCCTTGTTCTTTGGATGCACCAAGTTTTTGCACTTGCTGGTCCCTCTGTCAGGGACACTGTTCCCTGGCTCTTCAAATGGTGACAGCTCCCTCCTATCATTCAAGTCTCTGCTGAAGAATTACCTTCTGAGAAAGGCCTTCCCACACCACACTATTCAAAGCAGACCCTCTCTCTATCCTAGTCACTCTGCCCCATTACTGTTTTATTTTATTCATAGCACCTACTTATGATTGCCTGGCTTTATCTTCTATCCCTTAGCTTGTTTATTATTATTATTGTTTATGACTGTTATTATGATCTTTTGTGATTTTCTGTCTCCCCTCCCATCTCAAATTTAGTTCCAAAAGAACAGAAGTCTTTTCTGTTCTATGAACCACTGCATCCTCAGCACCTAGATTAGCCCTTGGCATAGAATAGATGATCAGTTAATTGTTGTTGAATGAATGAATAAATATTAATACTTATTGAGAGATAAGTATGGAAATGTAGTGTTGGACAAAACATGGTCCCTGCCTTCAAGGGGCTCATATTTGAATCTCCTGACTTCTCCAGCTTTTGACTTCACAGCAGCTGGCACCAGAACTCTTGTTTCCACTTTTAATTAACTCCCACCACCATGTCCAGTATCTCTAAAAACAAACAAAATGATGAAGGCCCTTTCATAGTTTTCGGGGCCTTTCTTACACAACCCTCCAGTGGGACACCCTCATGATATGATACAGGGTTCAGTGTGGGTAGGGTTGTCTGCATTTGATAAAGGAAACAGCTGGCCTGAAGCCCAGATCATGGGGCAGTGGGGCCCAGCATGACACTCACCAAATGACCACACATCGGACTTGCTGCTATAGCGACTGAAAGAGAAAACCTCTGGGGATGCCCACTTCACCGGGAATTTGGTGCCTGTGGAACTGGTGTACTGATCATCCAGAACGAACCTGGGAAGAGAGTGGAGGGAGAAGGTCAGAATGTTCCGGGGGCCTCAGTCCCATTCCTGAGACTTCACCGGCACCACATCCCTCTTTTACCTTGTCATCCCAAAGTCAGACACCTTGATGACTTGGTTTTCTCCCACCAAACAATTTCTGGCAGCCTGGAGAGGAGACAGGCAAACAAAGGCGGAGAGGAAAACTGTTGATGAGTCATCAGTAGTTAAGGAGTCTCCTATAATCACAGTCCTTTGCTTTACTGCAGTGCTGTCATACAAGGGCATCATGGAGCTTTACAAATGTTAATTAAGCCTCACAAATGCCGCTGGAAGTTAACTGGAAAGTTGAATGTGTAAGATCCACTATCAAGATGAGTAAGTTTATCTTCATTCTTGAGTTCTAATTAGAAATCCTTGGTGTTGTCTAACCAAAGATAGGCTCTAATGCAACCTGATGTGATAGGAAATGTTAACATCAGGGATAACAGGAAGAAAGCATCTCCCAGTTGACTAAATTAAGAATGTTTTGATGTTGTTAATCCTCTTAAAACTGTTCTTCAATAGGGAGAGTACCTGACCCCTAATTAGTATTATAGACTGTTGCATTGAAAAAGCCATTGGAGATAACACTCCAGTGTGTCTCAATTTTTTTTTTTTTTTTTTTTTTAGATGGAGTCTTACTGTGTCACCCAGGCTGGAGTGTAGTGGCTTGATCTCAGCTCACTGCAACCTCTGCCTCCTGGGTTCAAGTGATTCTCCTGCCTCAGCCTCCCAAGTAGCTAGGGTTACAGGTGCCCGCCAGTAAGCTCAGCTAATTTTTTGAATTTTCAGTAGAGATGGGGTTTCACCATGTTGGCCAGGGTGGTCTCGAACTCCTGACCTCGTGATTCGCCCACCTCGGCCTCCCAAAGTGCTGGGAGTACAGGCATGAGCCACCGCACCCAGCTGCATATCTCAAATTTTAATGTGCATACAAATCATACGGGGAATGTGTTAAAATGAATATTCCTGAGTCCCAGCCACCAGAGATTCTGAGAGTAGCTTAAGGGCTTCCCCAGTGTGATTCTGGTAGACCCTTGAATAATACCTTCAGACAAACTCAGTTTCCTCAATTTACCAGGAGGAAATTGAGTCACAGAGAGGTTAAGAAGGAGTGGCAGTTATCTCCATTTTGGAAGAATATAAACTGAAATGCAGGAGGTGAAAGAGTTTGGGCTGGGATCAGAGCCCAGAAGTAAGTCCTCATGAAGCCCTTTCCACTAGGACCACCCAAAGTAGGTGAAGGAAGGGAGAAGTTGAGAAAGGAAAGGAGATTATCTGTAATGTATTATTTATTAATGCGTTCCCAGTCATTTCAGTGAGAACTGTCCCTTTACCCTGGACCTGTGGGTGTTCACCCTGCATGCTCATACCAAGTCTCTGTGGATGACACATGCCTCTTCCAGGTAGGCCATGCCCTCACACACATCCAGACACATGCCCAGCAGGGTCTCTGCAGCAAAAAGTCCCCGCTGGGTGCGTAGATAATCTGACAGGCAGCCGTGCTCCATGAACTCAAACACCAGGCAGATGGGGGCCTGCTCCAGGCACACCCCATACAGCTGCACCAGTTTGGGATGAGAGAGTTTCCTGGAGGAAAAAGACAAGGGGTGAGATGGCCTAAACTCAGTCTCCCAAAAATGCCGAAAATATTATGGTACCAAAATAGCCAATGGTCATTTTGTCTAATTTATGGTTTGGATGAAAATAATATTCATTCCCTCCCCAAAACAAAAACATGTCATTGGAGCTGAGACCTGAAAAATGGCAAGGAGTCAGCTGTGTGTGTGAAGATGAGCAGAGGCCAGTGTGGCTGGCATGTCATGGACTGGAGGAGAGATGGGTAGGAGCTGAGAAGGGGGAGGTGGGCATGATCAGATTATGGTGGGCCTTGGAGACCACTGTGAAGAGTTTGATTGTATTCTCTGTGCAATAGGAAGCCACTGCTGGGAGTTTGCGCAGGGAGATAGTACCCCCTGGCGTTTGAATGGCATTTCAAGAACACTGAACCGATGTTCCCCCCAGAGTTTCTGCATATCCTTGTTCTGAGCACTCACATCATTACTTCAGCCTCCTCTATGAAGTCCTCTTCTGACATAGCCCCTTCCCGAATGGTTTTGATAGCCACCTTGTCCTTGTTGAGCCAGTAGCCCAGATGCACCAACCCAAATTGCCCACTGCCAATCTCTTGCACAAAAGTGAGCTCTGAGGGGTCGATCACCCATTTCCCTGGAAGAGAGAGAGAGAGTTCTCTGGGGTCAGCAAGCAGTAGATATAAGGTATTGGGATACCAGGGGACTATAAAGCCCTAACTAGAATTTTAGCCTATTGTTAATATAATTCAAAGATGGCAAATAAATTATCTTTTTCCCACATAATAACATAGGATATGCTAGAAAACTATGAAAATATGTGTGGGAAGGTAACATGGAAAGAAGGAGAGTGGCATTAATGAAGATATTAAAGAAACCATATTAATCAAAATATTAAAGAAAGGGTTCTTGCAATGTCCCATTTTTCTATGTCATTTTTCACACTAAGTAAATTTCATTGAGCTGATCATTCTTTCATTCATTCATCTATTAAGAGCACCTGCTATATACACATAACCCTATTAGGCCTTACTGGGGCAGAGGGGCAGTTAAAGAGAAAGATTTAAAGAGAATTTGTGCAGAGGCACAAGCTAGCACAGTGTCTGGCACATGGGAGGCTCTCAAGAAATGTTTAACAAACAAATACGAGATTCCGAGGCTCAATTTCCTCACCAACAAAATGAGTAGGCTGACCAGGTAATATCTGAAATCCCATCCAGCACGGACACATCAAGATTCTACATTTATTAGAATACCCTTATTTTCATAAGGAGGCTAAAGAGGCACTCTTTCCCCAGTGCTTGGTCTGGTACCTAAACAGCCAGATTTCCACTGCTTTGAGGCAGAGACTCAACAGCAGGCAGTATTGAGCACCTACTGTGTGCCGGACACGGTGCTGGTTAGGGATAAAGAAGCCCATGCGTGGCAGTGGTTCTCAAAGTATTGCCCTCTGACCACTTGTATCAAAATCACCTAGCATGCTTGTTTAAAATGTAGACTCAGCTGGGCACAGTGGCTCATGCCTGTAATCCCAACACTTTGGGAGGCTGAGGCAGGAGGATTGCCTGAGCCCAGGAGTTTAAGACCAGCCAGGGCAACATAGTGAGACCCTGTCTCTACAAAAAATTTTTAAAAATTAGCCAGGCATAGTAGCTACTTGGGAGGCTGAGGTGGGAGGATCGCTTGAGCCCAGGAGGTCAAGGCAGCAGTGAGCCATGATTACGCCACTGCATCTCCAGCCTGGGTGACAGAGGGAGATCATGCCAGAAAAAAAAGTAGACTCCAGGACCCTATCAAGGATTGTGTTTTGGTGAGTGTTTGGATAGGAGCCAGGAGTCAACATTTTTAATAAGCATTCTAGAAGACTTTGATGCACACTGAAATTTGAGAACCACCAAGCTAGGAGATAAGAAATGAAAATTAGACCAGCCTTCTCCACAGGCAGCACACAGTTGGGACCAAGGGATGCAAAGCCAAATGCCTTCAGAGTCCAGGCAGGTAATCCCAAGTGAGTGAAGCAATTCCGTAGGGCAAGAAAACATAGTAGGGGCTGCGGCACTGGAGATCATGCCACGCCTAAAGGTATTCCAAAGAATTTTAACACTCTCTTATGCAGAGAAACACTTCTAGATGCTCTCAACTTGCAGTTCTGGCAATAGTCTGCTACTCAACCAACTAGATGATATAAAAGTTCTAGAAGATAGGTGGAAACACAGTGCTAAGGCATGGTTTTCTAATATTTTTCTAATAGCATTTAGTAGGGTGCTCTGTACAAAGTAGGTGCTTAATAAACACTTCATTAATGAACTCTTCACTAAAACCAATGGCCACTGGTTTGACCTAGAGAAATGTGCTTGTATATGTACTTCTCTTACACACAATGTAAATATTCATTAGTGCCATCATCTCTAGATATATAATACACTTGTTTTAATGGTGATTTGTAGTCTGAGGAACAGGTAGGCTCATGGCCAGTTTATTCAGAATTTGCCCCAGACCTTTAGGGACATGAGTTTACATTCCTGATTGTACTGCTCACCGTATCTCAGCCCTGCTGTAACTGGGGCTTTCTGCCTCCCAAAACAAACTGGATACCGGAGTCGAGTCACCAGGCCTGGGTTGATTGAAAAGCCAAGAAGCAGTGGTTAGGGCTTTGCTCTAGCAACCATCTAACTTAAATCACTAAAAAAAATAATAATCATCATCAGACGCAAAAGCTAATTTTATTCTGGAAAACAAATCCCAAAGCCTAATTATTGATATCATATCCTCCTTGAAAACATCATAAGCACAGATGGGCAAGTGGTAAAATTCCATTATTTCCACAAGATAGCTTGCTAATAGAAGATATATAATATAATTAAATATTTGTCATATTTTTCTATTTGTATATTTATTTATTATTTATAGTCAAAAAGAAGCCAGGGCGAGCTTTTGCCAGTTTTCATTAAGTCTCCTGTGTGGGTGCTGATATAGTTTGGATGTTTGTCCCCTCCAAATCTCATGTTGAAATGTAATCCCTGGCTGGGCACTGTGGCTTACACCTGTAATCCCAGCAGTATGGGAGGCTGAGGCGGGCAGATTACCTGAGGTCAGGAGTTCAAGACCAGCCTGGCCAATGCGGTGAAACCCTGTCTCTACAAAAAATACCAAAATTAGCGGGATGTGGTGGCACATGCCTGTAATCCCAGCTAATCAGGAGGCTGAGGCAGGAGAATTGCTTGAACCTGGGAGGTGGAGGTTGCAGTGAGCCAAGATTGAGCCACTGCACTCCAGCCTGGGCAACAGAGCGAAACTCTGTCTCAAAAAAAAAAAAAAGAAAGAAAAGAAAAGAAAGGAAAAGAAAGAAAAGAAAAGAAAAGCCCTATGTTGGAGGTGGGGCCTGGTGGGATGGGAGGTGGTGTTTGGGTCATTAGGTGGGATCCATCACAAATGCCTTGGTGCTGTCACTGTCCTTGTGATAATAAATGAGTTATCACTCTGAGTTCATGCAAGACCTGGTTGTTTAAATGTCTGTGGCATCTTCTCCCTCCTCGCTCCTGCTCCTGCCATGTGATACTCCTGCTCCCCTTTTGCCTTCTGCCATGACTGAAAGCTTCCTGAGGGCTCCCTAAAAGCCAAGAAGATGCCGGCACCATGCTTCCTATACAACCATGGACCAATTAAACCTCTTTTCTTTATAAATTACCCAGCCTCAGGTATTCCTTGATAGCAATTCAAAAAAGTCTAACCCAGGTGCCCTCTGGCTTTGTCCTCTAGAGCAGCAGTCCCCAACCTTTTTGGCACCAGGGATCGGCTTTGTGGAAGACAGTTTATCCATGGAGGGATGTGGCAGGGGGTTGCTTTCAGGATGAAACTGTTCCATCTCAGATCATCAGGCATTTGATTCTTATAAGGAGCACACAACCTAGATCCCACAAGTGCTGTTCACAATAGGGCTTGCACTCTTATGAGAATCTAATGACGCTGATCTGACAGAAGGCAGAGCTCAGGCAGTAATGCTTGCTCACCTGCTGCTCACCTCCTGCTGGGCGGCCCGGGTCCACCCCTGCTCTAGAGCTTACCTCCTCCATTATGTTGGTGATAGTTGATGAGAAGAGGGATGGAATCGAACACATACTTTTCAGCCACATAGTATCGCTTAGGATTGTCATTTGTTTCCTTGATGTGATAATGCTTTATACAGGGATTGTTCTCACTTAAACAAATGAAACACAAATGTAATGATTATTAAGAAGCAATGTTGAGACACAAAAAAGTCTACGAGTATTAAGTTCTTATTATCTTTGTCTTATAACCTCTCACAAGGTGGCAGATATTGTTCAACTTATAAGTCTGTCTTGACAGATTGGGCCTGGGTGCTGCAGTACTGTGTTAAAAAGGACTCTGAGGTTGTGTCTGGACCCAGTGGACAGCAATGCTGTGATGGATTGGTGATGGTTCTTCCATTGCCACAAAATGAGGGAATGGAAATATTTGCTATGTGTTTGCCTTGCCTATTCTATGAATTTAACTGATTGTCAGCATACATTGAGAAAGCCTCTCTGACCCCTTCACCCTTATTTGACTTCATAAGTCAAATAAGCTGCAGAGGATGAACATAACAGGCCTGACTACCCTCCTTAGAAAGACCTGCTTGCATGGTTAACCCTTGGCTGGTGTTTGGGAACTTGGATTTCGGGAGGGCTCTTTCCCTAACTGATAAGGGTGGCGAGCTGTACCTAAACCGTCTGCTAGAAACATGTGTTTTATGGTGAACGCTTGTTTTCCTTTTGGGTATCTGGAACTTTGGCATGTGCTAGGCAGGGGCTGTCTGTGGAAACAGCCTCCAATAAAAGCCTTGGGTACTGAGTCTCTAATGAGCTCCCCTGGTAGACTGCTAACGTGTGGTTACAACTTGTTGCTGGCGGAATTAAGCACGTCCTGTTTGGCTCCAGTGGGAGAGGACTCTTGGAAGCTTGTGTTTTGTTTCCTCTAGATTTTGTCCCATGTGTCTTTTCCCGTTGCTGATTTTGCTTTGTATCACTTTGCTGTATTAAATCTCAATAAGTCTTTGTCCTGGAAGGCCTCCTAGTGAATCCCTGAAGCTGGGGGTAGTTGTGGGGAGCCTCGACACAGACTTTGTTTCATCCCTTCTCCGTCATACCTGTGGGGTTGCAGGTCACCTCCTTACTGTCTCCCAGCCATGGTAGAGGCACGGCCCCTCTGTGATGTACACTGTGTTCCCTCCTATCCCTGGATCGGGCCCTTCCTCTTTGCCACCTGCCCTTGCTCCACGTCCTGCTCACATCCTCAGTCTTCCAAAAAAATTTTCCGAAGACACCTTAAAAATTATTTGTCTCTTCTCTTAATTCTGACTGCACTTTGGTCATTGTCAAACAGCTTAGTTCTAACAAATGTTCTAATTAGAAGGGAATTTGAGACCTAGATAGGTTCTTAGGCATTGTTTTACAGAGAAGAAACAGGTACAGAGGGGCAGAAAAGCAGGAAGGATCTTGCAGTCCAGTTGGCTGGAGCCTGGATGTGGCTTGGCCCCTTCAGACCCACGGCCATAGGGAGGCACCATCAGCTCCTGAACCTCGGTTTCTTCTGTGTGAAATGAGCATAGTAATACCTGCCTTCAGGGCTTCTTAGGATTGGAAATGGTCTGCATATTTTCTGGCACATAATAAAGACTCAGTTAATGGTAGGTAGTTTTATGAGCAGAGCCAGAACTGGAGTTCATATATTTTTGCTTCCAGATAGAAATATCTCTTCTGTTATTCTATGTATTAAATTATATACTCATCCAATACAGTGCCAAGTATTTTATGTCTTTAGAACTCTAAAATTGGAGATGCTAATTGAAAGAGGACCTGGCATCCACTCCCAGCTCTGTCACTTTCTAAGTCTCTTAAGTTCTATCCTTGATCTCCATGGCTTTGGTTTTCTCGGAGTAAAGAGGGAAAACAGACCATTTCTAGTGAGCCTCTACCTCTTGCACTGTCTAACTTTGTTGTCTTTTCCCCAGTGCTCACACACTTCAGAAGTGTTTCTCTCCACTTTGCTGAGCAGAGTTAGCTCCATACCTTACAACAGCCTTGGTGAAAACAGACACGGTGTATGTTCCTGCAGTCCTGGAATCCCTTACCATGAAGGCTCCTTCTTTGCCCTGGAATGGTTAGAAAGAATGGAAAGTTAGTGATCTCAGGAAACCAGGCTTATGCCTCCAGCTCCACTTTCTTGCCCACAGAAGGAGGAAATACTGTAGGCCCACTTGGCATAGAGCAGATTTCAGTAAGAATGGCTACCGTTTCATTTACTCCTGTCCTTCCGTAGATATTTCTTGGTCTCCTACATGGATCCCAGACTGTTCTCATGCTGACATGAACCATGAATGGAGACAGAGACATAAGCTCTGCCCTTTTAGAGCTCCCCATGTATCAGACTCTTTACAGATATTTTCCAACTCTTACCACAATATTGCCATCTGGATATTGGTATCCTTAACCGCCAATGACACTGAGTGCCAGAGAGCTTAAGTGGCATTCCCACGACCCACAACTAGAAAGTGACAGAATTCGGATTTGAACTCTGGTATGTGAGCAAAGCCCAGCCTTGGTCTACTACTCCAGGATGCCTCCTTTCAAAGAATGTTAGAAGCTGCTTCTCCATTTCCCTACAAAGGCACAAAACTGTCCTGAAAACTTCATCAGTGTCTTAATGGGAATATATAACTTTTAAAAATTTTTTAGATTCAGGGAGTATGTGTGCAGGTTTGTTACATGGACATATTGCGTGTTGCTGAGATTTGGGTTTCTATTGAACCCATTTGCTAGATAGTGAACATATTACCCAATAGGTAGTTTTTCTATCCTTGCCACTCTCCATTCCTTCCAACTTTTGGAGTCCCCACTGTCTATTGTTACTATCTTGATGTCTGTTTAGCTCTCACTTATAAGTGAGAACATGTGGTGTTTGGTTTTCCATTTTTGTGTTAATTCACTTAGGATAATTCCTCCAGGTGCATCTATGTTGCTGCAGAATGCACAATTTTGTTCTTTTTCAGGGCGCATGTTACCCCATGGTGTACATGTGCCAAATTTTCTTTATCCAGTCCACTGTTGATAGGCACCTAGGTTGATTCCATGTCTTTGCTATTATGAATAGTGCAGGTGTCTTTTAGGTAGAATAATTTATTATCCTTTGGGTATATACCCTGTAATAGGATTGCTGGGTTGAATAATAATTTTATTTTTAGTTTTTTGAGAAATCACCAAACTGCTTTCCACAGGGGCTGAACTAATGAACATTCCTACCAACAGTGTATAAGGATTCTCTTAATGATAATATATTTCTTAGGCCCTTTCCAGAATGAGAATTTGGCTGCAGGGCGGAAGGAAAAAGAACATTAAGCTCCTGGTTTCATGAGAGAGGTGGGAAGAAGGGAGTGCCCTGAGAATGTAACTTTCGCCACCCTGACAGTTTTGCCAGCACTGATGAAATAAGCACTAATAAATGGACATACCATTTTATTCATTCTTGGTGGAAATTAAAAAATCTGAAGTCTATTTTAAGTACTTCCTATCTAACACTCTGTTCCTACCCCGCTGTAAACTTGCACTGGTAACATTTGTTAAGCCAAATATTATGATTCACTTAACTTAGTCACAATGAGGGCCCTAAGTAAAGGTCAGAGTTAGACAAGATCCTTGTGCGGAGGGCATACACTTGGAGTATAAGGAACAAAGTATATAGAAACTACAACAACACAAATCCTTCTATCCCACAACTAAAATGATGGTTTGCCTGTGGGCACATATCTGTGTACACACACAGACAGTGGCCCATGCTATTTGTTTGAATTCCAGAATCTCTGGGTTTAAAAGGATTTTTTTTTTTTTTTAAGATGGAGTCTCATTCTGTCACCCAGGCTGGAGTGCAGTTGCACAATCTCAGCTCACTGTAACCTCCACTTCCTGGGTTCAAGTGACTGTCTTCCTTCAACTTTCCAAGTAGCTGGAATTACAGGTGCCCGCCACCACGCCTGGCTAATTTTTTGTATTTTTAGTAGAGATGAGGTTTCACTATGATGTCCAGGCTGGTCTTGAACTCCTGACCTCCAGTGATCCGCCTGCCTCGGCCTCCCAAAGTGCTGGGATTACAAGCATGAGCCACCGTGCCTGGCCTTAAAAGGAACTTATAAAGATGAGTAACTGTATGAGCTTCAGTTTCCTCATCTGTAAAATGACCTTTGGAAGGTTGATGGGAGAACTGAGGTAATGTGCCTAGAATTGCTCCTGGAATACAATACTAGGACAAGAACTATTAGAGTATTATTGGCCATTATTATCACATGCTAAGTTTGCTACTTATTGGAAGTAATTATTCCATTGTCAGTCTCCATCTGAGACATGTTGGTTGTGTTAGGAGTATTTTTCTTTCTTTCTGTTCATATAATTTGAAGGTGACCTTTCAGAAGATAATCTCAACACACAGGGTAAGTTATTGTGAACAGATGGACTGATAATTCATAGTCTTGTTATGCTGCATTATACTTTAAGAGTGTCTCTGAAATACAGCCATCTTTCATTCTGGAGGTGGTGCTTTTCTTCTCTTGAAACAAACCAATTATTAAGTCAACATTGAGTCTTCAATGACACTTTAGAATGTCTGAACTTCAGGTCACCCTATGTGTGAGATGTTGTAAGGTGTTCTAAGAGAGTTACCCACTTGCAAGGAATTTACCATCTACCTAGATGGGTAAAGACAGAAGAGAAACTGCTGAGATTGGAGGCAGAGTGAGAACAGAGCCACTGGAGAAGTAATAATACTGATAATAACATTTGACCCATAAAGGTTCAAAGACAAGAAAAACCACGTTCCATAGCTAGGGCGAGGGAAGGCATGAGAGACTTCTGGGAGGAGGCAACATTGGAAGAACTGATATGGCACATTAGGAGATGCTTTTTAGTGGCTCCCAAATGTAGGTAAGTCCCAGAATAACTTGGGTGCCACCTCTTGAGGTTCTGACTGGATAGGCCTGGAGTCCAGGAATTTGTATTTTTAAAAAGCTCCTGCAGTGATGCTTATGATCACCCAGGTCCCCCTTAAGTGGAGTTGTTAGTTTAAAAACATTTATTAAGCCTTCAGTGTATTCATTCATTCATTCAACAAATATTTATTGAACAACTACAAGGTGCTAGATACACTTTTGGGTGCCTAAGTACAGCAGGAACAAGATAAATTGTTTATAGTCTAGTGGCGAAATATGTATGGGGCAGTACACCAGGAGTTTTAGTTCATAAAAAGGTGTAATGAATCAATTCATCTCTTTTTTTATTATTATTATACTTGAAGTTCTGGGGTACATGTGCAGAACATGAAGGTTTGTTACATGGGTATACATGTGCCATGGTGGTTTGCTGCACCCATAAACCTGTCATCTACATTAGGTATTTCTCCTAATCCTATCTCTCCCCTAGCCCCCCACCCACTGACAGACCCTGGTGTGTGATGTATCCATGTTCCTGGTGTGTGATGTGTCCATGTGTTCTTGTTGTTCATCTCCCACTTATGAGTGAGAACATGCAGTGTTTGGTTTTCTATTCCTGTGTTAGTTTGCTGAGAATGATGTTTTCCAGCTTTATCCATGTCCCTGCAAAGGACATGAACTCATCCTTTTACCAACCCAAATTCCCATCAATGATAGACTGGACAAAGAAAATGTGGCACATATACGCCATGGAATACTATGCAGGAATTCATCTCTTAAAGGTCCTATACTTATTAGATAAAAAGACTCTAAATACACCTAGAAATAATACAGCTATTGTTTCAAAAACAGCACACAAAAAAAGTGAAAAATAGCAAGAAAATGTCATTCAATTCTATCCAGAATCTGGGCTGAGTCTGACAGGGACCCATTGATGTTTGCCCTCATATTTACCTAAGGAGGAGAAGAGAATTTGGTAAAGTAGCTCAAAATATTAGTAAGGAGGCTGGGCGTGGTGGCTCATGCCTGTAATCCCAGCACTCTGGGAGGCCAAGGCAGGCGGATCACCTGAGGTCAGGAGTTTTGAGACCAGTCTGGCCAACAGGGCGACACCCCGTCTCTAGTAAAAATACAAAAATGAGTTAGGTGTGATGGCACATGCCTGTAATCCCAGCTACTTAGGAGGCTGAGGCAGGAGAATCACTCGAACCCAGGCAGCGGAGGTTGCAGTAAGCCGAGATCATGCCACTACATGCTAGCCTGGGTGACAGAGGGAGACTCTGTCTCAAAAAAAAAAAAAAAAAAAAAAAAAAAAAAAAAAATATATATATATATATATATATATATATATATGTATCAGTAAGGAGGAATGTTTCAACTGCCAGAGCAAGCAAAATGTACTTAGCACTTAGCACCTCACAAGAACTGCTGTAATACAGGAATCATCTTTTAGAAGTCATTAATGTGGGCTGTTTGAAGTGCTCCATAGACGTCATTAACTGATGTGTGATTAATATAACAAAACTATACTTGTTTAAACACAGTGTAATTCAGAGTTTTAGCTAATTTTGCACTCCACTCAATTAGTTCATATTAATCAAGTTCTACTTTGTTATCCAATAACACAGCCTGGCAGCGCCAGGTTTGAGTTGGCTACATTTGCATTGTAAATTTAACTTGAGAAAGTACAGATTCCCGGGAACTAACACTAGAGACTCTGATTCTGTGGATCTGGGGTGGGACCTGGGAATCTGTATTTTTGAACATTTCCCAGCAATTCTAATGTGTGTTTTTTTGGGGAACCCACAGGAAATAATTAAGTGCTGAGTTGATGTAGAGCCAAGGAGAGACCAGAGTTCAGTAAGGACTCAGCTCAACTTCTTTTTCTTCATGGAATCTTTCCCAACTCCTCTGGAGTTTACCTTAGTTTATTTTAGATTATTCCCTTGCTCTTTTTTCTGCATTTGTCTTGTTTCCCAATAAAGTCCCAATGCCATGGACTGAGATCAGCTGTGTTGGTCACAGGACAAGGAGCAGAAAGTGGCAGGATGAGGGCTGGGTAACTGTGATCCCTGACTTAATCCAATTCTGCCCTTCTACTCACTGAGAAACCGAGGCCCAGAAGGAAGAAGAGAGGTCCCCAAAGTCACCCAATGAGTTGGTGACATAACAGGAACTAGAGCCCAGTACCTGCCCCACCATACCATCTTTTCTACTTTTCTCTTCCCTTTCGCCCTTAATCTTGACATCCCTGAGTAAAATCGGTCCTGCTATGCACACTGCATGGCTTTAGAGGATAACTGTTGATGAAATGTAAGTTAAAACAAGTGCTATGTTTCCTCTGGACTCACAGCTGAGTCAGGCCGAATCAGAGTCACAGACATCTCTGACCCACACTGAGAAGAAGGCATGACTGACCAGCCCTGATGGCACCCCATGGCCAGCCATCACCACTCACAAAGACTGCTGCAGCGGTGATGATGTCTCCACGTCAATGCCAAGCCCAGGTTTCTTATCCTGTGGTTTGCTAGTCCTGTAAATTCCCAGAATATTTTCACCAGACATGAAAACTATCGTTAATCCAACATGTCAACCCACTGCATTGGCATAAAACGCAGCAAAGCTGAAAAAACAGTACAATTCTTTCTTTCTTTCATTTTTACCTTTCTTCCCTCCCTCCCTCCCTCCCTTCCTCTCTTTCTTCTTTTGACAGGGTCTTGATCTTGCCCAGGCTGAAGTGCAGTGGTACAATGATAGCTCACTGTAACCTTGAACTCCTGGGCTCAAGTGATCCTCCCACCTTGGCCTGCCAAATCGCTGGGATTCCAGACATGAGACAGTGCACTTAATTCATTTTATTTTATGTCAAAAGACAGGTTAAGGAGACTTACTGTGTCCAAAAGAAGTTTTTCAGCTTTGTCTCGGCTGATACTCTTATTGTACCACCTGAAAGCAAGGAAAAGTCATATGTCAATGACATATTTTAAAGTTTCATTATTTACTTATAAAAGACAATGCTAGAAAATCATATGGTCATTTTCTATTTCTACCAGTGCTTTAAAAAAATTTTAAGTGTATTTTATTTATTTAACAAGTCTGCACACGTATGTTTCTACCAGTGCGTTTAAACTCAAAAGCAAATGCATGATTCATTTCCAGGTATTAAAATGTTTAATTGGAAAGAAACATATGAAACAGAATTGGCAAAATACTGATCATTGTTGATGCTAGGTTTGGGGAACATGGATATTCATTATATTATTATCTTTACTTTTGTATACATTGGAAATTTTCTAAAATAAAGTTTTAGAAAACATTAATTTTCCTCTTCGTTTCATAAGTCAGTAGACAGTTCGTTATAAGGAGGAGGGTGCTAGTGCAGCTATAAAATTGTAATACCAGTTTGAAAGTTTAGCAAATATCCTTTTAAAACAACTGTAGTATTTTCCTCTTTAAGACTGCTCTTCCAGACATTCTGCCAAGTAATTGCATTATTTTTATAATTTTGTTGTCTGGTGAAAAACAACTATAAAATGGTAAAGAAGAATATAAATGATTTTTAGGGATGAAGTTTTTTTTTTATGTTGTTAACAATATTTAGCCACATCCTAACCTCTCTGGCTGCTTTTTAGGTAAGAGGAGGCAGACTGATCATCGGTTAATAATCAGTTTTGAAAATTAATAAATGCAGGAGGAGAGAAGTTCTGGGTAGGGAAGGAATACCACTTAACAAACTTGTTTGGCTACTTGAGAGTAGCCATGACTAAAGGAATTCATGGATTCGTTAGAGGTTTTGAACATTATAAGACAGAACAGTACATGACACCAACATGGGCTCTTAGAGATTATCTAATCGAGGATTGGGAAAATATAGGCTTCATCTCACACACAGGCCATCAGCGATAGTAGTGGCTGCCTAGAGCTGTGCATTGAAAAGGTTGTCACCAGCATGGTGGGTAAATAGCTTCACTATCAAAGGGTGATGTCTGCCTGAGTTCAGTGCATGGGAAGGGAATGCCAGCAAGAGAGTCATGATTTGCCTTCCTTCATCTTGTCTGAGCATTCATTTTATGGAGAAGGGATCAGAACTCAAATAGGGTGAGGTAACTTGCCCAAGGTCATGGCTGCAAACCAAGGCAGGAGACCTGAATCCATTCAATTTACCAACCCATGACTATGTTACCAGGTGGTACATTTTTAAGTACTTAGGCAGATCTCACCTGAAACTAGACAACACTAAGTTCACGAATAAAAAGTTATCATACTGGAATCTTTCATATATCCAGTTATATACTAAATATCTGAATGTTTGCTTGTAAGTCATGTTATTTTCCAGCTGAGATTCATAATCTGGAGAATGCAAACTGAAAGTGCACAGTATAACTAGATTGTTTTGTTTGCATGGTATAGTGTTTTATTTTTAAAATGGCTTAAAATACCTTTAGGTGGGTGAATGACTTTTTTTATTTGCTCCAGACCTCACCATTTCCTATTGCTTATCCTGTTGGAATTTTGAGTTTGCTCCTTTGATCATAAACAAAGAGATTCTGATTAAAAGCAAAGTTGAACAAACAAAACTACATAGCCTAGTGGTCATTTGAAATAAATGCTTATTGTTTTTTCTTCAAAGGTATTGCCTATAAAGATTTTTTATTTTATTTAAGCATATACCCTATATGTTTTATTTCAGCTCAAAAATTCTTAGAACTGATGACCCTTCTGTTCACTGAGGGAAGGGCTACTCACACATACTTTATCAAAACAAACAAGGTTGAGAGACTCCAGAAAATGACGGTTCTTCACTAAAGAATCTACTAGAATTTCAGCAACAAATAACACGACCACATTTGAATTAAGAACCCTAATGCGTTAATAGGTGTCCTCATTAGCTTTATTCTTTAGGCCTGGTATCTTATATTTAGTGAGTAATTAATTTTTTAAAATTTTTAAATAATTTCAAACTTACAGAAAAGCTGTAAAATAGTGTAAAAGAACCATCATATACACATAACCCAGATGAGCCAATTGCTGATATTTTATACATTTGCTTTACTATTCTCTTTAGATAGACATAGATTGACTTTTCTTCTGAACTATTTGAGAATTGACTTTTATTCCTAAGTACTTCTGTGTCTATTTCCTAAGACACAGAGTATACACTTATCTAACCACAGTACAATTACCGAAGTCATGAGATTTAAGATCTACATAACACTATTACTTAACTGCAGATCTTATTCAAATTGTATCGGTTGTCCCAATAATGTATATTATAACAAAAAATATTTTTTTGTATGGGTCAAGATCCAGCCCAGGATCACCACTGTATTTAGTTACCATGTGTCTTTAATCTATTACTATTATTTTTTTTGAGATGGAGTTTCGCTCTTGTTGCCCAGGCTGGAGTTCAATGGTGCAATCTTGGCTCACAGCAACCTCTGCCTCCTGGGTTCAAGCAATTCTCCTGCCTCAGCCTCCCAAGTATCTGGGACTACAGGCGTGTGCCATCACACCCGGATAATTCTGTATTTTTAGTAGAGACGGTGGTTTCACCATGTTGGTCAGCCTGGTCTCAAACTCCTGATCTCAGGTGATCCACCTGCCTCAGCCTCCCAAAGTGTTGAGACTACAGGTGTGGGCCACTGCGCCCGACCTCTTTAGTCTTTTTTAATGTGGACCAATTTCTCAGCCTGTTGTGTCTTTCCTGATATTAACATTTTTTTTTGAAGAGCCCAGGACATTAATTTTAGAGAATATTCCCTAATTTGGATTTGTCTAATATATCCTTATGAATATATCCTTATAAGTAAATTTATGTTGTGCATTTTTTGAGCAGGAATATCACAGAAGTGATGTGTGCCCTTCTCAGTGCATCACATAAGGAGACACAAGATACCTTTTTGCTCCATTATTTATGTGCATTTGGATTGACTGTTTCAGACGGGCCTGCTAGTTACCTCCACTTTGTAATTACAAGTGATTTGTGAGGAGATACTTTGAGACTATGTAAATATGCCACAGCTCATCAAACTTTAACTTGCTAGTGGTGACATTCATTGAGGATTCTTGCCTGAATCAGTTGATACTCTGGGTTACAAAATGATGATTTTTAAACTTTATCATTCATTAGTTGGCATTCTACTATAAGAAAAAACCCTTTCCTTTTTATTTATTTACTTCTTTATTTATCTATCAGTCTATCTATTTATTACAGATTCTTATATTATTCAATGGTTTGTAGTCTATTACTTATTTTAATAGTCATTATTTATTTTGATACTCAAATTGTCCCAGATTTCATCAAATGGAGCCTGTTAGAGCCAACTTCTGTGCTCATCTGACACGCCCACATCTTTTTGTCTGGGCACAGCGGTTCATACCTGTGATCCCAGCAGTTTGGGAGGCCATAATGGGAGGATCACTAGAGCCCGGAAGTTAAAGACCAGCCTGGGCAACCTAGTGAGATCCTGTCTCTACAAAAAATTTACAAATTAGCTGGACATGGTGGCATGTGCCTGTAGTTCCAGCTACTTGGGAGGCTGAGGATTGCTTGAGCCCAGTAGGTTGAGGTTGCGATGAGCCGAGATCACACTATTGCACTCCAGCCTGGGTGACAGTGAGACCCTGTCTCAAAAAAAAAAATTAAAGAAGAAAAATTTCTTTTTAAGTACTTCTTTACTTTCTGGCACAAAAAGATGTTCCAAGTTCCTTTTTGTTCTATCCCTACCCCAAGCCTTTTCTCCAGAAAGTCCTGGTTTTTTTAGTGGAAAGCCTTATTTAGGTATCAAGAGCTGGATGGTATGTGTGAACATTGCTGTTGCAGTAGGGATCATCTGGTATTTTTACAGTCAACCAATAATTTATTCCTAACTTAAGGAGGATTCCTTAGGACTGTATTTTCCAAAAACAAATAAAATATCTTACTCATAGGTTTCCAGATTATTTGGAGATTTTTCCACCAGATAACTGCTTGGTACATATCCTTCATGCCTGTTAAAAGGAAAATTAATGTTTAGACTTACATAGAACTAAGTTTTATATCATTTTATAGGTTTAATCCATTAAAAGTCATTTAAAGATTGGGGAATATCACATTATTTGGCATTTGCGATAAGACATTTTAAAGTTTAGAATACAAGAATTGGTAGGCCGGGGGCGGTGGCTCATGCCTGTAATCCCAGCACTTTTGGAGGCCGAGGCAGGTGGATCACGAGGTCAAGAGTTTGAGACCAGCCTGGCCAATATGCTGAAACCCTGTCTCTACTAAAACTACACACACACAAAAAAATTAGCCGGGTGTGGTGGTACATGCCTGTAGTCCCAGCTACTCGGGAGGCTGAGGCACAAGAATCGCTTGAACCCAGGAGGTGGAGGGTGCAGTGAGCCGAGATCGTGCCACTGCTCTCCAGCCTGGGCAACAGAGCGAGACTCTGTCTCAAAAAAAAAAAAAAAAAAAAAAAAAAGGAATTGGTAAAAAATAATAGCAACTTGTCTGTTAAAGGCAGGTTGATTTCACTACTGAAATATGAAACATAATAAAAAAAGAAGTGGCGATTTTACTTAAAAAGCTCTGTTTGCTGTTCTCCTCATTGTGAAATTTCCTCTACTGGAAAAAAAGATTAATATTCAGTGTCTATTTTCTATAAGGAAACATTTTTGTGTGATAATCAACATTTTTTCCACTTTAGTACTATCATTTTATAGTCAGGAAACCAAAATAATTAAAATATAAAAGATGACTTTCCAACCACAGATTCTAAAAGACACTACCAGTTGGCATTGTAAGCTTTTTAATTTAAGGCCTCCCTAATTGAGCTTCTTCAGATATGAACGGTATAAACACGAGAAAAAAAGGATAAAGCCAGGCTAGATTTGGGGATCAGGAGTCACTTTTGAGCAAGAATTAATAATTGTGCATAAACAAAAAACATAATAAACAAAATAAGAATATCAAACTTCTTTACATTTGTGTATAACTTTGTAGTTTTCAAAGCACTTTCACATTCATTATCTCATTTAATACCACAGGGTGAAAGCGGCATCCCTTCTACTCTCTGGACCTCTGACTTTATACCCGTCAAATGAAGGGCTTAAACTATATTATACTTAAAATCTAGTTTAAGTAGATACTCCATACTCTGTCAATCTGTAAAAAGATGACTGATAGGCTGGGTGTGGTGGCTCACACCTGTAATCCTAGTACTTTGGGAGGCTGAGGTGGGTGGATCACTTGAGCTCAGGAGTTTGAGACAAACCTGGGCAACATGGTGAAACCCTGTCTCTAGAAAATATATAAAAATTAGCCAGGTGTGGTGGCATGCACCTGTAGTCTCAGCTACTTGGGAGATTGAGGCATGAGACTCACCTAACCTGGGTGGTGGCGGGTGGGGGCAGTGGTGTGGAGGTTGCCATGAGCTGAGATCGTGCCACTGCACTCTGGCCTGGGTGACAGAGCAAGACTCTGTCTCAAAAAAACAAAAAAACAAAACAAAACAAAAAAAGATGCCTGATAGTTTATTGCTCTTTATTCCATAACATGTTTTAATTTTCTTATAATAAGGCCAATTTTCAATCTAGTGATTATGTTTATGGGAAATGTGTAATCAGTTCAGAGTTGTGAAGAGTGAAGAAATCAAGACTGTAGGTGCCAAATACAGGATGATCATCTTATATTTTACTCCTCTGGCAGACATTGCTAATCAATCATGGCATACTTTCTTTGGAGAATTGGACATCTGCCCTCAGAATCATCCTTCATACAGTGCTCAAGGCAGCCATTCCAACGGAAGAAAGTCAGCTTATTCTGAAATTTGCCATTCCTTCTGTATCACTCTTGGAATTCCCTTAATTATGTCTACTTTTGCCATACTATACTTTTACAATTATATTAATGCATCAAATAATATTTTGCTTTTGAATAGCATATGCCACCCAAAGCTGGGTCATCTACACAAATGGTAACTCTCATAGTTGTATGTGGATATGTAGAATTTCCAAAGCTCTTTCACTTCCATTATCTCATTGATTTTCTCAACACTGTGACGTAGACAAAGCTGACATTATCAGCTGCATTTTACAGTTCACGAAATGGATTCACAGAGGAAAAGTGACTTGGTCATCTGTGAATGACATGGTCACACATATGACATGGTCATCTGTGAATCCTCAGCTTCATATGACAAGAGTAGCTGATAAAGTCCAAGTCCTCTGTCTCCCCATCTTGTGTGCTTTCCACTATACCACACTATCACAAAGCAAACTGGGGAAATTCCCATAATGCTGACTGGCTGCTGGGGTGTCCTCTTTGATGCCCTTTGAAGTGCATAGTTAAGCCTTTCCACAGGTCACCAAATGAAGGGTTTAACTCTCATTTGGGGAAGTAAGGCCTAGGAGAACAAATTTCCTGGTACATTAGGTGTGCTAAGTAAAGTCAGTTGATTGAACTAATGAATTTCTAGGTCCCTTCGGTGTTTGTAGACCCTGTAGACAGTCTTGAACCTATTTCGGATATGGGCCTGTCTATAATGGACAGAGAGAAGGTGATGTGACTAGCTCAATTGTCTTCATGAATCAACTAGAAAGGGAGGTTCCAGACGAGGGGAGTTGGGGTCTGTTCTTAGCTAGCAAACCACACTGCCTCTCAAACCATGGTTCTGAATCTCATCACGTTTTACCCTGTCTCACTTCTGTCTTTCCTCCCCCTGTAATGGGGTTGATAAGCCTACTTAAAGAGAAGGCACCTTGAAAATGTAAATTCTGGTGTATGTAAAAGGTAAAGTCTTATCCTTAAAGATATTTGTGCCCCTCTTTTTTTTTTTTAACCCATCAGATTGACTTTTTTTAAAAGTTCAATGATACCCAGTCTTGGCACTTCCATAACTCTGTTAGCAGGAAGGTAAATTTGGCAAGCTTTGTGAGGAAATTATGTGGCAAAATTAAGATATCACATACTCTGACTTAACTGTTGCACAGTTAGAAATGTGACATATAGGCCAGGTATGGTGGCTTATGCCTGTAATCCCAACTACTTTGGGAGGCTAAAGCGGGAGAATTTCTCGAGTACAGTAGTTTGAGACAAGCCCGGGCAACATAATGAGACCCCATTTCTACAAAAAATTCAAAAATTATCTGGGCATGGTGGTGCGTGCCTATAGTCTCAGCTCTGTAGGGGTCTGAGATGGGAGGATCACTTGAGCCTGAGAGGTCAAGGCTGCAGTGAACTGTGAGAGTGCCACTGTGCTCCAACCTGGGTGACAGAGCAAGACCCTGTCTCAAAAAAAAGAAAAGGAAAACTAATGTGATAAATATATATCATATATATATGTTTGTATTCCAAAGATGGCCAAGATACATGAATACAAGATCTTCATTAAAGCCTTGTTTGAAACAGCAGAGGAAACAAATAAACTGGCAACTAAATGTCTCACCATAAAGGATTATTTAAATACTAATAATACAATCATACATTCTAAGATTGTGCAATTATTATTATTATGATTATTTTTGAGATGGATTCTCATTCTGTCTCCCAGGCTGGAGTGCAGTGGTGTGAGCTTGGCCCACTGCAACCTCCACCTCCCAGGTTCAAGCGATTCTCCTGCCCCAGCCTCCCGAGTAGCTGGAATCACAGGCGCCTGCCACCACACCCAGCTAATTTCTTGTATTTTTAGTAGAGATGGGGTTTCACCATGTTGGCCAGGTTGGTCTTGAACTCCTGACCTCAGGTGATCAGCCCACCTTGGCCTCCCAATCAAAGTGCTGGGATTACAGGCCTGAGCCACTGCGGCCGGCCCATGCAACTATTTTAAAAATGAGGTAGATTTGCATGTGCTGGTATGAAAAGATCTTCAATGTGTATTAATATCATTAAAAATTAAAAGCAAGATGCAGAACAGAATGGATCCACTTGGTACAAGTGAAAAAAGGATGCATTTGCACAGGTATAACTTTTATTTATGATACACAAGAAGGTATTAATAGTGATCACTTTTTTTTTTTTTTTGAGACAGAGTCTTGCTCTGTCGCTCAGGCTAGAGTGAAGTGGCACCATCTTGGCTCACTGCAACCTCTCCCTCCTGGGTTCAAGTGATTTTCATGCTTCAGCCAGTGGAGTAGCTGGGATTACAGGCTTGAGCCACCACACCATGCTAATTTTTGTATTTTTAGTAGAGACAGGGTTTCACCATGTTGGCCAGGCTGGTCTCAAACTCCTGGCCTCAAGTGATGCACTCACCTTGGCCTCCCAAACTGCTGGGATTACAGGCGTGAGCCAGTGCACCCGGCCAAATAGTGATTACTTTTGGACTTGATGTGGGGGCAAATGGAGGGTGGCTTATTTTTTATGTATATTTCTCTCTACTGTTAGTTAAGTAAAATGTTGACATAAATGATCTATATGTTGCAAGGACAGTTTTCTTTTTTATACTTTAAAATTAATAATAACCTCATACCTTGAAAACATTTAAACCCCTAATATTAATATACAAAGATGTTCGTTGCAGTGTTGTTAATATTTGCAAAATATTGGAGATAACCTAAGTGTTCAACAAGGGAATTTGCAATTTAGAGTACATTTATGGCTGGATTGATGCAACTATTGAACTCAGATTCTGGAAAATATTCCAGAGCATGGGTTAATACATCGGATATATTAAGAGGAAAAAAAAACCTTAAAAGGCAGTGTGAATCTCATGCTTGGTATTTTTTTCATTCAAAAGTTGCATAGTGGGAAAGTAGTATTTGTACAACCTTATTTTCTCCCTGAGTCATGTGGATGGCTAGTTCAATGACTGCGATTGTAACTAAATCTTTAGTGTCTTCTTTCTGATGCGTCCTAACATAACTATCAATCTGTACCATCTCTATACACACATTTTCTTTTCACCAAAAATAAGCACTTCCTAATGGGATGTACCTTCAGCCTCACTTAACACTCAGGAACAATAGCACTTTGCAGAACAAATTGCCAAGCTCCCAAATTGTAGATGTCAGTGGAAAAATCCAGGGGGTTTTTTAGATGAGTTTGGGTCTGGAGTGCCTGAGATGGGGTGCAGGGAACAAGCATAGCAAGTGACTGCCTCAGAGCCACTTCTGAGAAGAGGAAAAATGAGCCTCAACTACTTCCTCTTCCTCCCTCTTCCTTCTGCCTCTGCTCTCTTCTCCCACCTCAGTGCTGTGGTTACACTGTGGGAGATAGGACAAATCATCCTGGTATTTTATTTGTTCGCACCACACCTCAAACACGGGGACAGCAGCCACAAAGATGACTTACCCATTCCTGTCCTGGACTCTCCACCAGTGAATCTCAGAACTGTCCAGCAGGCAGTACTCTTCGTTGCGCCGCAGTGCGAGTTCCTGAGGATCATTGGTTTGGTAGTCATATAAGGCAATGACCACAGTTTCTTCAGGTTCCCAAAGTGGTCGCTGGGGAAGAGAGACAACAAAACCAAGCAAAGACATAAAAAAGGAGGTAAAATGCCTCCTTTCATCGGGGTGTCTGGGGAGACAGTCTGCCTTCCTCTGGTAGACTTTCTTTATGAGTTAGAGTTACAGCGCTGAACATGACACAAAGACATCAGTGCTTGGAATTCATCACATTGCTCATTCTATGAGGTAAATTCTGACCACAGTGAATTCCAAGCAGCCACGTGATTTTCACAAAAGTCTGCTGGTTTCTCTATCTGCACTATGTTATATGCAGCAGCCTCTCTGCTGGATGCATCATGCCCTTGGCAAAGGAGATGCAGTCAACATGAAATCTTTCAGTTTGTGCTTTACTAATATGATTTGTGGGTTTATCTAGATCTACGGAATCATAGGTTATTGGAGCTGGAATTCCTCTAACAGATCACTTAATACACTTTTTCATTTAGGATGAGGAAACTGAGGCCCAGATGGAGAAATGGACCTGGCCAATCTACCACTTGAATTAGCCCTAAGACTCTCTCTACTCTAGCACCTGTCTCCCTTCCTTCTCCTGTAGGCTCTATTGCTGATGTCTCTGTTCCTCAGTCCCTTTCTTCATGTCCATATTGAGGACATGAAGAAAAGACCACAAAGCGCATAGTCGCCAGAGTTCAGGATGGGCACGCCTGCTATGGGTTAGCAGACTTTGTGAGAGTAAATGTAGGGAAATATTAAGTTCCTCACTAGAATGTGGTTTAGTGTTAGGAAGTCACAAGTTCTCTGAGTACATTGAAGCATTTAGTGGCATAAAAATACTGGAGCTGAAAAAAGAGTCTCGTCATTTTGATGTAGTATGTCATCTCAGCTGAGCCCAGATCGGATTTTTTTTTTTAAGAGAGACAGGGTCTCACTATGTTGCCCAGACTGGTCTCAAACTCCTGGGCTCAAGTGACCCTCCTGCCTCGGCCTCCCAAAGTGCTGGGAGTACAGGAATGAGCCACTGTGCCCGGCTGCAGATTGGAATTTGAAATCTAGATATTTGTGGAGCTTGTGAGGATGTGTAAATGGGGTGCTATGGACAAGAGTGGATGGCCTGAGGCTTTTGCTCTAAGAGCTTATGGAGGGAGGAATAGTGTTCAAGGATGTTTGAAGAAGAAACAGAGCTATGGCATTCATCCCACTGCAGGTCAACTCATTGGTTAATAGCTGTGAAGAGAAAGGTCAGAGCAGGGCCCTCAAATTATGATAGTACCTTTCTGTAGGGGCACACTGGACATGTATTTTTTTTTCTAATAATCATGCAAGCTTGGAATATGGGGGTTATTTTGAACATCACAGTTTGAGGTATGCTATAGGCCTTTAATGCAAAATGCTCTGTAGAGTCCCACATTCCCCACAACTTTCGAATATCCTGGTAAACATTCATGTGGTGAGAAACCAGCTTATACAGTAATTATATAAGAACATCCTGAGCCTAGATCCTAGCTGTACCCTATCCAAAGTACTGGATTTCCCAAGAATGCAACTACCTTGTACTTTGAGGGAAGACTATGCTTTGGTTCAGAAGTTTACTAAGAGTTGTTCATCATTTTGGAAAATTATATCACTGGTGGTAATGCTGTAGTTGAGTCCCAATACCACATTTTGTATCAGTTGCATTCGAGATGCCAAATCCAATGGATCCTACCTGCCAGTGCAAGAATTCGACTATTTCATTCTGTCTTCCAGTGCAGTCATGTCCCAATATTTATATAGAAACACATATTTTGTTATATATATTATTTTTCTTTCCTTTTTAAATATTACAGTTAGAACATTTGTTGATTCTTTTTAAAAAGTATGTTTAATACAAAAGTTAGCCAGGTGTGGTGGCAAGTGCCTGTAGTCCCAGCAACTGCGGAGGCTGAGGAGGGAGGATGGCTTGAGCCCAAGAGACAGATGGTGCAGTGAGCTATGATTGCACCACTGCATTCCAGCCTGGGCAACAGAGTGACACCCTGTCTCAAAGCAACAAAAAATTTTAATTAAGTACTTTAATTTTAAAAAATTGTGTATATATATGTTATATTAGTTATAAATTTCTTTTCAGGATAACAAAAGGAACCTTACAAAATATCTGTCATTAAAAGGCAGGATTGAGTTTGATAAGGTTGGGAACCATTAGATTTGAGTGAGAAAATCAAGGGATGGCATTTGGAGAAACTGAGTCTGTGGGCTCAGGAAGGGTTGTTTGGGAGCCTCCATGATGTGGTGAGGCATGAAAGGAATGAGGATCCTGCCTCCTGACCACTCTGCTGCAGGCCTCAGCACAACCTGACCCCCCAGGACCTCTGCTGGCCCCAGGTGGGAAGAGCTCCACGGGGCTGAGGGGCCCTCACAGAGAGCCCAGGTAGCAGTGGCAGGGATAGGGTGCCTTAGTAGGCAGCCAGCAAGAAAGGACACATGCAGACACATTCTAGTGGCCCCTCAGCAAGCCCTGGGTTGACTGGGAGGGACTGTAAGAGGAAGACTTGAGTTCCCATGGATGCAGGGGGCCAAGAGGAATCGGAATTTGTACTTCAATGTGATATACGACCTTGTTTGTATCCATAGGCAAAAGAGGCCTAGGATTGTCCTTCACTCTGACCATGGATATTTTACATCTTGAACCAAAATAGCCATCCCCCAACCCCCAGAGGACTGGCCAGTCCCCGGAGGACTGGCCCTGCTCACAGTGTTTCTCACATAGAGCATGAGACCTGTTGGCTCAGACTGGATTAAAAACAGTTTCTCTGTATGACAACCCGAGATGTCATTACCACTCAGGCAGCAGAACAAGAAGGTGAGGAGAGAAATGATTTCAAGTGGCTCAGACAAGAGAACCGTTGCATTGGATTTAGACATGCGGTTGAAACTAGAACAATGATTCCAAAACCTTTGTGGTCAGAACACTCAAAACAGTATCCACGATGCTCCTCCAAGAAGGCTGAAAAGCCAAATGGCAGAGTGTAGGGAGAGAAGGACCAGCAGTGTTTTCTGGCTTTCACCTTCATTGATACCAAAAATAAAGACACAAGAGCAGCCTCACTTAAGATGGGAGGTGTGGGTTTAGGCGGGACTGTTGAGGGAACCGTCTGCAAGGGAGGGCAGTAGGGTTCCGAACCAGGCCTTCAAAGGGGATGGTGAAATAGTCTGCAGAAGGTCAGTGAAAGAAAAGGAGAGAGAGCTCATTCTCTGCTACAGTTTCAGTACATTTCTCTCATGTTGTGAGGGAGTAGGCTGATGACAGATCTAAACACCAGGCTGGGGCTTTGAGGATTTAGAGCTTCCTTTATGGGGACGCTGCCAGTTTTGAAATGTCACCATTTTGGCTGAAGGGAAAAAAGGCAGAGCTCATTCTTCAGGAAGAAGCATGAGGAAATGGAATCTGAAAGCTCTTGTTAAAGAACTTGCTCTGGAATGAAGAGCGAGTACTCAAATGTGGGTATTGGTCAGGCACAGTGGCTCACGCCTGTAATTCCAGCACTTTGGGAGGTTGAAGTGGGTTGATCGCCTGAGGACAGGAGTTCAAGACCTGCCTGGCCAACATGGTAAAAGTCGGTCTCTATTAAAAATACAAAAATTAGCCGGGCATGATGGTGAGCGCCTGTAATCCCAGCTACTCAGGAGGCTGAGGCAGGAGAATCGCTTGAACCTGGGAGGCGGAGGTTGCAGTGAGCCGAGATCACGCCATTGCACTCCAGCCTGGGTGACAAGAGCAAGACTCTATCTCAAAAAAAAAAAAAAAAGAAAGAAAAGTGGATATTGGTGTTAATATTATCATAAGGTCAGGGTCATATTCCCTACCTAAAGGTCATGATCCTTTCCCCCATCTTTTTTTTTTCATCTCCTTAACAAAATAAGCTGCCCTAGAGTAGGTACTATGCCATCTAAGACTTGTAAGTCAGTATATTATAGATCAGTGAGGAGGCTTATTAAAATGCAGATTCCTGGGCCCCTCCCCCAGCGTTTTGGACACAGCAGGTCTGGGGGTGGGGCCTAAGAATTTGTATTTCTAACATGCTCCCAGGTGATGCAGATGCTTCTGGTCCATGGACTATACTTTGAGAACCACCACTCGAGTTAAAGACCACCACGCCAGAAACCTTGCATCCTACTAAGTTGCTGAATGGCCTTGGAAAAGCCTCAAGACCTGTCTTGGGATTTGATTTCCCAAGCTTTACAATGAGAATAAAACTAAAACCCTCTGAAGTGGATAGAACGGATAGTAAGTTTTAAAATAGATAATAAAGGGGTGGAAGTGCTTTGAAATATATAAAATATCAACAAATGTATGTCTCCAAAATGCTTGCGAAGAGTAGATGTGCACCTTGTTTTTTTTTTTTTTTTTCTGGAGACGGGGTCTTGCTCTGTCACCCGGGTTGAAGTGCAGTGGCACACAGTCATGGCTCACTGCAGTCTCGACCTCCTGGGAGTAAGTGATCCTCCCACCTCAGCTTGCTAAGTAGCTGTGACTACAGGTGTGCACCACCACACCAGCTAATTTTTAAAAATTTTTTCTAGAGATGGGGGTCTCACTTTGTTGTCCAGGCTGGTCTCGAACTCCTGGGCTCAAGCGATCCTCCCACTTTGGCCTCCCAAAGTGCTGGGATTACAGACGTGAGCCACCATGCCAGACACACTTTTATGTAGAGTGAGCTGCTACTATACTCCAAAGTGGTCAGGTGAATGGCCACCCAATTTGATATCAGTATTTGTTGAATAAATAAAGTGAGATGGAGATTTAGCAGCTGAATGGTCCTTTAAGTGGACAGACCCCCCAAGAGAGTTCAAGCCCAAAAATACCCAATGTGTTGAGTTCTGCTGAATCATGACAGCCTGCTGCATGCAGCCAGGGTTTGAAAACTATGGGGAGAGGGGGACATGCAAATAGGAACATGCCAATCAGGTAGCCTGTGGGCCCACCTGCACCCGGAGCTAGCGCTCTCACTCACCCTGTTGTCTTCAGGAGTAGGAGGAAGAGGCTTCTTTGAAGCTGAAAAGAGAAAAACAGGAAAAGAAAAAATGAGCATGAAAACTAATGGACCCAACCGGAAGTGAGCAGCCAGGGGGTTTTTCTGAGAAAAAGGGCCCAGGGAAAACAACAGAAGAAAGGGGGCCAGAAGGAGCAATAAGACACAGTGAAACCTGACTTGGCCTTGTCAGAAGCTGTCTTTTATCTCCTTGGGCCTGCTGGTTTCTGATTCCCTTTTCTAGTACACACCAGAAGCTTCCAGAAGTCCATATTCGGGGGCCCTCTCTTTCTGTATTCCCAGGAAAAGCCTGCCAGTGGGGTTAGACTTGCACCCTTCCCTGTAGGCATAGAGACTTCCGGGAATGTCTCTGCCACCTGCTAAGCTCAGGAGTGGGAATTGGTGACTCAGGGGGACAGTGACTCACTAGCTTCCTGATATGGTTGTGGGCTTGAGGAGGGGGTGGCTGAGGTGGGAGGTCATTGTGCTGCTTTTTGAGTGGGCTGGGATCCACTTTTAGTTGCCTTAAGGCATCTGAATATGTGTTCTTTCTGCCTCTTTCAAACTATACCAACCCCAGCATCTCTCTGTCTTTGTCTTTCTGCTTATCTCTGTTTCCATGTCTCCGTCTGTTTAGCTCTCCTCTCTCTTCCCTCTTTCCTCCTTTCTCTTCTCTTCTCCTCTCTCTTTCTCTTTCTCTCTCTCCTTCCTCTCATCTCTTCATATGCATCTCTCACTATTTCTCCTTTGTAGCTCTGCAAAGGCCATTCCTGGACTCAATGAATCAAAGGTGTGTGGCTGTGTCTGGGGCTCTCTGTGGTACGGGAGGCACTGCACAGACTTCAGGCTAATACAAAGACGTCCTTAATAACGAGAGATGGGAAGAGAATGGGCTGCATAGGTAGACGATGAGTTCCTCATTTCTGTATGAGGTTGACTTGAAGTTGGACAGCTCACATCAGGGATGTGGTAGAGGAGAGTCACACATTGACACTGGAGCCCAGTCCCGTGCAGACTTGCCAAGAAAGAGTAGGCTGGGATAGTGACCTGGGTATACAATGACCACAGAAGAAGGAAAACCCCTGTAATAGGAAGTATGGTTCCTATTTAGAACTCAACTTGGAGCTGGGAGACTGGTGTTCTAACTCTGGCTTCACCAATACTAGCTGTGAGCCTTGGCCACTTCCAGCCCTGGACATTCTATGACTGGTCTCTCTTTCTTCGTCCTCTGGCCTTGCTTTTCCCTTCCTTCCTTTCCCTCCCCACAGTGGGGAGATCAGGGCCAGTTCTGGTTGCAGAAATGGGTGTTACTATGGGTTGGGTGTGGCTGGGTCTGTTTTTACTCATCCACTTCTGCTGCTTCCCAGACCCATACAAGTTCTGAGGCTATATCTCAGCCTCAGATTCTTTCATCCACCAATAAGGAAGACAAGTAGACACAATTACCATTTATCAAGAACTCTGTAAATGTTGGCAGCTGTACTGCTTTCCACAACACCATTGAATCTCCCAGCCTTACACATAGCTATCTATTATCATTATCCCCATATTGCAGGTGAGAAAATGCTCTTAGAGGCTCAGAGGGATTATCCAAAGCCCAGTGCTCATAGACCCGCACTGCCAATGTGCTCGGTACCAGGAATCCTGTGAGCCTTCATCCAGGGTGATGACCATAAGCTGCGTTCACAGTGCAGTGTGCTTCTTGAAAACTCTGCTCTCAACTGTGCAAAACTCAGATCCATGAAGTTATTTAACCAAATCAGAAGAGGGTAGAGTGAGGAGATGCTCAGAGGAGGATATGGCAATGGGTTGCAATGCAAAAGCAAAACCATTAGCACAGTGACTGCATGACAACCACAGCAGGACCCCAAGAGTGCTCAGGCCCTGGTTTCACATGGGGAACAGCTCAGCATGACCAGTCCTCCCCCACTGGCATTCTGGTGAGTCATTCAGATGTCCCTAGCACCTCAGTCACATGTGTATCACTTGGAGGAGGGAAATACTTGCGCCCCGAAGAGGAATAGCTGCAGCATGCATGGTGAAAATTACAAAATGGAAATACCAAGTCAAAGAATTTCAGAATTGGAAAAGGGCTTAGGTATTATTTCATCCTAAGCCCCTCAGAACTCCCTGCCATTTTTGAGATGAGGACATTGGGGCCCTTGATGGCCACGTGACTCATCTGAGGGCCCACAGCAAGGCATTGGCAGAAATTTGGAGACCAGATCACTGACTTTGGAAAGGGCTTTCACTCACAGAGGTAAGCCCATGCCGTTCTGTTATTATGGTGGATCCTATCCAGAGAAAACTTTCCATTTCATTTTTATTAAATATTGGCCCGCATGAATATGGTAAACAGGACTAATGTGTAGGATCACTTGAATAGTTACCAATTTCTAAAACTTGTTAAGTATTGTTCTTCTGGGCCCAGGGATCGATTATGTCTAAGAGCTTTTTTCCCCAAGGTGCAGGGTGAAAAGTGGTGGTTTTTAAAGTGGCAATGAGAGGGCCTATGAATCAGGAAGCCACAGAAAACCTAGCCATGTGTTACATCCGCCTTGGGTTGCCAATTTTCAGTATTAAGTTTTAGCGCACAAAAGAATAAATGAGAAAGGGAAACTATGGCAAAAGAGGTTGAGAAGAGAGGAAAATGGAAGGAAAACAATCCACATGGGCCATTATTCCTATTCGACAATGGATTTGCAGAGCACTTCCAGCGGTGTGACCCGGAGCATACTGAATTGCTCAAGGCAGCCCATTCCCTTAACATCACGCCATGTACCCCAGATGGTTGAGAGGAACAAGAGCATAATAAATGTGAAATGCATTCGAGTGGAGTTGTACTCGACTGGAGGTTAAGGTTCCAAAGTCATCAATAAAATCCAGTTGCAGCCCAATCCCCTGGACCTGAGCCTTTACTGTCAAAGGCAAAAAAACAGCTTTTTTTGTTTTCACTTTGCATTTAGACTGCGGCCTTCTCCTCTCTGAGACTGTGGAGGTCAAGGGCAAGTTTGAAGAGGAGGCAAGGAGAAATCACAGAGTAAAATGTAAAAGAAAAAAAATTCCTCTCACCTTTAAGGGTATAGAGTTGAATTTGTGTAATTAAATTTATGTGTGACATGATGTCACTGTAAGACATAAATATTTTATATCTCTTAAGGCTGCCTCTTTAATTAAGATTTAAATAGACCATGCCATTCAAATGCAGGTTATAGCAGGGCTCCTCAAACTGTACTGTGCACATAAGTCTCCTGGGATCTTGTTAAAATGAAAATTCTGATCTAGTAGGTCATGAGTGGGGCCAGATCATTTGCATTTCTAACTAACTCCTAGGAGATGTTGATGCTGCTGGTCCAAAGAGCACACTTCAAGTGGTTAGGAGCTGTAGACATCAGCTTTGAGATGGAAGCACCAACAGGCTGGTAGGAAAGACAGATGATTCCTCTTGGAAAATTCTGAAAATGTAGAATTTTGCATTCTGTTCCTGACACCCTCAATGATTAAAGGCCAAAAGCTTTTACTTTTTTATGGTCATTTCACAAAAACTAGAGGGAATTCCCAGTCTCTTACCATTCTTGGTTGGATCATATTGGGCACAGCCTGTTGCAAGCTTCTCCAGCTGAGAACAGCACCTCCACTTCCCATCCATCCAGAAATTAGGATGATATTTAGGCACCAAACTGTTATTATTCCTCGTTTCTGAAACAGGTTGGCACCAACAGAAGAGTTATTTCCAGGTCAGTCTATCAAGGGCTACCAATTTTATAACACCTCGAGATTAGACCTGGCTGAGTGAGCCTGAATGAGTATTGCCCAGACCACTCAGAAGCATGGGTTGATCTGAGCGCATAAATGCACTGTGCTATTTACTGGGGTAGTTCATGTTACATTTAGGCATCAGCACATCTAGGCTTGCGTCTGGCTCTGCCTTGCATTAGTTATGTGTTCTTAAGTTGGGCAAACCCTTATCTGAGCCTCAGTTTCCCCCACTATGCAATGAGATTGTTAAACACTGGGCTCTACAAAGGTGCCTTAAGGGTAATGAGAAGGTTGAGAAGGTGGAATTACCACCCCCCACCTCTCCTACCTTTAACCACAGCCACTTTGGTTTTCTCCCTTCTAGGTTTGTGGCTTTGAAGTAAGATTTTGGTTGGAAAAAAAAGGGGGGTCTGCTACTGAAACAAATACATACATAAGGCACAGAACAGAGTTGGGTGTAGTGGCTCATGCTTGTAATCCCAGTACTTTCGTAGGCCGAGGCAAGAGGATCACTTGAGTCCAGGAGTTCTAGATTAGCCTAGGCAACATAGCGAGACCCCTTTTCTACCAAAAAAAAAGAAAAAAGTTAGCTGGGCATGGTGTCATGCACCTGTAGTCCCAGCTACTCAGGAGGCTGAAGTGGGAGGATCACTTGAGCCCAATAGGTCGAGGCTGCAGTGAGCCATGCTTGTGCTACTGCACTCCAGCCTGGGTAACAGAGTGAGACCCTGTCTGATATCGTTTGGCTCTGTGTCCCCACCCAAATCTCATCTTGAATTGTAATCTCCATGATTCCTGCGTGTTGAGGGAGAGACCAGGTGGTGGTAATTGGATCACGGGGATATTTTCCCCCATGCTGTTCTTGTGATAATACGTGAGTTCTCATGAGACCTGATGGTTTTATAAGTATTTGGCAAGTTCCTCCTTCTGTCATTCTCTGTCCTGCCACCTTGTGAATAAGGTGATTGCCTCCCCTTCACCTTCCACCATGATTGTAAGTTTCCTGAGGCCTCCCAGCCATACAGAACTGTGAGTCAATTAAACCTCTTTTCATTATACATTACCCACTCTCGGGCATATCTTTATAGCAGTGTGAAAATGGACTAATACACTGTCTCAATGAATAAATAAATAAATGAACCAACCACAGAACTAGATATCTAATCTCTAATATTCCTTCCAGTTTTAACACCCTGTGTATAAAATCCCTTCACAGAGGGCAAATGGCCAATGACCATAGCTGGGGCCCTTTTGATTCCTTTTTTTTCTTCTTTTTTTTTTGGTGGGGTAAGAACAGGGTCTTGCTCTGTGACCCAGGCTCGGCTCACTTGGCTCACTGCAGCCTTGACCTCCCAGGCTCAGGTGATTCTCCCACCTCAGCCTCCCGGGTAGCTGGGAGCACAGGCATGTGCCACCATGCCTGCCTAATGTTTTTATTTTTAGTAGAGATGAGATCTCACTATGTTGCTCAGGCTGAAGTGCAGTGGCATGAGCATGGCTCACTGTAGCCTTGAACTCCTGAGCTCAAGTGATCCTCCCACCTTGGCTGCCCAAAGTGCTGGGATTACAAGTGTCAGCCACTGCGCCCAGCCCATTTTGATTACTTCTTACTTTTGTGTTTGCTGTATGTCCCAAGACTGTAAGAACGGAGAGCACTTCCCCATTCACCCAGCACTTGTCTGCTCATAACCGATTTAAGGCTCACAACAACCTCGGGATAAGATACAACTTGTATTTCTATTCTCATTTTTTTCAGATAGAGGAATTGCAGCTCCAGAGATAACAAATAGTTTGCTTATCCTTGGTCCTCACAGCTTCGTAGAGGCAGATTAGTATTTGAACCCAGATCTTCTGACACATCCAGTGCTTCAGGCTAAAGAACAATAATGGTAACATTGATCCAGGGCTTTCTTTGGGATGGGTATTTTTCTAAGTCCTCAATCATTCAATTCTCACAACAGCTCCATGACTGTTTTTAGTCAAAATTTATAGAGACACACGAAGGTCAAGGAACTTACCCAGGGTCACATGCTAATCATTGGCAGAGCTGGGATTTTCACCTTCATGCCTGGCTCCACATCCCATGTGCTTAAACACTGCTGCCTCTAACTGTGCCATCAGGAAGGTAAGGCTTAAGAAATACCCTTACCAATGGTCTGAAAAGCTTGAAAGCTAGCTGATATTTATTGCATGCTGTCTATGGGCCAACCTAGTTTCTAGGACTTTGCTCACATCAGCTCCAAAGGCAGGTGCTGTTATCCCTTCCTTTTCTTCCTTTTAAACAGATGGGAAACTGAAGCACAGGCAATTAAGGAACTCGCCCAAGTGTACATAGCAAGTGACAGACTGGGATTTAAACCCAGGTCATCTCACATGAGGGCCTATGCTCTGCTTCTTCATACTATACGAGGAGTTGGCAAATTTGTTCTTAAAAGGCCAGACAGTAAATATTTTAGGTTTTACTGACCATGAGACAAAATCAAGCATCTTATGTAGGTACTTATTAAACTATTTGAAATGAGTTATATACAAATATTGCTCAGAGCCTGACAAGAACAGACAGCAGGCTGGATTTGGTCAATCCCTGAATGATACCAGTTATTGCTTCCTGGGCCCAGGATGAAAACTTGGGAACTTCCACCAACCCCAAAAGAGAAATCAGCCATCAGCTGCTCTCACACCACACTCTATTCTATTGTGGAACCCAACCCTACTATAGGATCAAGAGTGTCAGTGATTCAATGGCAAAGGAGTTTAATTACCTTCTTTAAGGGCCAGCACCCAGCGCTGCCGGCTCTCACGATCTGGAGCAAACACATATAGGAGGTAGTTGTCATGCACCACCTGGAGACACACACACAGAGTTCAAGGTGAGCAGCGTGCATGGAGATAGTTGACTGACAGCAGACCTACTGAGCCGAGAGTGGGGTCTCGGGTGTTTATCGTCATATAGGCAAACATTTGGGTAATTAGGGGGCCAGTATCCTTTTTATCCAGGTGTTTGGGTGCTACAAAAACACAGGGTAAGCAGTTTCAGCTGCTCGTCTCAGATTCCATGCCCCAAGAGAGCAATCACTAAACTAAGACAGCAGGAGAAAGTTCTCCTCTTGACTAGAAACCACATTTATTTCTCATCTTAAGTTTTTAGTGATTAAAAAAATATTTCTGGCACATGGAAGAGAAAGATATTATATGACAAATGTGCAATGAGAGTTTTGAAAACTTCTTATTTTGAAATAGTTTAAGACTCACAAGAAGTTCCAGAAATAGTACAGAGTTCCTGTGTACTTTTCACCTACTTTTCTCCACTGATGACATCTTACGTAACCACAACACATCTTTCAAAACTCACTCATAGGTGGGAATTGAACAATGAGATCACATGGACACAGGAAGGGGAATATCACACTCTGGGGACTGTGGTGGGGTGGGGGGAGGGGGGAGGGATAGCATTGGGAGATATACCCAATGCTAGATGACGAGTTAGTGGGTGCAGCGCACCAGCACGGCACATGTATACATATGTAACTAACCTGCACAATGTGCACATGTACCCTAAAACTTAAAGTATAATAAAAAAAAATTAAAAAAAAAAAAAACCAAGAGATTGTCATTGGTACAATACTGTTAACTAAACTGCAGTCTTCTTTATATTTCACCTCTCTTTTAGGCACTCATTATCATTGAGATTTTGAACAACTGAAAAATACATGCTATTCCTTTTATTTTCAGTCCTCAAAATTCCAACTCATGAGGGTCACTTTTCTAGTAGAAAAAAAGTTCTTTTCTATGCCATGTTAAAAATATGTTCATCCCTCAGGTTGGCAAGCAGGAATGGTACCCTGGGATGTGCAAGGAGATATCCATGCCTTTGAAGCCAGAAGTGCCAAGATTCATATACAAGGACTTTAAAGATACCCTCCACCAGCTCTGTTCAGTAGAACTTTGGGAGGCCGAGGCGGGTCGATCACGAGGTCAGGAGTTTGAGACTAGTCTGACCAACATGGTGAAACCCCATCTCTACTAAAAATACAAAAATTAGCCGGGAGTGTTGGCACACGCCCGTAGTCCCAGCTATTCAGTAGGCTGAGGCAGGAGAATCACTTGAACCAGGGAGGTGGAGGTTGCAGTGAGCCGGGATTGCGCCACTGCACTCCAGCCTGGGTGACAGAGTGAGACTCTGTCTCAAAAAAAAAAAAAAAATTTCTGCAGTGATAGGAACATTCTATAACCAGTGCTGTTTCAGTACAGTAGCTGCCAGCCATGTCCTGCTATTGAACATGTGAAATGTGCCCAATGTGACTAAGAAGCTGAATTTTTAATATCGTTTAATACATTTAAATGTGAACATCCATGTGTGGCTAGTGGCTACTGTACTAGACAGTGCGATTCCAGATAGTCCTCAGATTATAAAATCTGAATCTTTTTGCCTCAGAATCTCCAAGCAATTCATACCCAGCAATTGCAATATGTTGCCTCAAATCATGAGTAAACTGCACTTAAAGCACATTAGGTTTCAGGCCGCTGATAGCAGCTTTATTTCTTCCTTCACTAATTAGGACTTTCCTTGAGGAAGAGAAGACATGAGGGAAAGGGGTATAAGGAATAACCACCTTTTCAAGATTTTGTGCTTAATTTTTGTTCAATAAGTGAAAGAATTAACAAATAAATGTCACTGATGGAAGGAACACATACGTTTCCTAATGGGATTTGTCTAAGTCCTAACCTTGGAGCAGAGAGGCAGAGAGTCATCCGTGTCCACCCTCTCTCACAGTGACTGAGGATTTTTTTTTTTTTTTTTTGACGGAGTCTCACTCTGTTGCCTGGGCTGGAGTGAATGGCACGATCTTGGCTCACTGAAAACTCTGCCTCCTGGGTTCAAACAATTCTCCTGTCTCAGCCTCCCGAGTAGCTGGGATAACAGGCGCCCGCCAGTACGCCCAGCTAATTTTTTGTATTTTTAGTAGAGATGGGGTTTCATGTTGGCCAGGCTGGTCTTGAACTCCTGACCTCGTGATCTGCCTGCCTCAACCTCCCAAAGTGCTAGGATTACAGGCTTGAACCACTGCACCCGGCTGTGACTGAAGATTTTAACCACAGTCCAGGGAATGGGGAACTACCCACCTGATGGACTTACCTGAAACGGGTATTTATAGTGGCATGGGATGCTGATGTCACTTTTCACAATCTCAACACATTTGATTCGGGAGAGCTCAATGGACCCCTTCAGCGTGCGCTTCTTCTGTGGGGAGAGAAGAACATCCCATTCATGTAAGAAAGAAGACAATATTTTTGTCCAGATTGCTCCAGAAATCTACTGCTAGATAAGATCCATTGGCTTTTTAAACCTATTCCAACCCTCCAAACCAAATATCCAAAACTGCCTCCTGGCCCTAAGTGTGGGATAAACACTCTGAGCAGACTCCTGGGGACACATGCCTTTAGAGTCTTCTTCTTGGTGACAGGTTTCCACTCAGTGAGACACGGGGTCATGTACCCCACTGCCCTTGTGACAAATGGCAGCATTGGCAGAACTTGTAGCTGAGATGCGTAGAGAAATCCATGGACACACATATGACAATTTTCTCTTCTCTGTGTCTATCCATGACCATATTAGCATAGTAATTGAGCTCGGACCCGACCTGGATTGTGGTGCATACCCTTAGTGGCACCTTTTTTTTTCTGCCTCTGGCTTCTCCATGTCCTTTAATTATCCGCAGTCCCACAATGACACTCCCAAAGGACATTCCTGACTCTGATCTATAACTATCCCTTCTCCATGTCCTCCCCAACCTCCCCATCAAATACTACTGGGCCTGTGTCTCATTTCCTTGGAAACTTGCTAGCTGTATTTCCCTGATAACTAATTCACATGATGGTATTTGTGATTTATAATGATGTTACATGTTACCTATTTCTAAGGATCCTTGTGCTTGGAGAATGGATCTCAGGGGATTTGATGCTTTAGCCAATGGAACAAATTCCATTGGTGGTCTATCAGGCTCCAAGGAAAGATAGTTAGGAAAGTGCTTCTGGATGGAAGAAGCCTCTCACAGGTACCTAGAATTGAGCTGCCATTGAGAATTCAGCTATGGAATTCAGCTATGGAACCAGTTGCAAAATACGTCATTATACCCACTACCAATCAATCCCAAAAGACACGATTCTGAATGTCATAGTCCTGAATGCTGAAATCCTGAATGATAAAAATCCCTGAAGTCTAAGTCCTTAACATCTAAAATCTCAAAAATCACGATTAGTGAATTTTCTGTTGTACACAGGATAGCCTCATTATGTTAGTTGCATCTTGTTAGGCAGAACTATTACTTTGTTATTGTCTTCATTTGGAAATTACGTGTGGTTTAAGATATGTATGGGTGCCAAATAGACAAGGGATGGACTTGTAGACTTAATTTTAGGTGTCAAATTGACTGGATTAAGGAGTATCTAAGGCTGGACATGGTGGCTCACGCCTGTAATCCTAGCCCTTTGGGAGGCCGACACGGGAAGATCACCTGAGATCAGGAGTTCGAGACAGCCTGCCCAACATGGTGAAACCCCACCTCTACTAAAAATACAAAAATTAGCCAGGTGTGGTGGCGGGCGCCTATAATCCCAGCTACTCTGGAGGCTGAGGCAGGAGAATGGCGTGAATCCGGGAGGCGGAGCTTGCAGTGAGTGGAGACCGCACCATTGCACTCCAGCCTGGGCGACAGAGCAAGACTCAAAAAAAAAAAAAAAAAAAAAAAAAAAGAGACGTATCTAGATACGTGATAAAGCATTATTTTGGGGTGTGTCTGTGAGGGTGTTTCCAGAGTAGACTAGTATGTGTATCAGAATGGGCGAGGTGGGGGAGATCTGCCCTCAGTGTTGGTGGACACCATTGAATCAGCCAGGGACCCTAAGAGAACAAATACTGAAGGCAAATTAGTCTGTCTCTGAGAGTTGGGACAGAATTTTCTTCTGCTGTTTTTGATTAATCTCATTAAAAGACTTAGGTTGTCTATCATAGCATTTCAGATGACCATGGTTATATAAGCTGTTTCTTTTTTAAAAAAATTTAAAGGTGAAATATATTGCATATTAGTTTTTTTGTTTTAAAAATCAGCTTTATTAAAGTATAATTTACATATAATAAAATTTACCAATGTACATTTCAGTGAGTTTTGACAAATGTATACATTTGTGTCATAATCTCTGTAATTAAGATACAGGAAAAGAAATAACCAAAATCAGAGCTGAACCAAAGGAGATTGAGACACAAAAAATTATTCAAAAGATCAATGAATCCAAGGGTTGGTTTTTTGAAAAAATTAATAGGATAGATAGGCCACTAGCTATACTCATAAAGAAGAAAAGAAGGAAGATCCAATTAAACACAACTAGAAATGACAAAGAGGATGTTACCACTAACCCCACAGAAATACAAATAATCAGAGACTACTATGAACACCTCTATGCACACATATTAGAAAACCTAGAAAAATGAATCCATTCCTGGACAACATACACCCTCCCAAGACTGAACCAGGAGGAAATTAATTCCCTGAACAAATCCATAACAAACTCCCAAATTGAATCAGTAATAAATAGCCTACCACCCAAAAAAAGCCTGGGACCAGATGGATTCACAGCCGAATTCTACCAGATGTACAAAGAAGAGCCAATGTAATTCCTACTGAAACCATTCCAAGAAATTGAGGAGGAGCGTCTCCCCCACAACTTATTCTATGAGGCCAGCATCATCCTGATACCAAAACCTGGCAGAGATACAACAAAAAAGAAAACTTCAGGCCAATATTGATGAACATCGAAGCAAAAATTCTCAAGAAAATACTTGCAAACCAAATCCAGCAGCACATCGAAAAGCTAATCCAGCCAGGCGTGGTGGCTCATGCCTGTAATCCTAGCACTTTGGGAGGCTGAGGAGGGTGGATCACTTGAGCCCAGGGGTTCGAGACCAGCCTGGGAAACGTGGTGAAACTCTGTTTCTACAAAAAATTACAAAAATTAACTGGATATGGTGGTGCACACCTGTAGTCCCAGCTTCTCGGGAGGCTGAGGTGGACAGAAGTTGCAGTGAGCCAAGATCATGACACTGCACTCCAGCATAGGTGACAGAGCAATACTGACTCAAAAAAAAAAAAAAAAAAAAGGCTAATCCTTTTTTACATGATCAAGTAGGCTTTAGGAATGCAAGGTTGGTTCAACATATGCAAATCAATAAATGTAATTCATCACGTAAATAGAACTAAAGGCAGAAATCACGATTATCTCAATAGATGCAGAAAAGGCTTTCAATAAAATTCAACATTGCTTCATGTTAAAAACTATCAATAAACTAGATATTAAAGGAACGTACGTCAAAATAATAAGAGCCATCTATGACAAACTACAGCCAACATCATACTGAATGGGCGAAAGCTGAAGGCGTTCCCCTTGAATACCAGCTATTTCTTTAGGAATATAGTTTGTCTGCTCATAACTGTTATACCCATGTGACTGTCCTTAGTATACTTGGGTGTTTATGTTTGCAAAAATATGTATATTATTATTGCCTATTTTATTGCACAAGGTGGCCTATGAAGCATTTCGTCATGTCTTCATATGTTTCTCAAATAAATCCACTTTAAAATGTAAACAAATGTCTTTTAAAAAAGTTTTTAAAATTATTTTTTCCAGAATTATATTTTTGGGTATTTTTACATTTTGTATTTCAATATTTGGGATTATGGTGTTCAGGATTGTGGCCCAAACCCCATTCTACCTTATTTTTTTAAGGAGGTAGCAAATGATGGTGAAATGAGCACACGTTTGGGAAAGCTATGTTTAAAGTAGGTCTCTGCCTCTTACTATAAGAGCTCTGTGACTTTGGGCAATTCATTAAACTTCCCAGAACCCTGGTTTTTACATCTGATAAGTGGGGATAATACCTACCTTTTGAGAGTTGATTGGGGAATAAAATAGGATGATGTCAACAAATTAACTGGCTTATAACAGATGCCCTCAATAAAGGGTATCTTCCCAATTAAAGAAGTTAAGGAAGCCTTAACTATCGCAAGAGATTTGTGATATATGAGCGTGCTTGGTTGATATCCAGGGACCCATTACATCATCAAATTCTCCCAAAGTGAATTCAGTCTTTACTTCCTGTTTTTGGGTCCTCAGCCCGGAAGCTGATCTTTGATTTAGTAGCTGAGGAACAGAACTGAGATAAAAAAAATTCAAGATGCGAGAAGCAGACCCTATCAAATACAGGAAAGCTTTGTGGTGTCTGGTTTTTAGTTTTTTAAGTAAAAACAACTTTATCCATTATTGAAAGTACAAAATCTATTTATGTTTTTTGTGACAAATGAAAACACTGTAGAGGCTCAGTATGGTGGCTAATGCCTGTAATCCCAGATCTTTTTTTTTTCTCTTTTTTGTTTTTTTGAGATGGAGTCTTGCTCTGTCGCCCAGGCTGGAGTGCAGTGGTGTGATCTCGGCTCACCGCAACCTCCACCTCCTGGGTTCAAGCGATTCTCCTGCCTCAGCCTCCTGAGTAGCTGGGACTACAGGCATGTGCCACCACGCCCAGCTAATTTTTTGTATTTTTAGTAAAGAGGGGGTTTCACCGTGATAGCCAGGATGGTCTCCATCTCCTGACCCTGTGGTCCACCCACCTCAACCTCCCAAAGTGCTGGGATTATAGGCGTGAGTCACTGCGCTGGTCCCCAATTTTTTTTGTATTTTAGTAGAGATGGGGTTTCACCATGTTGCCCAGGGTGGCTTGGAACTCCTGAGCTCAGGCAATCTGCCCGCCTCAGCCTCCCAAAGTGCTGGGATTACAGGCATGAGCCAACATGCCCAGCCAATCCCAGATCTTTGAGAGGCTGAGGTAGGAGGTCATTTGAGCCCAAGAATTCGAGAGCAGCCTGGGCAACATAGTGAGACAATGCAAAAAATTACATAAATTAGCCAAGCCTCATGGTGTGCACCTGTAGTCCCAGCTACTTGGGAGGGTGAAGTGGGAGAATCACTTGGGCCCATATGTTTCAGGCTGCAGTGAGCTGTGATAGTGATGGTGCCGTCGACCCCAGCCTGGGTGACAGAGCAGGACACCGTTTCAAACAAGCAAACAAACAAAACAAAATACTACAGAGGCATGTGAAGAAAATATTTATAGTGTGTTATTATCCCACCCTTCCCCATAACCCTGAGGTAGCCAAAGTTAATCATTTGGAGTATATTTGTCTTTTCCCTGCACTTTTATAGGGTATATATAAAGGAAAATGAGTGTCTTGCTCTACATATCAGTCTAGAACTTGCTTTTGTAGTCTAATGCTAAATTAGGAGGTTTGTCTTCCCGCAAAAGCCTCTGCAAACGTGCCCTTTGGGCTCAAACTATCTTCTCATTTACTGTTAGAAATGCAAGCTCTGGTCCTGCCCATAATCACAGTTCTTTGGAATGGTTAACCTGTTTTTTCACAAATAGTAGAGCACAGCGGAGCTGCCTTTTCAAGAACTGTCTGCAGCTACTGGTAAACAGGGTGCACGAGCTTGAGGTTGCTGTGTTTTGACCTCTGTTGGGTTCTTTCTTTAGGGCATGCATAGTGAAATAAAAACAACAGGCTCATGGCATGTGATATGACAACTCCATTTGCTGACATTTTTGTCTTTGGAACCTACTAGGTCCTGAGCTCCCTAAGGTCAGAGACCAGGGCATCTTCCCATATACCCAGTGCCCAGCAGTGGCTGGCCCTCAGTGGAGCTTAATTAGCTCAAAACAAAGGGTGTCAGGTTGGAACACAGTTTAAACAATCTTAAACAGATTTAAGGCTAGTACATTTAGCCATTCAGGAAATATTTATGGAGGGCCAGCTATGAGTGAGGTGCTATTCTGAGTTCAGGAAATGAACTGATGAACATGATAGACTCTCACAGAGCCCGTAGTATACTTGGGAAGGCAGACAAAACAAAGAAGTGCTGGAAAGAGAATAGAACAGTTGATGTGACCAAACTGTGGCCAAGGCAGACCTCTCTGGAGAGAGAAAGGGCATCTAAGAAGAGACCAAAAAGTCGAACAGGAGCCATCTGGGAGAAGGTCTAGGGGAGTGAGCATCCCAGGTAGAGCAAGCAGCCAGGGCAAAATCCTGGGGTAGAAAAATACTGGGTAAGTCTGGCTTGTTAACAGCCTAGCAGCATTGTGATGAGGGCAGACAGTGGAGGCAAATATTAACTGGAATTGTGAACAGGGATAAAAATTCTATGTGAAGTTCTAAAGTGATAGTGTCCAATAGAAATGTAACATGAGCCATATATGTAACTTAAAAGTTTTTCCAGTAGGCACATTCAAAAATGCAAAACATAACAAGTAATAATTTTAACAATAAATTTTGTTTAACCCAATATCTAAAATATTATCATTTCAAATTGTTAGGTGATTTCTGACAGAACTTAAAACAGAATTACCATTTGACCCAGCAATCCCATTCTTGGGTATATACCCAGAGGAATATACACTATTCTACCATAAAGACGCATATACACATATGTTCATCACAGCACTAATCACAATAGCAAAGATATAGAATTAACCTAAATGCCCATTAACAAAAGAATGAATAAAGAAAATGTGAGGCCAGGCGTGGTGGCTCACATCTGTAATCCCAGCATTTTGGGAGTCCAAGGCAGCAGATCACTTGAGGCCAGGAGTTCGAGACTAGCCTGGGCAACATGGTGAAACCCCATCTCTACTAAAAATATAAAAATTAGCTGGGCATGATGGTGCACACCTGTAATCTCAGGCACTTGGGTGGCTGAGGCACAAGAATTGCTTGAACTCGGGAGGCAGAGGTTTCAGTGAGCTGAGATCGTGCCACTGCATTCCAGCCTGGGTGACAGAGTAAGACTCTGTCTCAAAAAGAAAAGAAAAGAAAAGAAAATGTGGTAAACATACACCATGGAGAATTATGCAGCCATAGAAAAGTATGAGATTGTGTCCTTTGCAGCGACATGGGTAGAGTTGGAGGCCATTAGCCCAAGTGAACTAACACAGGAACTAAAAACCAAATGCTGCATGTTCTCGTAAGTGGGGGCTAAAAAGTGAGCACATATGGGTATAAAGAAGGGCACCACAGATACCGGCACCTACTCGAGGGTGGAGGGTGGGAATTGAAAATCTACCTACTGGGTACTATGCTTATTACCTGGGTGATGAAATAATCTGTACACCAAACCCCTGCAACATGCAATTTACCTATATGAAAACCTGCACATGTACCTCTGAACCTAAAATAAAAGTTAAAAAAATTAATTTGTATGTTGATCTTGTATCTTTTGACATGGATGAATTTGTTTAATAGTCCTAGTGGGTTTTTAGGAAGTTCCTTACAATTTTTTTTTTTTTTTTTTTGTGGAAAATTATGTGGTGTGCAATGAAAAAGAGTTCTACTTTTTTTTCTCAATCTGGAGAATTTCATTTCACTTTATAGTGTAATTTATCTGGCTAGTACTTGCAGAACAGTGTCGAATAGAGTGTTAAAAGTGGAAATTGGCCAGGCACAGTGGCTCATGCCTGTAATCCCAGCACTTTGGGAGGTTGAGGCAGGTGGATTACTTGAGGTCAGGAGTTTGAGACCAGCCTAGCCAACATGGTAAAATTTTGTCTCTAAGAAAATACAAAAATTAGCCAGGCATGGTGGTACGCATCTGTAATCCCAGCTGCTCGGGAGGCTGAGGCAGGAGAATCCCTTGAACCCAGGAGGTGGAGGTTGCAGTGAGCCAAGATCATGCCACTGTACTCCAGCCTGGGTGACAGAGCAAGACTCCATAAAAAAAAAAAAAAAAAAGTGGAAATTTATGTCTTGTTCCCAAACTTACAGATAAAGCACTCAGTCTTTCACCATTAAGTATAATGTTAGTTGTAGGTTTTCATAGATGACTTTTTGCAAGACTCAAAATTTTTTTTCTATTAGTGTACTGGGGGTTTTATCACAAAGAGTGTTGGATTTGTCAAATATTTTTCTTTGTTTATTGAAATGTTCTTTTTTGACATTTATTCAAGTAATATTGTATATTATCTTAATTGACTTTAGGATAGTGAGCCAACATTGCATTTGTGAAAATAAAATCTTACTTGGTTGTAGTATATTAAAAAAATTGTTATCCACACAAAAATTAATGAGTTTTTTTTGTACTTAAGTCTTTGAAATTGTATATTTTGTGCATATCTCAATTTGCACTTGCCATACTTCAGGTGCTCAGTAGACCCCTATGCCAGTAGACTTCAGGTGCTAGTGGTTACCTTAGTGGACAGCGAGACTCCAAGATTTCCAAGGAGGAGTTCTCCTACCAACTCACATGGCCTCCTTTGTGCCTGTGCCTTAACAGGCTGTCAGATGAGCTTGCTCTCAGGCTTGCTCTTCTGTTGGGATGGATTTCATGTTCCACCGTCAACGTCACTCTCATTCCCAAATGAGTGCTTGGGATCCACCACCACAATCCATCCTGACTGGTTGGTCAGTCTTTCCAAAGACCCTGAGGTTGGTTCTTCTGGCATCTCACAAGATCCAATACTTGGTAAACAGCAGGACCAGCTATGTCCTCCCTAGTTGGTCCCCGGGGGGTGGCTGGTCAATGAGCCCGACACAGTTCAGTCTCTGGGAAAGGGTGATTGCCTATAATCATCCCAAACAACTGTGCTATTTCTGAAAAATGCCAGGGTAAAACTTTCCAAGGAAACCACACAAAAGCCACCAGAGAAAGGGAGAGGCCAAGTACAACCTGCTCTCATTCTTACTTGTTATTCTGTCTGCATTACTTGGGGCGAAAGTCACAGGACCTTGCTTACCCTTGTCTCTTTTCTTGGCCACGTTCAAAGATATGCCATCCTCATAGTCTGATGTTTCATCCCAAGCATCTGACACGTGTCAGACACAATTCAAGATGCTGATGCTTACAAATCTTCACAAGGGTAAGCTTGTGCAATCAGCTTTTATATCTTTTTTCTTTTTATGTTACTATTTCTCTCTCTCTTTTCCCCTTTCCTTTCTTCTTTCCTTTCTCTCTTTCTTTCCTTCTTTTTCTTTTTCTCTTTTTTAACAAACCCTTGTATTAAGGGCTGACTTTCAATAGATCTCACAGAGAAGGAGCTGCTCTGCTATGTACAAAACCCCAACCCAGAAACAGGTTGTTTACAAATGGGTCAGCATCAGGTTTCCCATAAATGTGCATTGCTTGATAGATAGATGAGGGGGCAGGGCGGCTTTTTATGTTAATATTTTTATGAAATAGAGCTTGGATTATAAGTTTCAAAGAGAGAAGCAGGAAAAAACATGAAAATGATACTATTTTTGAACATTTTCTATATTCCAGGCATTCAACATTCCATCCTGTTTCATCACGATCCTACAACATATTATCTCCCCATTTTATAGATGAGAAAATTGAAGTTCACAGAGGCCAACCCTCTTAATACGTAGAAGAGCAGCGTACAAGCTCCACTCTATGACTCCAGAGCCTGATAACCTAACTACTATGCTTCCTGGCTTAGCACTTGCTGGGACTTTCCACAGAAGACTATCATTCCCTGAACTCAGTGCTGGAAAATCAATTGTGTGACCCATTTCACCAAGCCATGGACTCGCAGAGCTTTGTTTCTGTCCCATTTGACTGAGCAATGCTTATGCTGGATTGCAAAGGTGGAACACACTCCCTGGTTCCTCAGAATAGCCACTCCTCTTTGCTCCAACAACATTGGCTCTTTTGCTGCTGGACTAGCCCAGCAAATGTGTCGATGAGAAGTTATGTGTCTGCTACCCATGGGAAAAGGACATCTCCACGTTTCTAAAAAAATAGCAGTTTTCAGCTTTCTCCTCTGGTAAGGCAGAGTAGGGGAGAACTGGAGCTTTCAAGTAGGGCAGACTCAGGTTTGCATCCTAACCTCATTCCTTATCAGCTGTGCAACCTGAGGCAAGTGTCTCAACCTCTCAGTTGCCTCATTTTTCAAAAGCGACATAAGAATAGTCTCTGAATCATTAAGTTAATTAAGAGAATTTTTTAAAATTACATAAACCTACTAGCAAATGCTAGTAGCAATGGCTCATGCCTATAATCCCAACACTTTGGGAGGCCAAAGAAGGAGGGTCGCCTGAGGCCAGGAGTTCAACAACAGTCTGGGTAACATAGTGAGGCCCTGTCTCTACAAAAAAATTTTAAAAGTTAGCCAGGTGTGGTGGCACATGCCCGTAGTACCAGCCACTCCGGAGGCTGAGGCAGGAGGATCAGTTGAGCCTGGGGGGTTGAGGTTGCAGTGAGTCATTATCATGTCCCTGCACTCTGGGTGATAGAGTGAGACACTGTCTCAAACAAAACAAGATAAAACAAAACAAAAAAGATATGCTCATTACTGTCTCTATGGAAAAATTAGCATCTTGTAAAACACCAGAGCAATTTGCAATGAGCTGTTCCTAGTTCCTCCCTCCCCAGCCCATCTTCAGCTAGACCTAACCTCCCTCTATTCTAAAGCTCTGGGAAAGTCTGGAGCTAAGACCATTAATTTCAAGGCTCCCTGGACCACCTTAAAGCCAGGAAACTGATCCATCCCACACCTGTCTTCGTTTCTCTCTTCTTTTCCATAAGACCTCTTACTCATCACTGGCCCACCGTTGGCTGGCTTTCTCCACCTCAGCATTTCGCACTGTGGGTTACCATGTGGCTGGATGTGCTATGAGGAAAACAATTTCACTTCCTTTAAAACCTGCCATTTGAAAATAGTAACACCCTGGCCACCCAAATGAAAAAAGTGAGACTTTTCAAAAGGAAAGAAGGAAAGGAACAAAGAAGGAAAGAAAAGAAAAGAAAAAGAATTATTCTTACATACAGTTTTCAGAGGGCAATTTAGGATCATCTATTAAAATGTGTTTTCTCATAAGAAACTATGAAGAGCAGATACCTGTGTGGGTGGTCCTGGGGGCTGGGAGTAGGGAGTGTGAAGAGAGCTTTCTTTCTTTCCTTTTTTTTTTTTTCTTAAGAGATAGAGTCTTGCTCTGTTGTCCAGATTGGCCTTGAACTCCTGGTCTCAAGCAATCCACCCGCCTTGGCCTCCCAAGGAGCTTTTCTTTTTACCTTGTATCCTTCTGTACTCTTTGAATATTTTGCCATGAATGTGTATTTCTTTTATAATATTAAAAACAGTTAACTAAAATGAATAAATACATTTCCCTGATCTGATTTATTCTATGGAAACATTTGTTCAAAATATATAAAGATGTAATAAAAAGGATTTTCACAGAAGCATTATTTATTACACTAAAATAAACTGGAAAAACTTAAATATCCATCAATAGACAAATGGTTAAATTAGTTATGGTTAAACATCCATCTGTGTATGGTTAAATTCGTCATCATACATAATGACTACTCTGTAACCATTAACAGATAATAAAGTTCATCTATACAGAGGGACAAAAGTATATACCAAGTGTTAAAGAGCAGATTTAAAGCAACAGATGGAGCATCATCCCATTTTTGGAAGAAGAGATTATGTATTAGTATATGCAATATCCAAAGAAATAATACAAGAAGAAAAACATTCCAAGCTGCTAACACTGGTTCTTTGTTGTAGGTTCCACTGTGGCAGAATTTCACAAAGTTATATATTCTTATGATATTTGAAGTTTTTACAGAGAGTGTGAAGCAGGAGGAAAAGCAGAGAAATGAAAATAATATTTTAATACAGTTAGAAGTTTCAAAAACATCATAGTGTCAACTTAGATGATTATGGGAGAGGAATAAGGGGTATGCATCAAATGCTGGGTGTGCGAAATGATGCACGCCCTTGTAACCGCATAACCCCATTAGCAGTGAGCAGCAGCTAGAGAGCACCTGCCACCTGCTCATCTGTATCCATGGGGGTTCAAGTACATGACAGTCTCTCTCATGTTCTTCTTGAGGGATAGCCTTTTTCTTCATAGATTCTAATAAAGTAATTCAGTGTGCTTTTATATGGGTATATTTATCTTATAAGTGAAATGATAACTCAGGAATAATGTCCAAGCCCCATTCTTACTAGATCAAGGTAACATGATCCTAGCATGTTGAAAACATGTGTGTTTAGATTTTCTTACAAAAGGGAGCAGAGAGAAAAGGACTTATGTGGAAATTAGGAGCAAGAACTAAGTGATATTTTCCAAGCATAAAGTAGATTCTCAAGGCATCCTCTGTATTGTTTCTGTCAGTATCTCTGAGCTGTGAATATTCCTTCAAAGACCTTCCTCCCAGAATAAGAAATATGAAATGTTAAATGAGTTTGAAAGAACGTATTTTTTGTGTCTTCTTTTTAAGCACTGAAGGACCAGTAGCCAAAATACATAAGTGCATAAAAACTTCATTGCATTTCAGGAAATAACTGCTTGCACTGAGGCGATGTTCAATTAATATCTGTTAATTGATTGAAGGAACAGCAAGTAAAACCAAGTATGCAGCAGAAAGTGATTATTGTGAACCCTATGACAAAACTTTTAATGGAAATGATTTGGAATAAGATTTCCAGAAAAATTGGCAGGTGGATAAAAATCTCTTGACAATGAAAATGTAGGTTAAAACTAGTCTGCCCAAAGTGTTTAGCTGGTAGTTAAAGAGCTCCTACAAATTAAATAAAATACTAATAAACTTATAGGAAAATGAACAAAAGGAATATATTTAAGCATATGGAAAGATGCTTAATGTCACTATAACAACAGAAATGCAAATAAATTATACTTAAGTACTATTTTTTAAACCCCTATCAGATTAGCAAAGATCAAAACATAAGATAATGGTGTTTGTGAGGTTTTGAGAAAACATGCTTCTCACATGTGGCCCTGGGGAATGTTCACTGGTACAACTTCTGTAGAGAGTAATTTGCTCATAGTCAACAAAATAACAGATGCAAATATCCTTTGACTCAGCAATTCCACTTCTAGAAATGTTTTCTACAGACTGGAGCTTCTCAGCCTCAGCATTATTGACATTTTGGGCTGAATAATTTTTTGTTGTGAGTCTGTCCTGTGAATTGTAGGATATTTAGCAGCACCCTCAGCTTCTACCCACTAGATGTTGGTGGCACCCTCCTCCCCACTTATAACAACCAAAAATTTCCCCAGGTTTTGTCAAATGTCCCCTGGTGGGCAAAATCACCTTTGGTTGAGAACCACTGTTATAAAAGTATTTATGGAAAATGACACATCTACAAGGCTGTTCATTTCTCATTGTGCATAATAACAAAAACTGGAAACAGACCAACCTTCATTAAAAGAAATTTTTCATGCATACAATGAAGTATTATGCAACCATAAACAGAATGAAGAATATCTTTGTGTATCAGTGTGGATCAATCTCCAGGATACATTGTTAACCAACTAAAAGAAAAGTTAAGAAGTGTGTGCAGAGTATGTTACTACTATTTAAAAAGGAAGAAAAGAAGAATGTTTATTAGTATTACAAGTATATGTATAAAGTATTATTGGAAGAACTTATAAGAAATTAACTATCGTGGTTGCTGTGATGTAGGACAGCAATGTGACTTGGGACAAAGATGGGAGATTTGTTACTGCATAACATTTTGCAACTGTTTTTTTAAAATTATTGAAATGTGCCACATGGCGAAAGGCCATTATCTGAAAAAATAAAAATAAAATTATGTGAATGTATTATCTCTTTAAGGATTAAAAATTAGTCTGCATTTTTCACAAGATCGCCAAACAAAAGTGACTATTAATACACAGATATGAAGTCCAGCAGGCACGGAGGCAAGGGGACAAAGATTCATTCCAACAGCAGTTAATTATGTGTTAGGAACCAGTTATATAAATCTGAAACACAGTTGGAAAGCAACGTGAACAATACTAACTTCATGTTATTGAGGTTTACAATGAGCTTGTTTGGAATTAGAACAGCCTTTTCTTGGATTGAGAGAAATGTGGGTTCAGTTTGTGGCAGGAGGCTCATTTGCTCACTGTGCTCTGGCAGAACGTGGGGGCCTGGGATCTCTTTTGACCATCTTCCCTGCTCCTCTGTGCTTATATCTATTAATGGCAAAAACCACAATTACTTTTGCAGCAACCCAATATCTTCAAGTGCCCTGGACTCTGTGGATCACCTCTGCGTCTCCAAATGTCCAGTGGAGGTTATTACATTTCACTCTTGGAACTACTTAAAAGCAAATTATAATGAATTATGATTCATGTTGTTATCCCAAGGATTCAGTGCTCCCAGGCTTCAGTTTCCAACTTAGCTTGGCAATTTCTACCATACCCTAGTTCCCTCAAATAGTATTGTCTGCTCAATAGTATTCTTTCAATTGACTTATTTTTTCCACATAAACAAATTTATTCTAGGAGGAAACTTTAAATTACCACCATAAATTTTAAAACACTTATTTCTAACATAAATTATAGTAGATACATAACTATTAAAGACATGTTAAAACCAGATTTGTCCATGTGCCATCTTGTGTGCTCCTGATAGTACCCCACTTTGGGAAACACCAAATTGGATCATTGTCATGGAAATGGCCTCAGCATGGATTGTGGAAAAGGGTGAGGTTTGGTATTAGCTCCCTCAAACTCCCTTTCTGGGTCACTTCGCTAGGCTAATACTTTCCTCCTGGTACTCCTTGTATTACCACTTTGGATATAGCTTTCCCAGAATGTTATTCCCAGAAAAGGCTCAATAAGTGGCTAATGCTGCTATTAGTTGTTAATCTGGAAAATTAAATAGTGCTGAGGCGGATACAGCATCTTTCCTTGTCAGAGGCCACCCCAGGAACAGATCCTCAGGTTTACAAGTCCAGGAACTCATGTTTGTCAGCCCATAGAGTTCAGGTGAATGGAAACACACTCTGCAAAGTCACCAAAGACTGGCGAATTCACAAACTCGCAGCGAGAAACTGGCTGAGATGCTCGCAGTCGTGAAGGTAAGTAGAATTACCTTCTTGCAAAATGTAATTCTACTTGGGTAACCACAGAGATATCAGGACAGGTCACACTAATGTATGTAGGAGCAAAGTATAGGGAATCCTTATGTCCTAAGGCATGCTGTTGCCTTTACACTTTTCACTTTGCTTCCTTGGGTAAATTACTTACCGTCCTCGTAGCTCCATTGCTTCCTCACCAAAACAAAATTTTACTTTTATCTTGTTCAAAGAATTGTAAGGAGGAAATGAGAAAATACTTAACAAAGTGTTCAGTCCTCTTCTTGTAGTGATGCTAACTATTGTGGTTTTTTAAAAAAAATTGTTGCTGTTGATGATGTTTCTGCTGTCTTTCGGGTAAGTCTGCTGGGCAATCTGGAGCAAGCCTGCTGGTCCCGACTCAACACCTCTATTGGATTATGTTAGAAACTCACCAACAAATCCTTGCCCCAACTCTGCCTTTTCAGCTTCTATTAAAAGACTTATCAGACCCAAACAAGCTTAGATCTGAAAATGTCCATTGAAGAACATTTAATCCAACTTTTAATATTCGTCCTATATGTGTAACCTAGATAGAGATACTTAGTTTCTATAAACCTCAGCCTTCTCATAAATGACATGGGGATAACAATAGGATAACATAATGAATGTGGTTATTGTGAATATTTATGATATAAGACATATAAAACACTTAACCTTGATGCTATGAAACACAGCGAGAACTCATTAAATATTGGCTGTTATTATTTCAGATTTTGTATTGGTTACACATGAAATGTCTGACTTCATTTTTAGGGTGCGTTCTTGGGGTCATGCTTGTATTTTGACAACATGCTTTCTCATGAGCCACACAGTTATTAATCACCCTAAAGGTATTACTTCCTGGAAAGATTTCCATGTTTGGCTAATCTCCATCACTTTTTGTGAATTCCTGATATAATTGGCAGAGATACACAATTTCCACTTAAAAACAAAGAGAGATAGGGTCTCGCTCTGTAGCCCAGGCTGGAGTGCAGTGGTGCAATCATAGCTCACTGCAACCTTAAACTCCTGGGCTTAAGCAATCCTCTTCCCTCAGCTTCCCAAATAGCTGGACTATAGGTGTGCACAACCATGCCCAGCTAATTTTTTTATTTTTTGTTTTTGTGGAGATGGGATCTCACTATGTTACCCAGGCTGGTCTCAAACTCGTGCCGTCAAGAGATCCTGTAATGCCAACCTCTCAAAGTGTTGGTATTACAAATGTGAGCCAAGTTTCCATGTTTTTGAACTGGAAGAGTCTTTAGAAATCATTCAGTCCAACTTTATAATGTTAGAGATGAGGACAATGAGGTTTCAAGGTGACTTTCTAAACTGGCTTTGTCTTTTCATTTCTACTATTCAATTTACATCCCAGGGGGAAGGGTCACAGAGTTGGAAGATAACTTGTTGATCCCTGAAAGTAAGGGACAGGCCAAGGGGCATAGGGTTCTGGGCAGTTTCCCTGCCCTGCTTCAAGCAGAGAACTTCCACTTCTCTCTGTTTTATATGTGGGGATGGTGATGGCTTGTATAATTTTATATTAAAATGTTTTTTAAATTTTGAAAAAGCATTGATCAGCTGAATCCTTTGATTTTATGGACAAGAAAGCTAAATCCCAGAGAGAGTAAAGAATTAGCCCGGTGACCCGGGTCCAAATCTCTTTTCTATTAGGCTGCCCTGTTGTTCCTTGCTCACCTCATCCGCTTTTCTGGAATTACAGCCTGAGAATTTCAGTGTCATAGGCCCTGTCTAAAATTAAAACTAACTTCTACGGAACAGTCAAAAGTGGCTCCTGTGACACCTTCTTGTATTTCATTTGCTCCTTGATAAGGTGTTTCATGACCTAACCCAAAGAGCTCATTCATGGGAACCTTTCAGACCACCCCTACTCTGTGACAGTCAGTTCGGGCATTCAGGTTTTGCAGAGTAGGAGACCTTTTGGCACCCCTTAAATCCAACTATGCAGGTGGTGGGTTCATCTACATACATGTGACACTGACTTTAAACCAAACCATCTCACCTATGTATAAAAGATCACGTATTTTCCCCTCTCTCTCACTAAAACATTCAAAATGGAGTACTTGAAAATCACAACAGTGAGATTCTTTTGTTTCTATTAGTTCCTTTTTAGAAACATAATCTTCTCTAATGGTTCTGAAAACAAACATGGTGCCGCTTTTGGTGGCCCACACACTGCTTCTTCAATCTCTTTGGAAGATGATGTAGCAATAAATGATCAAGACCAGAAAATGTTCTTATCCTGTGACACAATTATCCTATTTGGGGCACTCTATCCTAAGAAGCTGATTTTAAAAATGAGACAGCCCTATATTATGTATACTGCTTTTTTTTGGTGTTTTCATTATACCTGGAAACAACCTGAATGTTGAACCATAGCTAACAGATAAGTTCACCTATTCCTCCACGTATATAAAATAGATAAGCATGTTCTTGCAATGAACTGACTCAACCATTAAAAAATCATATATATGAAAAATGATTACTTTGGAGGCATTGTAGATATATGGAAATACATTTATATGAAAGAATAGATAGAAAAGTAGAATATAAAATTGTCATGCATTATGATTATAACTCTGCAAAAGATACATCTGCATGAGGGAAAAGACCAGTGCTGACACAGATAGTAAATTGATGTCTTCAGACCAAATTATAGAAAACATTCTGAATGTACTTGGTTCATTAATTTTTTTTGACAATATGAGGATCAGAATATTCCTTGCTCTGTCTTGAGATTAATCAAAGCTGATTTAACTCAATTCTAATTTGGTTTCAGTCTTTGCTGCTACTGTCTATCTGAGCTCAGTGTTGATCCTGACGCAGGTTATACACCAGGCACTTTCCCATCAAAACATGGAGTGAGATGATTCTGGACAAAGTACCCCCAGGAAGAAGGATGCCACAAAAAAGTTAAAACATAAGACCACTGCGGAGGTTGCAGTGAGCCGAGACTGTGCCACTGCACTCCAGCCTGGGTGACAGAGTGAGACTCCGTCTCAAAAATAAAAAAATAAAATAAATAAATAAATAAATAAAAAAACATAAGACAACTGAAGAACAACTCGTAGGATGGGACACTACACAATGGCCCAGGAGACCACTGCAGGAGACTGTACCCAGCTTCCTGGCTTCTATTCTTGGCCATTGTATAATCTGCTGACCCCATAGCTGTCAGTTCACTTCTAGATGGAGGGACTCACACCCACTGCTTCAACCTTGGAAACTTTTCATGGGAGTTGGAATCAAATCCAAACTCCTTGCCATGATCCACAAGGGCCTGCAGAGTTTGGCTTCTGCCCCTCGTCTTGTGCCCCTCTCTTGAACTCTGCATGTTCAAATCTCTGTTCCTCACGCAAGCCAAGCTTTTTCCTTCCTCAGGGTCTTTGTACTTGCCGTTCCCTCTGCCCAGAATGCTCTTTCCCATTTCTTCATTTAACTAGTTATTTCCTCAAACTTCAGTTTAGCTATAAATTCCTTCTCTGACCACCCCACCTCCCAGTTCAGCCAGAGTGGCTGCCTGGTCTTGCCATAGAACCTACCACATTCTCTATCTGCCCTATGCAGTTATACACTTGCTTGCTGTCTGTCCCATCCCCTAGAATGCAAGCTATTAGGGTGGTGCACAAGTAATTGACCTCAATTAAAAACCTCAGTTACTTGTGCACCAACCTAAGACACCTGCCTCCATTACTTACCACTGCGTTCCTCACATCTAGCGTGGTGCCTGGCACAGAGCAGCTATTTACAAAATGTTTGCGGAACAAATGAATAAATTGAAATGTACCAACACAGAAACGTTTCCTTGATACAGAGTCAATAAAAACAAACAAACCAATAATAATCATAATAAAGATATGGCAAAATATATGAAGTTTGGGGGGAAAAATCCCTATAGTTGAATTTTTATAACAAACAGTTATAATTTCTGTGACTTTTTAAATATCAGAAAAGGAAAAATATAATGAGAAGCCTACTTACAAATAACTTTAGGTTAATAGGAATTATATGGCAACATAAGACATAAGAACCTGTATCTAGCTCTTATTTTATTAAAATACAGAAAACTTTTACTGAATTTCAAGGAACTGAGAAGACTGTTGATCCAAAAGGGGACTTTTATATGCATGGGAAGGCATTACAGACCTGTTTTCTCCTTAGGATCACTTTTAGTGAGGCCTCTGAGTGTCATGAAGCCAAACCCAAACTGACCTCTGGATGAAAATTATGTCCTGGAAGGTCTACTTTTTCCAGTAGGCCTCATAATTCACTGATGAATGGGAGGAATGTATTATTAGTTCGTTAAGAAAATGAGGGTGGAATGAGGATTTACTATTTGGTCCATGAACATTTGCGAAGAGCTTTAAAATAGTTTTTTGTAGACACGATTTCCACGTTTGATATTTACATGTCTTGTTTTACATGGAGCTTGTAGTTCAAGAAACTGAGCTCTTCTTCTTTTCCTTTTTTTCTGTTTTGTGACAGCACCTTGCTGTGTCGCCCAGGCTGGAGTGCAGTGGTGCGATCTCAGCCTACTGCAACCTCTGCCTCCTGGGTTCAAGCAATTCTCCTGCTTCAGCCTTTCAAGTAGCTGAGATTACAGGCATATGCCACCACGCCTGACTAATTTTTTGTATTTTTAGTAGAGATAGGGTTTCGCCATGTTGGCTAGGCTTGTCTCAAACTCCTGAGTTCAGGTAATCCGCCCGCCTTGGCCTCCCAAAGTGCGAGGATTACAGGCATAAGCCACTGTGCCCAGGCTGAAACTGAGCTCTTCTGCTTTCTTTCAGACTGAGTCAGAATCTAAACTCTCGTGTTTATAGTATTTCTCTGTGGGCTATTTCTACTGCAGAAACTGATGAATGGGTGTACCAGTCCCTGAACAGTAGGAATCAAATCTAATTTTATTGTGAGAAAAGAAAATATCAATACAACGGTTATCTCCATAAAACATTAACCTCACATTACACAGGCAAAGATCAATTCATGATGACACTCCATTAAAACAGATGCAAACTGTGCATGTCTCAATTGCAAAGTACTTTGCTTGGGCCCTTTCTTGTCTCTGTGTGGCTAGACAAGGCCCACATTTTTAGCTTTCAGATGCTTTTCTGAATGCAACATGAGTTATGTGACCTTCATTCATTCCCCGGATATTTACTGATCACCTACTACAACTAACCAGTGCCCAGAACTGTTTTAGATGATGGTGATACTGTGATGAAGAAGACAGTCAAGATCTCTGCTCTCATGGAACTGCCCTTCCATTAGATGGACAGACAGAAATTAAACAGGGAAGCAGATCCATAAACCTAACAAATAAATGCAGATACTAAGGTATCTATGTGCTTTGAAGAGATGGGAAATAAATCAACAACAGAATTAGCCAGGCGTGGTGATGCACTTCTGTAGTCCCAGCTAGTCGAGAGGATCGCTTGAGTCTGAAAGGCAGAGGTTGCAGTGACCCAAGATTCCGCCACTGCATTCTAGCCTGGGTAACAGAGCAAGACCATGTTTCAGACAAACAAGCAAACAAACAAACCCTCCTGCAAAAATCTGGGGTGTTTGAGACAGTGGAAACAGCTAATGCAAAGATCCTGCATCCTGAGAATGAGTGCCATTTTATGTGTGTGTCTCACTTGTCTCACCCTAGTCCTGGCCCTGTACAAAGGCCCTGCTGAGACCTTGAGCTTGGAGTGCTTATGGTTCAGGAAGAAGGCAGATGTGACAGAAGCACATAAAGGGAGTGTGGTGTGAAGTGAAATAAAGAAGGCAGGCTGGGACCACAGGATGAAGGGTCTTGAAGGGCATAGTTGAGAATTTATTTAAATACCCTAAATAGCCATGGAGGGTTTTAAGGTAGAAAGTAGTATCTGATTTAAAATTTTAAGGTTCATTCTAGGTGTTGTGTGGATAACAGACTGTAAAAAACTTCAAATGCCAGCAGAAGCCCAGCTGGAAGGCAACTGAATGACATGGGAATGAAGAGAAGAGAGCCCATGACTGCTCAATGTCACAAGTAAAAATGCCTGGGTAGTTTTAAGAATATTATCTGCATGGCGAGGCATGGTGGCTCATGCCTGTAATCCCAGCACTTTTGGAGGCTGAGGCAGGAGGATTGCTTGAGCCCAGGAATTTGAGAACAGCCTGGGCAATATAGTGAGACCCTGTCTCTATAAATTTTTTTTTTAAATAGCCAAGGATGATGGTGCATGCCTCTAGTCCCAGAAACTCAGGAGGTTGAGGCAGAAGGATCACTTGAGCCTGGGAAGCTGAGGCTACAGTGAGCTGTGATCCCACCACTGTACCCCAGCCTGGGCAACAGAGCAAGGTTCTGGGTCAAGAAAAAAAAAAAGAATATTATCTACGGAGGCTTTAGCTGTAAAAGGCAAGGAAGGAGGGGTAAGACAGGCAGAGGAAAAAGGAGAAAAGAGTTGCTTAATTCTCCTAAAAAGAGTTGAGGGCTGGGACCCGGCCCTCCTGCTAGTTCCTACATGTGCCTTTCTGACCCAGCACTTAAAATTCCAACCACCTGAATATCTGAATCTTCCTCTTCCTTGTTCAACGATAGGCCACACACTACTACCTCCAGGGAGTCTTTGTTACTTGTTTCTACACCCAGTAATCTCCCTTTTGAAGTCCTATGTCACTTGCCTTGGTCTCTATTATTTGGGTATTGAACCTTCTCTATTTGAGCTTCGTTTGTGTCTCTAACCTCTCCAGCTGAATCTATACCTTATGTCCTTACTCCCTCCTTTCTTTTCTCCCTTTCTCCTTTTATTCCCTCCACAAATGATGCATGAGTGAATAGTGTGTGCCAGACACTCTTGTAGACACTGGCAAGGCCATCTTTATCAACTTGGGTGCCTGCTCTCATAAAGCTGATAGTTCAATGGAGGGTGAGGTGGGGAAATTACATTAATACATCATCACATTAACAAATGAGTAGTTACAACTTCAGCATGTGCTGTGAAGAAAGGACACCTGGTGCTGTGGTAGAACAGGACAGGAGGACATGACTTAGTCTAGGGACATCAAGGAAGGCTTTCCCAAGTAAGTGACACTTAAAACGGAGGCTTTAACGTTGAAGAAAACCTGGTGTGGTTGGATTCCAGAGATGAGGGAAAGTGAGACATGAGCTGAGACAGACGAGACCATGTGTTAGATTCTGCTGGTGTCCATCGTTAGGGCAATGGGGAGAGCCGCTGTAGGGACACATCAACGTCTGATGAAGGTCATCAGGACTTGACTACAGTCACATGTGAAAAGCTGGTGCTGGTTGCCATGTGGAGGATGAAGTGGCAGGCAGGGGTGAAGCGGGTGCAGGGACAACATGAGAGGTGGTAGCAGTCCCAGGTGATAGATATGCTGACAGTCCCAGGTGAGAGATATCCTGTGGGAATCTGGGGAGATTCTAGGAGAACTTTAGGAGGCAAAGCTTGCCAAGGCTCTCTCTCTCTCTCTCTCTCTCTCTCTTTTTTTGAGACGGAGTTTCACTCTTGTTGCCCAGGCTGGAGTGCAATCGCACAATCTTGGCTCTCTGCAACCTCTGCCTCCTGGGTTCAAGCAATTCTCCTGCTTCAGCCTCCCGAGTAGCTGGGATTACAGGCATCTGCCACCATGCCTGGCTAACTTTTTGTGTTTTTAGTAGAAATGGGGTTTTACCATATTAGCCAGGCTGCTCGTGAACTCCTGCCCTCAGGTGATCCACCTGCCCCAGCCTCCCAAAGTGCTGGAATTACAGGCATGGGCCATCGTGCCCGCCTCTCTCTCTCTCTTTTTTTTTTTTTTTAAGACACATAGCGGGGCTTCTTGAAGTGAATAAAGACAAGGATTTGTCCTGGGGCATTTGTGGAAAACGTAGAGGTCCTAAAATATTTCATTGCAGAAGACCCATTTGGCAGGGGGTACCAATTTTCAGGACTGTCCTTTACACTGGGGACTTCAGAGCAAGAATGTATTGCATACTGTGTAATAACCCAATGGAATCCCTGATTACCTATGAGTAACAACTATGGTAATAAGTACTATTTATCAGAGAGTAATGTAGACTCTAGAGACGTGGGACATCAGGCAAGTTGTTTAAACCCTCTTTGTCTCAATTTCTTGACCTACAAATTGGGGTAATAACAGTTCCTAACTTACAGAGTGGTTATAATGGTTAGGTGAAATAATTCACATTTTTGCACAGTGTTGGACATGTAGTAAGTGCTCAGTAAATGTTAGTTACTATCTTATGAGAATAAAGGTGACCTCCATCTTATTAAAAGGAAATAAGATCATGAAGGAATGTTTAATTATTTTATTTTATTTTTGAGACCAGGTCTCAGCCTGTTGCCCAGGCTGGATTACAGTGGCATGATCACAGCTCACTGCAGTCTCAACCTCCTGGGCTCAAGGGATCCTCCCACCTCACCCTCCTGTGTAACTGGGACTACAGGCATGCAGCACCACATCTGGCTTTTTTTTTTTTTTTGTGGAGACGGAGTCTCACCATGTTGCCCAGGCTGGTTTCAAATTCCTGGGCTCAAGTGATCCGCCCACCTAGGCCTCCCAAAATGTTGGGATTGCAGGCGTGAGTCTCTGTGTCTGGCCTTGCTTAATTATTTTAAAAACATAGGCCAGGCGCGATGGCTCACATCTGTAATCCCAGCACTTTGGGAGGCCGAGGTGGGCAGACCATGAGGTCAGGAGTTCGAGACCAGCTGGCCAATATGGTGAAACCCCGTCTCTACTAAAAAAAAATACAAAAATTAGCCAAGCATGATGGCGCGCACCCGTAGTTCCAGCTACTCAAGAGGCTGAGGCAGAGGAATCACTTGAACCTGGGAGGCAGAGGTTGCAGTGAACCAAGGTGGCACCACTGTGCTCCAGCCTGGGTGACACAGCAAGACTCTGTCTAAAAAAAAAAAAAAAGATAGCTTTTTAGAGAATTGCACAGCATTATATAATTTATACAAAATCACACAGATCAAATGTGAGCTAGTTTTTGACCCAGATCTGTCTGATTCCAGAAGCAGTGTTTGTGATCACTAGCAGTAATGCTTTCAAAAGCAAGGAAAGGGGACCATCTCCCCACCTACCATCTTTAATTTAGAAAGGATGCTTGCTGCAAGCAGGAGATGGTTCTGTTGCTAGATAAGACTGTAGGCTAAAGGGAAAAGGCCATGAGGAGTGGAGACCCTCACCCAGATGCTTACTGGAATGGTGATCTTGACTGTTTCTCTTGTTCCATGTAAATGATAATGCCTCCCACATCATAAGGAGCACAGCACACTTGATCCCTAAGGGGCAAAGAGTCATCAAAATAGGAGAACCTTTCCAGTTCTCCAGAGGGGCTTTCAGAAGACCAAGGTGGTGCTTGGGCAAAATTGTGAGTAATAATCACCTTACCATGTAGCAATTGGTAAAAAGCTTATAACATACTTTTCTCATGAAATACTCAACATCACTTGAAGTAGGTAGTGTTGGGGTCCTTACTTTACAAATAGGACACAGGCAGAAAGAGGTCAAGTGTCTGGTCTGAGATCCCACATCTAGAAAGTGGCCACGTGAGCCACACCAATCTATGATGCTTTATTCCCATTTAGGCTGCCTCTTCCATCCTGTGCTTACTCAAAGTGCCTGAGGCTCTCCATTTTCCCTTTACCGCTGAAAAGGATCCGATATCAGTCACATGCAACTAAGTATGCTGTTTAGTTGGTGGCTACCTCTCCAAGGATCATTTGTACTTAGGCTTGCCGACGGTGTGCTGGACTCGGCTTGTACTGGCCCGAGGTAGCTAATTGTTAAGTTTTCAGGAATCTGTGAGCCAGCAGACATCACATTGGTAGTTTAAAATGGGCCATGATGGGAATATTTACACCAAAGGAATTGGCAAACACTATGAATCAGGGCTCTCCAACAAGCCCTGTACTCGGATTCCTAAGCATTTACCAGGACATCCATGTGCCCTTATCTCTCATTGTCCTCTGTCATAGAATTTCAGGCATCAGGGACAACTTGGAAAAAAATTGACAGGCACAGGAGAGCCTCTGAAATCATGTCTGTCTGCAAGCTACCACCTGCCAAATCTATGCTTCTTTCTGGCCCACTGCTCCAGCAAGATGAAGGCGCTTCTTGGCCCCTCTGAAAACACTTGCACATCTCAACAGGAAAAACAGGCATCGAACACCAGAACTAAAACCATGTTAAAGTAAAACCTCAATCAATTAGTATTATAATGACAATAGGCATGATTTTTTAGGTTAGAATAAACATACTTGATTTCTAGAATTACAGAATATGTTCTTGAGTATGTAGAAGGGTTATTTTTCATATGGTGTTATAAATTCATAGAATATGAGAACTGCAAGAATCATAATTTTACACATGAGAAAAGAGAAAAAGAAGCTCTGACACCCGACACCCTAAGAGGGGCAATAACTGGCCAAACAGCTCATAATGCATGTATATCTACCCCACAAAACTTATATTTAGCCACAGAATAGAAGGAATCCAGGACCCTGATCTTAGCTTGACTTTGAAGAATCCTTGAATATCTCCCATAATTTGAAAATGAATTGTTATGACAGCCTGCTAGCTTCTGTAGAGACATGAAAGGGATACAAATAATGGTTAATTTTTACTAGATGCTTACCAGATGACAGGGCCTATGCTAAGTACCTAATATATTAAGTTGAATTGTTTGAAACTTCTAATATCTGATATTCGATCTGCCAAATAATTTCAAAAAGTTCAGCCTAAAGACATTATACCTCTGAGTCTTTGCCATCTTCCTATGAAATGGGTACTATTATCACACCCATTTTACAGATTGAAAATGAAGCCTTTAATTTAAAAATGAAAATGTTCTTCCCATAAGTGTAATGTTATTTACTTATGAGTAATATTAATGCAGCCTTGTGTGCAAATTGGTGGCCTGAAACCATGTAGTATACCTAAGACATGAACAATAATAATTCACATATATTACCTTTTTCAGGGAACTTGGATAAATTTCTAATTAATAAACTTCTATAATAATTAAATAATTAAAGAAATACTTTTAAAATGTTATTTATAAGAGTAAAAAAGGCATTAGAAAACAAGAAATTTGATGTTTGGACATGTATTCTCTATATCTCACATGGAAGAATTAGAAACTGTAGCCTAGGGCTCCCCAGAATGAAGTAATTGTCTTGAAATTTTCCATAATGCTCAGATAAAGAAGTAGGGTGATTTTACAACCTTGTCTACATGCAAATTATGACCAATAATATTCTGAATTAAGGCCATCTGGTTTTGTGATTACTTACAAATAATATTGAGCTGAATTCACAATCAGTTCACAAATAGCAGTTGGGCTAAGGAATTATTAATACTAACTAAATGAGATGATACTATGTTGAATCAGAAAAACGAACTGGTGAAAACTGCAAAATGGACTTTGAAAAAAATATTTAAAGGTACATGACTGTTCTTTCAATATGAAACAAAAACTTTAAATGTTCCATTCACAAAAAAGCATTGAGTAATGCCATGCGATTTATTAGCTCTACATGATAAATCCCCCAAGTTCACAAACTGGGCTCCTGGCCACCTAGCAAAGAGGACTTGCACGTAATTCCATGTGTTTTCTGATTGACTGGTAAATTGTTATCAGTAAGAGTCTGATAATAAGACAAGCAATTCTTTTCACTTCTAAAGAGGCAGAGCTATTTCGCCTGCAACTTTTTTGTTTTCTGTATTTTTTTAATTCACAAAAGACATGCAACACCTGCAACTTTAAAAAGTGAGGCATCCATAGGCTCTATACCCAGCCTGACCTCCTCTGGAGCTCCATCTCATGAAGTGCTTTAAACCCTGGCACACCAAAGAATCCCAAACTCATGCCACCACCTACTAAGTCAGACTCCAACAAAGAACTGGAGCACTTTTGTTTCTAAGTGACCATCAGGCACCTAATATTATTTTCCCTTCAGTAAAATATAAGTGATAATCCTTGTCCTACCCCACTAATGATGTAAAAATAATATAACCATACAGTAAGAAATCAAACATGCTTTGAAAAATTGCAGCATAGGGCTAAACAAGAGCCACTGCATAAAGCAAAGAAGTTTTGAAGAAGAAAGGGATCTTGAAGGTTGTTATTTCCAGTTTTTTCATTTTATGAAGAAAGAACCTGAAACAGGAGGTAGACATTTGCCCAGACTGGATCACCTACTGAGAAGTAGAGTTTGGTCTCCTGACCCTTTGTCCAATGCTTTTTCTACCAAACTACATTATTAGGATTATTCCTGTTGCTTTTGTTATTAGTGATGTTAAGAAGCACAAGACTATTTTTAGATAAAGAGATAGACTGACCTAGCAAAGCAGCCATACTCCTTCTGGGTAAGAACCGCTGGTCTGCACTGCAGAAACTTTGTTCTTAATAACCCTGGTGTCCTAAGAAGTCTATCAAGAGATGAAGAGGTTTGCCATTGTGCCTTACAACTTTTAGATAATTAAATGCCTGGGAAATCTTATTTCAAGATCAGGCTAGCGACGAGTATTGAGACAAACAGAGTTATTCATGAAAACGTTAACACTGAACCCAAAACTTAACCATTCTAAACACCAGTTTCTTCCACTAAAAAATAAGAAAGCTGGGGTAGATCATCCCATTGAATGCTAGTGTTGTATTAATCTATGTTTCATTAAATTTAGTATGTTTCATTAAATTTAGTATGTTTCATAGAAAGTTCAAGTTTTATCGAATCATAATACTTGCTACCTAAAATGTTATTCATAATTTAAAAACCAAACATAACCTTGCAGGGGGAAAAAGCTGATGAATGTTAAATTTACAGTTTTTAGAACTGAAATCACCTAGCACCACCATTTCACCTCTTGACTGCTCTCTGCATTCTCCTCTGATTACTTTTACTGTACTTTTTATGTTGTTACAATAAGCATGTTTGTGTTTCCTGTGCTCTATTTTATGCTATGTATATATTTTTGCATTAGCCCAGTCCAAACATAAAATGCTATGCGAAAAAAGACAAATGAAACTGCTCACATACCCCATGACGATCTTCAAAGTATGCCAGGCTGGCTTTGGTTAACACAAAGAAGCGGACTTTAAAGTTCGAGGGAGAAGTTCTTCTCTTTTGTTGGGATTTCTTGATGAGCTGTTCTTCCAGGAGGATAAAGTTGTTCATGATCCAGTTCTTGAAAGGTGGTGCACCTTGGGCATCACCTCTTAGCACAACCAAAGGAAAGAGTTTTGGGGCAAAGAATGCAATGTGGAGGCAGTTGATCTTCAGAGAGCTGCTCAAGGGCAACTTGCCTTCAACGTTATCTTTCTATCAACGTTCAGCCAACATAGCTGAGCTTCTCCTCTGATGTCAAAGGCCGAAACCACATCCTTTCAAAATTCACAAAACGAGGAGGCATATGTAAAAAATACATACAGCCTTTGCTAATGGCTTGAAATGATATTTGAAAAACTGTAAACTCAAAATTGTGGTAAGGATTACAGTTTAATCTTTATAGTTCCTGGTTTAATCCATCCAGCAGTTAAATCATGTAGCACAAGGAGTAAGGACAATGTGTGGTTTTGCTTACCATGATATACTCAGCAACCATCACAGTACCTGACACATAAAACAGATGTTCAAGAAAAATTTGTTGAATGGATCATCACCAAATTGGGTTGGACAATTAAAAGAGGTAATGAGCACAAAACCCTCACACATTAAAGTGAAGAAATATGTTGCTGAAGTTTATTAGTTTTTAAGATTTAAATTAAAGCCCATAGAAATTTCTCAATGCTACATATAGATGACTGCCTTTCTGTCCTGACGTTTTGTGGAAGAGTGAAAAATAAGTGAATCCTTCAGAATGGCATAATAAACAAAGTATATGTGGGCTTTGAAAACAGACAAACTTGTGTTGGATTCCCAGCTCTGTCACTTACTATGCTGTTTCTCTTTGAGCAAGCCATGACTTCTCTGATCCTTAGCTTCCTTGTGAGGGTCCTTTGGAGGACTGAATCCCATACATCTTATGAATGGTAGGTGCTAGTCATACATGTCACCTTAGAGTTAGTACATAGTTGAAGTATAATGTGTGACAGTTACCTCTACTATGTTAATAATCAAGAGATTTTAGTGTAAGCAGATATTGCATGTAGTGGGTAGGGATAAATAATAAATGAAATAATAATTATTGCTGTATAGGAGTGAAATTCTCCAATGTTTATTTTTAAATGTAAATTACCAGACAACAGCCTAATTTTATTTCATATACTGGATGCCCCAGCATAATCAAGACACCCAGGAGGGTACGGTACTGGTATATTTTAAATTACCTCCCCCATTCTGAGATTCTTAAGACATATGTGTGGAAATACACTGCCCAAACAAGATAGTATTTTTTTTTTCTGAGTATGGGCTTGAGGTAGGGATTGCTACTATTCCCAAATAGCTACTCTCTCCTTCTTACTAGAGTAACAGAATCCCTGACAGTTATCTGGGCATCTGGCCAGCAAGAATAAAGACTACAAATTTTAGCCTCCCTTGTAGCTAGGTGTAGTTGTATGACTGTCTTCTGGTCAACTGAATGTAGCAGAAGTCGTGTGCACAACTTCTAGGAAATTTCCTTAGTGGGATCTGTCATCCCCTTTTCTTTCCCTTTTCCTCCTGCCTTGTGACTAGAATATTGAGGTAACAGTTGGAGCTGAAGCAGCTATCTAGTATCATGAGGTGGAAATTGAATGTTGAGGACAATGGAGTATAAGATAGAAAGAGCCTGGGACCCTGGTGACCATGGATCTTCCATGCCAGCCCTGGATTACATTTTTTAATATCTATTTTCTAAGTCTCAGTTATTTTGAGGTTTCTGTCACTACCAGCAAACCTAGATAATACAGTGCTATCTTCTCAAACTAGACTACAAACTCCTCTGAGGAAAGTACATTTTACACCTGCTTGGTTCAGATGAAAAGAGTTATAGACTTCACAAAGTGTTCTCATCCGGGAAAACAAAATATCATCAGTAGCTGTTGCAATACTTAGGAGTCTTTCGTTTGCTCAGTCTACATGGAGTGTCATCGTAAGTAATTTTATTCTCTTTCTCATAGAGCCATCAAACCCACTAACTGAGACTCATCTTTGCCAACTTTTAAATGCAAACTTAGGAGGCTCAATATTTTTTTCTCACTTTAAGGAAAACATAAACAAAAACAAATAGTCCCTTTGTTTGTTTTGGTTTTAAAAAGTTCACTTCATAGGAGCCAAATTCAAGGAGTTCCCACTTGCCAAAGATGGAACAATTTGAGTATCAAAAGGAATAATAATTGCCATGAATTGAAGAACAGCAAAAATGTTAAAACAATGAGTTCAAAAGAGAATTGAAAAAAGCATCCCAACCTTTTGATCACTTTTGGAGGATGCTGAAGAACCAACTTGTTTTTCTGAAAACTGGAAACAAAGGAAAAAAATAAAACATATTGCTTGCTTTTCTTGAAGAATTATCTTTCAATTCAGTGATCAAGTATTTAATGAGGAAGTTCTTTTTTTCCAAGAAACTAATCAATGAAGGAGTGACAGAATACTATCGTTTTGCAATGCCAATGAAATAATAAATGTAGGCAATGATCATCAATGGCTGTTAAAATTATTACGCAAAAAGCCAATAGGAAAATGTATAACTGTCATATGAAGCTGACAACACTGTAACACACTGATTAATCTTAAAAGAAGGACAACCAGACATTGTATGTCTCCTGAGGTGAAGCAAGAGGAAGTACACAAAACTGGCAACTCGGGAGTCTTGCCAAGAGAAAACAAAATCAAACACAAATCTAATCAAACTTCGAGATATAAATTCGAGTTTACAGGAAATACAAGAGATAAACGAACCTGACAAATGACACTGTGGAGATGCAATTGGATGAGTCCAGAATACAAAACATGCTAAGGACAAATGACTCAGTATCAGTAACAAATAAGTCATAGAGGGCAGGGCACGGTGGCTCATGCCTGTAAGCCCAGCACTTTGGGAGGTCAAGGGGGTGGATTGCTTGAGCCCAGGAGCTTAAGACCAGCCTGAACAACATGGTGAAACCCTTTTTCTACAAAAAATTAGCCAGGCATGGTGGCACACACCTGTAGTCCCGCCTACTCGGGAGGCTGAAGTGGGAGGATCACTTGAGCCCAGTGGGTGGAGGTTGCAGTGAGCTGGGATTGCAGCACTGTACTCCAGCCTGGGTAACAGAGCCAGACTCTGTCTCAAAAAACAAAAGCAAAACAAAACAACAAATAAATCAAAGGGGGAACCCTTAGATTAAAAGAGACTTTAAGAGACATATGAGCATGTTTGGACTTTGGATTAAGAGTTAAGCAAATCAACTGTATAAAGACGTTATGAGACAATTAGACAAATTTGAATGTTAAAGAGATGTTTGATAATACTGAGAAACTTGTTATTTTTTAAGATGTAATAATGGGCTGGGTGTGGTGGCTCACACCTATAATCCCAGCACTTTGGGAGGCTAAGGTGGGCGGATCACGTGAGGTCAGGAGTTCGAGACCAGCCTGGCCAACATGGTGAAATCCTGTCTCTACTAAAAATACAAAAGTCAGTGGAGTGTCGTGCTGTGTGCCTGTAATTCCAGCTACTTGGGAGACTGAGGCAGGAGAATCGCTTGAACCTGGAGGGCGGAGGTTGCAGTGAGCTGAGATGGTACCACTGCACTCCAGCCTGAGCAACAGAGCAAGACACCATCTCAAAAAAAAAAAAAAAAAAGATGTAATAATGGCACTATTATCATGTTAAAATAGTCCTTATTTTGTATAGAAACATACACTGAATTATTGATAAAACAATAAAATGTTTATGATTTGCTTCATCATAATCCAGTGGAGGGGGAGAAATTGGTAGGGGAAGGGATGAAAACTGTTTGACCATGACTTGATAATTGCTAAAGCTGGCTAATGGGTACATCATTATTCTACTCTCCTTGCACCGATGCACGTTTGAAAATTTCCATAATAAAAAGTTAAGCAAAGAAAAAGGGGCTGGGCGCGGTGGCTCACGTCTGTAATCTCAGCACTTTGGGAGGCCGAGGCGGGTGGATCACCTGAGGTCAGGAGTTTGAGACCAGCCTGGCCAACATGGTGAAACCCCGTCTCTACTGAAAATACAAAAATTAGCTGGGCATGGTGGCAGGTGGCTGTAGTCCCAGCTACTTGGGATACTGAGGCAGGAGAATAGCTTTAAACCCAGGAGGCGGAGGTTGCAGTGAGCTGATTGAACCACTGCATTCCAGCCTGGGTGACAAGAGCAAAACTCTGTCTCAAAACAACAACAACAACAACAATACAAAGAAAAGAAAAAGAAAGCCCAGTTCAGTTCAAGGTAATAATCAAAACTCCAAACATGTATTCAAGTTGATGCTTTTCCGTAACTTTGCATGGGTTTGCTTCAGGATTTGAAGCATGTTGGCTTTTCCACCATGTCCTAACCTCTCTTTTCCCACACACAAGCCTGGTTTCTGACACACCTGAGTCGGAAGCTCAGGCTGGAGGGAAAAGAGGAAGAGGGGTAAAGGGTGCAACGTTCATGAAGCTGCAGCAGTAATCTGGGGATGATGTCCTTGGGATGTGGTGGATGAACAATTGCTGCTTTTTCTTGCATGTTTCATGTGCTTTGCTGTTTTCAGAGATTTTCCAGCTGAAGGTTCTGACAACTGTTTCCCTGATGTAGGAGTTGCCACTCTCCTTGGCCAAGGAGCCCAACCCTCAGCCCTTGGGCTTTAGCTGTTCCAGCTCCTGTCGGGATTCATTTGTCCTGTCAGGACATAGGTTGTCCTCTTGGGTAAAATTTCCTTGAAAATGAACCACAGAGGCTGGGCATGGGGGCTCACGCTGGTAATCTCAGCACTTTGGGAGACTGAGGTGGGAGGATCCCTTAAACCCAGGAGTTCAAGACCAGCTTGGGCAACACAGGGAAATCTCATTTCTATTAAATAAAGAGAAAAAAGAGCCAGGCAAGGTGGCTCATGCCTGTAATCCCAGCACTTTAGCAGGCTGAGGTGGGCTGATCACTTGAGGTCAGGAGTTCAAGACCAGCCTGGCCAACATGGTGAAATCCTGTCTCTACTAAAAATACAAAAATTAGTTGGGTGTGGTAGCATTCGCCTGTAGTCCCAGATACTTGGGAGGCTGAGGCAGGAGAATTGCTTGAACCTGGGAGGTGGAGGTTGCAGTAAGCTGAAATCATGCCACTGCAATCCAGCCTGGGGGACAGAATGAGACCCCGTCTCAAATGAAGAAAAAAGAAACAGAACCACATACCACTTATTCCCTCCCATGGTTCTACTGGAAGACTCGGGCCTCCTGTCCCAGCCAATGATGGATATACCATTTGCCCCAAGTAGAGCCCCCTTTCCCTCTGACACCGAATAAGTAGCTCTTCCACAAACTTCCACCATTATGTTTCTCCAGTGGGATTTAGACACTAGTCCTTATAGCTGCAAAACTCTGGGACTCACACCAAGCTCCCTGAAGAGTCTCTTAAAGTCCCTTTTGGTTGGCTTCTGGTAGATAAGCACCCACCCACCTTCCCCTGTGGGCTAGTGGTGAGAGGAAACACAGAGCCCCCAACATTCTCTCTCTTGCATTTTCATGCCTTGTTTTCTAAAGGCTGAAGGTGGGCGAACGCTATTACTGGCAGAATCTGTTTTGCCTCTTAATGCGTCAAGTGTGGATGGAGGTACTTCATTCCCTTTATCACATTAATATAGGGCTTTGGGGCCGCAACTGAAACTGGGTTGGAAAAAACCTAATTTAACCCAATTTCTATAACAAAGGAAAAATCAATTCAACCTGGCACTGCTGGGTCCGCTGGTATTTAACGACGACATCAGAGGTTTTGGTTTTCATTCTTTAGTTCTGAGCTGGTTTCATGCATGGGCAAGCTGTCCTCCATGGCAGCAAAATGGCTGCTGGGCTAACATCTTACCAGTGGAGCTAGATCTCTTTCCTTATAGTTCTAGTAAAAGTCCCAGAATTTTGAGTCATTGGCCTAGCTCACATGATATGCTCGCAGGTACCTCAATCATTAGAGCCAAGACAATGGAATATTCATTTGACCCTTTCCAGGCCTGGACACACTCCTGGATCTGGGAGTGGGGTGGAGTCAGCCCTACCCAGCCACATGGACCTACCCATCCACAGATGGGGGAGGGATGGTTCTCTGAGGAACACTAGAGTGTTGCCACTAGAGGTAGGGGAATGGCTGCTGGATCAGATAAATGATTGCTCTCTTACTGTTACCTAAAACCCATCTTTGTTGCTTTATCTTTTGAAGTCCTACAACTCCAACCTTCTCTAGTCCGAGGACTTGCCCTTTGGATAACTCCAGGGCCCTCTTGTGTCCAGGCCAAAGACATCCTTCAATTGTCCTCTTTGGATGTGGCTTTGAAGCCCTTTAATTTCCTTGTGGTTCCCATCCAAACTTAATTAGGTTTATTAATATCCATTTAAGAATCATATCCAGAATATTTTGGCACCTACATAACTTCTTTCTTCTGAAAACAACAACAACAACAACACCTTACGTTTGCTAGAGCTATCAATTCTAAGGGGGAAAAATAGCGTGAGCACAGAGAGGTATCTGTACAAGATATTTATTGCAGTGTTTTTTTTTTTTCTTTTTTTGAGACGGAGTCTTGCTCTGTCGCCAGGCTGGAGTGCAGTGGTGTGATCGTGGCTCACTGCAACCTCCGCCTCCCAGATTCAAGTGATTCTCCTGCCTCAGCCTCCTGAGTAGCTGGGATTACAGGCATGTGCCATCATGCCCAGCTAATTTTTTGTATTTTTAGTAGAGACGGGGTTTCACCGCTTTAGCCAGGATGGTTTTGATCTCATGACCTCGTGATCCGCCTGCCTCGGCCTCCCGAAGTGCTGGGATTACAGGGGTGAGCCACCGCGCCTGGCTATTGCAGTATTTTTTTGTAATGGAAACTACTTCTCTGTGCATCAATGAGAGACAAGTAAAATAATCTATGGTGCATCCTTACAATGGAACACTACAAGGTTATGGAAACCAATAATGTATATTCATAATGTATCAACCTAAAAAACTTCAGGATATATTGTTAACATGGAAAAGGTGCAGAACAATATGTTTGGCTTGTATGTTTTTATGTTTTGTTTTTACATACAAGCCATACATATTGTTCTATACCTTTTCCAGGTATATTTTGTGTTTATATTAATGTATGTTTAAATGTACATGGTGATAGCAGGAAGTTTGTATATCAAAATTCCAGCATATAAAACTGGAAAGGTAAAGAAATGTTTTGCTTTTTAATTTACATAATTTAAAAGATGTTAAAATGGAAGGATTTTTTACTTTCCAATTTAAAATAAAAGAAAAATATGTCATTTGTCAAAAATCATTGGTTTGATTCGTAGAAGACAATAATGACTGAAATGGCTAGTAAACTTAGAGCTAATTTTTTGAAATATATATTTCTGGTAACAAAAGTAAAATATATTCTTGGTGGAAAGAGCAGACCAGCAAATAAATAAAAATTACATCTAATCTCATCCTTCAGAAATAATCAATGTTAATATTTATTTTACATTCTTCCAGTATTTTTTCAGAGTTAAATTTAATATTTACTTAGAATAATCATTTTATCCCAGCTACTGGATCAGTTACCTCCTTCTACCTGTAGACAGTTTCTGATCTTTTTTTTTTGAGACAGAGTCTCGATCTGTCACCCAGGCTGGAGTGCAGTGGCGTGATCTCGGCTCACTGCAACCTCCGCCTCCCAGGTTCAAGTGATTATCGTGCCTTGGCCCCCAGATAGCTGGGATTACAGGTGCGCACCACCACACCCAGCTAATTTTTGTATTTTTATTAGAGATGGAGTTTCACCATGTTGCCCTCGTTGGTCTCGAACTCCTGGCCTCAAGTGATCCACCCGGCTCCGCCTCCCAAAGTGCTGGGATTACAGGTGTCAGTGACCGCGCCCAGCCTGATCTTTATTTTTAATGTTAAGTGTTTTATTATGGTGCGAGTGTGTCTGTGTGTGTGAATTTAGCTGCAAGTTTCTTCAATGTAACATTAAATAAATAATATGTAAACGGAGGCAGGACATCTCATGATTTGTAAACAGAGCAAAACAGGGAGTGGAGACAGTGAAGTTGTCCTAAGCCTGTGTGAGCAGGGAAGGATTCCGCTTGGTAGTGGGGCCAAATATGCTGAGCAGGGAGCAGGAAAGAAGCAAGACAGGATGAGAGATAGGAGGGGGAAGACAGGCGGTGCTAGTTGGATCATCATGTTGAGAAATAAAATTATTTTGATCCCCTGTCTGACTTCTTTTTTGTATGTATACCAGTTCATTTTCCTTTTCAACCCAAGGCAGAGAGGCAGGCTGATTTGCATATGGTCCTCAGGGGAAGAGTTAGGTGACTGTAGTCTTTTCAGAGCCAGAAGATAAGGCAGAAATCAGGTTGGCTTCCTGAAGTCCTAGGTGCCCCAGGCTGACCGCAGCTCAGCCCACGCCACCTCTGCTGAGCAACATTGACATAAAAGCACTGTGGATTGTATTTTAGGCCAGGGGATTTACCCAGCCTGTACATGCTGTGTATGGTATGGAAATCTCCCCACCCTCACATCCTGCCTAGCTCACAATGCTCCCCTGGGCTGCACACTCATTGAAAAGGCTATATATAGCTGTCTACTTCCCTTGCTTTTCAAAATCATAGATGAAGAATAAAAGTTATTGACTTGAAACCACTTCCCACAATGCACGTTTAGACTTCAGCCTTCTATAATCTTGTATGTCTGCATATACTGTGCCTTGTATATACTGTTTTGTGTTATCACTCTTCACAGCTCTTCAACCTTAGGCTCACTTAAAATGTATGCAAAACTATCCTTAGAATTGTGATTTTGATTGTTTTTCTTCTTAAGAAACAATTATTGTTGGTTTTGAATATAATGGTAAAGGGTATTAGAGTCACCGTTCATTCAACCAATTTGTTATCACTCTACTGTGTATTTACTTGCCCTCCTGTTTTCTTCTGTTTTTTCAGTGTGTGTTCTACTGATTGTAAGCTCTCTAAAATTTGGATTCTAGCTTATCCATGCTCTACCACATTCCTCATCAAGAAACATTACCCAAAACTTGTAAATAAAAATCAAGTAAAGCAGGCAATATGTACTTCTGATGTCATATTAAAGCCTTGTTTAACATGCCTGCCCAGGGATTATTTAATTATCTAAGAGAATGATGGAAGACAATGGGATTGGATCTATAAGTCAAGACTGACGTGTTGCTATTATCTTCAATAACTTTATTGAGATATGTTTCATTGACCATAAAATTCATCCATTGAAAGTGTATAGTTTGGTAATGTTTGGTATATATTCACAGAGTTGTACAGCCCTCTCAATTTAATTTTTAGAACATTTTCAACACCCTAAGAAGGCTATCCATGACTGATGAAAGTCTTACTCTGTGAAGGGAATGTCCTAGAAATGAAGTCTCCATCTTGCTACTTCCCTGAGAGAGCAAGTTGACCCAAGGTAGCTCCTACTACCAGTTCCTTTCAAACACACACACACACACACACACACACTCATACGCACACATACGCACACTTTAAATTTCTCATTAAATAACATATGATGTACCACATATGCTATTTTGCGACATACTTTTTTGTGTGCCCAGTATCTCAGGCCAAGCAACTTGCTTTTTTACTTGCTAATATTTATTGGAAATTGTTCAAATCAGCATACCTAATAGTTGCCTCAAAGTATGCATGGTGGCTGAGCACTTCTCATTACTCTCACTGCTATCACACACGTCTTACCCCAAATCATCTCTTGCAGGAGTTGCCCCGTCTCTACTACTGTCTTCCCTGCACTTCTACAATCTCTTTTTAATATGGTGACCAGAATCATCTTCTATATTTATGGTTTGGATCATCCACCATTCAGAGCAAAGCCAAAGACCTCTCAGAGCGCTACAAGGTCTATCCAACATGATCTGCTCATCCACCACCACCCCAGTTGCCTCTCAGCCTCATCTCCAACGACCCTCCTCCTAATTCACTCTACTTTCATCACTGTAGCTTGCTTGGAGCTCCTTAAACATACCAGGCATGCTCTCATATCAGGGTCTTGGCCCTTGCTGCTTCCTCTGACTGAGAAGCTCTTTCCCCAGACATCTTCATGGCTTCTTCTCTGATCTCCTTTATGTCTTTGCTCAAAGGTCACTTCTGGGCCAATCACAGTGGCTCACTCCTGTAATTCCAATGCTTTGGAAGATTTGAGGTGGGAGGATCGCTTGAGGCCAGGAGGTTGAGACTAGCCTAGGCAACATAGCAAGACCCTGCCTCTGCAGAAAAATTTAAAAACTAACAGGGTATGGTGTGGTGCACCTGTAGTTCCAGCCACTTGGGAGGATGAGGCAGGAGGATCACTTGAGCCCAAGAGTTTTGAGTCTGCAATGAGCTGTGACCACATCACTGCACTCTAGCCTGGGTGACAGTGTTGGGGGAACCTGCCCCCGATAGTCACATAGGTTCTTTTCTATTTTCCCTAAGTGTTGGCCAGTCTGAGAAATAAAGGGACAGAGTACAAAAGAGAGAAATTTTAAAGCTGGGTGTCCGGGGGAGACATCACATGTTGGCAGGTTCCGTGACATCCCTGAGCCATAAAACCAGCAAGTTTTTATTAGTGATTTTCAAAAGGGGAGGGAGTGTATGAATAGGGTGTGGGTCATAGAGATCACATGCTTCACAAGGTAATAAGATATCACAAGGTAAATGGAGGCAGGGTGAGATCACAGGACCACAGGACCAGGGCGAAATTAAAATTGCTAATGAAGTTTCGGGCACGCATTGTCATTGATAACATCTTATCAGGAGACAGGGTTTGAGAGCAGACAACCGGTCTGACCAAAATTTATTAGGCAGGAATTTCCTCGTCCCAATAAGCCTGGGGGTGCTACGGGAGACTGGGGCTTATTTCATCCCTACAGCTGCGACTGTAAAAGACAGCCACCCCCAAAGCGGCTCTTTCAGAGGCCTACCCTCAGGGACACATTCTCTTTCTCAGGGATGTTCCTTGCTGAGAAAAAGAATTCAGCCCTATTTCTCCCATTTGCTTTTGAAAGAAGAGAAATATGGCTCTGTTCCGCCTGGCTCACCGGCAGTCAGAGTTTAAGGTTATCTCTCTTGTTCCCTGAACATTGCCGTTATCCTGTTCTTTTTTCAAGGTGCCCAGATTTCGTATTGTTCAAACACACATGCTCTACAAACAATTTGTGCAGTTAACACAATCATCACAGGGTCCTGAGGCAACATACCTCCTCCTCAGCTTACAAAGATGACGGGATTCAGAGATTAAAGTAAAGACAGGCACAGGAAATCACAAGGGTATTGATTGGGGAAGTGATAAGTGTCCATGAAATCTTCACAATTTATGTTCAGCGACTGCAGTAAAGACAGGCATAAGAAATTATAAAAGTATTAATTTGGGGAACTAATAAATGTCCATGAAATCATCACAATTTATGTTCTTCTGCCATGGCTTCAGCCGGTCCCTCCGTTCGGGGTCCCTGACTTCCCGCAACATGACAGAGCAAGACCCCATCTCTTAAACAACAAAAACAACAACAGCAACACCTTTCTCATTGAGCATTCTTTAACCACCACCTTCCCCTCCCCTACACACACTCTCATCCTGCTTGCCTACTTTTCTGCAGCACTTACCAGCATTGGAGATGCCATTCAATTTATTGGTTTATCATTGAGCACACAGGTACCAGGAAAAAAATTACTTGTTTACTGTCTGTATACCAGCTCCATGAGACCAAGAACATTTGTCTATTTTGTCCATTGCTATATTCCTGCACCTAAAACAGGGTCTGGCACAAAGTAAACAATTAATTATATTAATGGAGTGAATGGATAAATTTATGCTGCTTTGCATTTGTATGTTTGTATTCTATCTGTCCTATTAGTGTCACCAGTCTAGTCAGTCTAGTATAGTTTAACCATTGCCATATTTTGGGATGTCGGTGTGCTTTTGGTCTTATGTGACCTTGCTGAAATTTCTTGTAACTTCTTTTTTTGTTGTTGTTTTTGAGACAGGGTCTCACTTTGTCACCTAGGCTGGAGTGCAGTGGTGCAGTTTTGGCTCACTGCAGCCTCCACCTCTGGGGCTCAAGCGATCCTCCTGCCTCAGCTCCCCCAAGTAGCTGGGACTACAGGCATGTGCCATCATGTCCAGCTAATTTTTTTTGTTGTATTTTTAGTAGAGATGGGATTTTGCCATGTTGGCCAGGCTGGTCTTGAGCGCCTGAGCTCAAGCAATCCTCCCACCTTGGCCTCCCAAAATGCTGCAATTAGAGGAGTGAGCCACTGTGTCCAATCTGCCTGTAATTTTTTTGAGCCTTCATTTTCCCTCTATAAAATAGAAACCTGACCTGGTGTGGTGGCTTACGCATGTAATCCCAGCATTCTGGAATGCTGAGGTAGGCAGATCACTTGAGGCCAGAAGTTAAAAAACCAGCCTGGCCAACATGGTGAGACCCTATCTCTACAAAAAAGCCAGGCATGTGGTGGTGCTGTGCTTCTGGTCCCAGCTACTGGGAAGGCTGAGGTGGGAGTATCGCTTGAGCCTGGGAGGTGGAGGCTGCAGTGAGCTGAGATGCTGCCACTGCACTCCAGCCTGGGCTACACAGCGAGACTCTCAAAAAAAAGAGGGCTGGGGGCGCAATGCGGAGAGACCTATACATTTTAGGCTTGTTGTAAGGATCAAAATTTTTATTTATTTATTTTTTTAGAGACAGGTCTCAGCCTCTTGAGTACATGCCACCATGTATAGCTAATATTTTTTATTTTTTGTAGAGCTGAAGGTCTTGTGATGTTTTACCCAGATTGATCTCTCCCTCGTGGTCTCAAGTGATCCTCCTGCCTTGGCCTCTGAAAGTGCTGAGATTACAGATGTGAGCCAACGCACCCAGCCAGAATTAAAATGTTTAGAAGAATGTATGGTGGCAACAGCATGCCTGGCTTATAGCAGGTTCTCAATCATACAATTATAGTTCTGTCATTATTAATTATTCATCAGAAATGAACATATGAGAAGAATATATGGCTACATCTATATATAGCTCCAACTTCTTACTTTTTAACATAATTGTGTTGACTTTTAGTTATGATTCCCTTATAACAGAATATATGCCACTTTGTTTTTTCTTTTTTTTCCCCAAAAAGTCATTCAATATCTTTAGAAAAAATATTTCAGCTTTTCAGAGATAGGAAACTTTATCTTTGCATTTCCACTTTCTAGCTGGTCCCAAACAAAATACTTGCTCATTAAACTTTTTTGAATAAATAAATGGAAGAATGAATCTCAATGGGCACAAGCAAGTTTATATTTACTGCGAAGCTGCAATGTGCCAGGCACTGCAGTTGGCACTGGGGGATACAAAAATAACATTTTGTGGTTGAAGTTTATTTCAAGACCTCCACATGGTAATGATTGAGTTTGGCGGAATGTATGTTTATTTCAGAAGTATTTCTCTAGCTGGGGGAGGGGGAATTTGGATTCTTCACCTTGAGCAAAGTAAAACAAAACAAAACAAAAACTCCAGAAAGATGTCTTTGCCACCATTTCTCAGAAGAGCTTTAAAAAGAAACGGAACGTCAGTGGTTTATCAAGCAGGCATCAAGACTGAAGCAGCAGACATATCAGTGTGGGAAATCCTACGGTGATTCAAGACCTCCAAGAATTCCTGTGGTTCCCAGTAAATCCCCACACACATCACTAACTACCAATGACACTAGCTCTGATGCAGAATGAGATTATCAGTGAGCCATGCAGCTTGAGGAAGAGAAAAAGCTCTGACCTAGAATCCAGCTTTGGACTCTGACCTCAAGTAAGACAATCCTGAGCCTTGGTTTTCTCACTTTAAAATGATGTTTTAAAAAATAAACCTGCTTCCGGCCGGGTGGGGTAGCTCACACCTGTAATCCCAGCACTTTGAGAGGCTGAGGAGGGTGGATCACCTGAGGTCGGGAGTTCGAGACTAGCCTGGCTAACATGGTGAAAAACCCTTGACTCTACTAAAAATACAAAAATTGGCTGGGTGTGGTGGTGGGCACCTGTAATCCCAGCTACTTGGGAGGGTGAGGCAGGAGGATCACTTAAACCTGGATGGCAGAGGTTGCAGTGAGCAGAGATTGCACCACTGCACTCCAGCCTGGGTGACAAGAGTGAAACTCCATTAAAAAAAAAAAATTAACTGCTTCAAATGAGAGACTAGGTGAGAAAATCCTCCATATCCTGAAAATCAGCACACAGATGGAACCCTGGTTCTGTAGTTCTGATGGGGAGCAGGAGTCCCTTCAGACCATTCATTCAACACCTATCCCTGAGTGCCTGCTGGCACTGTGCTACCTACACACTGGAGACACAGAGATCAGCATCTAGACAGCACCCCTGCCCTTAGCAAGCACACCATACACACCCAGGATTTTACCCCCAGGAAGTAATTCAGCCCAAGCAAAAAAATTTTTGCAAGAAGATGATCCTTGAAGGGGTAACTGTAACAACAGCAAAACTGGAAACAACCCAGATATTTATAAAAGCAGAATGGTTCATAAATTATGTGTCCCAGCATTTTGATTGAAAAGAACACCCAGCCTACCCACACCTACACCCCAGGCAGGGTCAGCCTCTCCCCTGTGGAGGCATTGATTTGTTTTGTGGGGGAGGCTGGTGACACTGACCAGAGGGGATAGCTACATGGAGGCTAGGACAAAGGGGTGTGAGATGCGCACAGGTCACAAAGGACTGCAGGGGATAAATGTGGTGGTGCCAGGAGATTTAGGCAGAAGTCCTGTAGGGAGATGGGCAGTTACCTTCTCTCCGTCTCTCTCTCGGGGACTCTATTTGTGGCTGGTGGAGCTGTCTTAAACGAAGAGAACCATGAGCAATGAATCTTGTTTACCTTATTACACAGCCCACAGCTACTCTTCAATGAGTGCGTTCAAAACCTCCATGGGGGACCTGCAACGACAATTGTACAACAGAGGAGAGTACAACATTTTCAAGTATGCACCAATGTTCGAGAGTAATTTTATTCAGATAAACAAAAAGGGAGAGGTGATTGATGTACACAACCGTGTCCGAATGGTGACAGTGGGCATCGTCTGCACCAGCCCCATCCTCCCACTGCCTGACGTCATGGTTCTGGCCCAACCAACTAAAATCTGTGAACAGCATGTCAGATGGGGCCGGTTTGCCAAGGGGAGAGGTCGCAGGCCCGTCAAGACTCTAGAGCTCACGAGACTGCTTCCCTTGAAATTTGTGAAGATCTCCATCCACGATCATGAGAAACAGCAGCTGCGCCTGAAACTCGCCACTGGCCGTACTTTTTATCTGCAGTTGTGTCCCTCTTCTGACACACGGGAAGATCTCTTTTGCTATTGGGAAAAACTTGTCTATCTCCTGAGGCCACCAGTAGAGAGTTACTGCAGTACCCCAACACTTCTATCTGGGGACGCACCACCCGAAGACAACAAAAGCCTAGTGGTAAGCCTCTCAAAGGCTCGAGAACATGGGGCAGGTTCTTTGGGGGAGCAGTTCAAAGCCAGTCCTACAAAGCCTTTGGTGCCTTCTGAGGCCCACCTGGAAAAAGTATTGCATGTGCAAGGGCTCAGGACCAAATGAGCCACTACTAGGGGACTTACCACACTGGGAGGTGGGAGGGCTTGTGTGTCCCATAAGGCTGAATTTCAGAGACCTTAGGTATCAGCTACTCTGGTCTCACACCCAGGGTTGAAATCCTTTCTACACCATCCTGATCGTCAGTCTTTTCTTGAACACTTAATACCCCAACCCAGGTGGTCTGATTTGTTGTGGAACTTTTATTTGTATAAATTTAAGGGGTGTAGGTGTAGCTTTGTGTGTGTGACTATATTGCATACTGGTGAAGTCTGGGCTTTTAGTGTAACCATCATCTGAATAATATACATTGTACCCACTAAGTAATTTCCCATCCCTCACCCCCTCCAACCCTTCTGAGTCTCCAATGTGCAACTGGAGACTGTACAGATTTTTGTGCAATTTTTTTTTGAGACAGAGTTTCGCTCTTATCTCCCAGGCTGGAGTGCAATGGCACGATCTCGGCTCAATGCAACCTCTGCCTCCTGGGTTCAAGAGATTCTCCTGCCTCAGCCTCTGAGTAGCTGGGATTACAGGCACCTGCCACCACGTCCAACTAATTTTTATAATTTTTTTTTTTTTAGTGGAGATGAGGTTTCACTATCATCCACTAAAGTGCTGTGCCATATTTTTAACAATGAAGAAGTCTTTCTTCGATTTGAGTCACAGTCTGTCTCCCTGTGACTACCAGGCACTGATTTCTGTGTCAATCAGCACACCCTGTGTGTGTGTATGCACGTGCACAATCGTAGTAGTCACCAAAATGTAAAGTGAGTGTATCCCTTGACTGTGCAATCCCACTTCTGGAAATCTGTCCTGCAGAGCACGTAAAAATAAGTGTGTAAAATACAATGTCCAAGGATGAGGAATTGTATCAGTACTTTCTCTGGTACTGGAATTGCTCAACCAAAACTGAGTGACCATTGAAGGGGTGCTGTAGATGGAACTTGGCAAGAAATGAGAGCAAGACTTAGGCTTAGGCCGGGTGCGGTGGCTCATGCTTGTTAACCCAGCACTTTGAGAGGCCAAGGAAGGCGGCTCACCAGAGGTCAGGAGATCGACACCAGCCTGGCCAACATGGTGAAACCTCATCTCTACTAAATATACAAAAAAATTAGCCAGGTATGGTGGTGGGCGCCTGTAGTCCCAGCTATTCAAGAGGCTAAGGCAGGAGAATCCCTTGAACCTGGGAGGCGGAGATTGCAGTGAGCCAAGATCGTGCCACTGCACTCTAGCCTGGGCGACAGAGCAAGACTCTGTCTCAAAAAAAAAAAAAAAAAAAAAGACAAAAGACTTAGACTTAATGATTTTAGAGGTTCTCCTTCTCCTTCCTTTTTTCTTTTTTCTTTCTTTCTTTCTTTCTTTTTTTTAAACAGTGTCTCACTCTGTTGCCTAGGCTGGAGTGCAGTGGAGTGGCGCAGTCTTGGCTCACTGCAGCCTCTGCCTTCTGAGTTCAAGCGATACTCCTACCTCAGCCTACTGAGTAGCTGGGATTACAGGCATGCGCCATCCTGTCCAGCTAATTTTTTGTATTTTTAGTAGAGTCGGGGTTTTGCTATGTTGGCAAGGCTGGTCTTGAACTCCTGGCCTCAAGCGATCTGCCCTCCTTGGCCTCCCAAAGTGTTGGGATTACAGGCGTGAGCCACCACACCCGACCCAGGTTCTTCTAATTATAAGCCCTTGAATTAACTCCAGGATAAGAGAGGAGTAGAAAGTTCTGATCTCCCTTTCAGTCATCTCAATCTCATCTGTTTCTCTTCCCCTTGGTATAGGCTGCAGAGCTCCACAGAGAAGGGGATCAGAGTGAGACTGGGCTCTACAAGCCTTGTGATGTATCTGCAGCCACCTCTTCTGCTTATGCTGGGGGAGAGGGAATCCAACATGCCTCCCACGGAACGGCTAGTGCGGCTTCTCCATCCACGAGCACTCCAGGGGCTGCTGAAGGAGGAGCAGCAAGGACAGCAGGTGGCATGGCAGTGGCAGGAACAGCAACAGGACCTAGAACAGATGTGGCAATAGCAGGGGCAGCAATGAGTCCTGCAACAGGTGCTATGAGCATAGCAACAACCAAATCTGCAGGCCCAGGTCAAGTGACCACAGCGCTGGCGGGAGCAGCTATCAAAAATCCAGGAGAAAATGAATCCAGCAAGTCCATGGCAGGTGCTGCCAACATATCCTCAGAGGGTATTAGCTTGGCCTTGGTGGGTGCTGCAAGCACCTCCTTGGAAGGTACTTCCACCTCGATGGCGGGGGCCGCCAGTCTCTCCCAAGACAGCAGCTTGAGTGCGGCGTTTGCAGGCAGTATTACGACCAGCAAGTGTGCAGCAGAAAGAACTGAAGGACCAGCAGTGGGACCCCTCATCTCCACCTTGCAAAGCGAAGGCTACATGAGTGAACGAGATGGAAGCCAGAAAGTTTCCCAGCCCAGTGCTGAAGTCTGGAATGAAAACAAGGAAAGAAGAGAAAAGAAGGACAGACATCCCAGTAGGAAAAGTTCTCATCACCGCAAGGCAGGTGAAAGTCACCGCAGGAGAGCGGGGGACAAGAATCAGAAAGCGTCTTCCCACCGGTCCGCATCTGGCCATAAAAACACGAGAGATGACAAAAAAGAAAAAGGGTACAGCAACGTAAGGGGCAAGCGACATGGCTCCTCTCGCAAGAGCTCCACCCACAGCTCCACCAAAAAGGAGTCGAGAACAACTCAGGAACTGGGGAAGAACCAATCTGCATCTAGCACAGGAGCTTTACAAAAGAAAGCCAGTAAGATCAGCTCTTTTTTAAGGAGCCTCAGGGCCACTCCTGGTTCAAAAACAAGGGTCACATCACATGACAGAGAGGTAGATATCGTGGCTAAGATGGTGGAGAAGCAAAACATAGAGGCCAAAGTGGAGAAAGCCCAGGGTGGCCAGGAGCTGGAGATGATCAGTGGCACTATGACATCCGAGAAGACGGAGATGATCGTCTTTGAAACCAAATCCATTTAAAGAGGAGCCAGGGCTACAACCGCCCAGGGATCTGGAAGTATCCCTAGAGGAGCCCATCCCAGCTTTCTTTACTGCAGTTCAAATAATAAAGGAAATCGTACAACTCCAAAAGAAATACAATCTCCTGCTTGAATTTTTCTGCCCATAGCCTGGTGGTGACCTCACAGTGGCTTCTGTGATGGTGGCTATGCTACAGCTGGAGACCCCAGCCTCCAGGCAAGTAGAGCTCCACCACCCGCCCACGGCCAGCAGAGCCAACGTGAGTGTTCAGCTTTGCCTCAATCCCTTTTGCTTCCCCGAGACTGTCAAAGCCACAGACTAAGAGCTGGGATGCATGGCCACCACCATGTCCCCTCGCCCATTCTCCTCTTTTCCCTGAATGCCCCTGAACATGGACATTCAGTCCAGTTCTTAGCCTATGCAGAGACAGGATTCACATCCCCTCAGGGGATATTCAGGGTAGGAAGGAGCAATACAGCAGTATTTGTAGGCAATTAGAATAGGAAATCTATTCTTCTAGATCAGGAATTGGCAAATCATGTTCTGAGGTCCAAATCTTACCAGCTGCCTGGATTTGTAAATAAAGTTTTATTGGAACATAGTCACAGACTTTCCTTTGCATATTGCCTATGGCTGCTTTCACGCTAAAAATGACAGCTCTGAGTAGTGGCAATGGAGACCATATGGCCCACAGAATCTAAAATATTATCTGGGCCTTTAAGAAAATGTGTGCTGACTCTTGATCTAATCTTAACAAGTCTTCCTCCAAGGTGTAGACAGTGGAGAAATTCTCACATATGCTTACCAGTAGACAACTAGGAGAATGTTTACAGTAAAACAAGTTGTAATAGCAAAACCCTGGAAATTGCCCAAATGTTCATCAAACAGGAGAGTTAATAAATTGTGGAATGGACTACAGTGCATAATCTACAATAGTGAAAATGAATAGCAGCTATACATGTTAGCATTGATAAATGTTTATTTTTTATTTTTTTGAGACAGAGTCTCAGTTTGTTGCCCAGGCTGGAGTGCAGTGGGATAATCTTGGCTCACTGCAACCTTGGCTGCCCAGGCTCCAGTAATTCTCATGCCTCAACCTCCGGAGTAGCTGGGATTACAGGCATGCACCACCATGCCCAGCTAAATTTTTGTATTTTTACTAGAGACAAGGTTTTGCCATGTTGGCCAGGCTGGTCTCGAATTCTTGACCTCAAGCAATCCGTCCTCCTCGGCCTCCCAAAGTGCTGGGATCACAGGCATGAGCCACCATGTGTGGCTGGCATGGATAAATCTTACATAATGTGGGATACTAAAAGCAAGTCACAAAAATATATATGATATAGTTCAATTTGTAGAACAGCTCAAAAATAAGATTCAACAATGGGATATATATTTGCTAAAAGTATAGAGAAAAACAAGGAAATGATAATCACAAAATTAAGGATAGTGACTATCTATAGGATAAAGGGAGAGATGTCTGATCTGAGGGGCACACACAAGGAGTTTCAACAGAATAGTGATTATTCTATTTCTTAAAGAAGAGGTTGTATTCATGGGGTGTTGTTACTGTATCTTTATTTTAATATCTCTGAAATCAGGATTGTTTTTAAATCTGTCAGCAAGGTGTCAATTGCATGTCACTATCACTGCCTTAGAAATGCCCTAATCAATTTATTTCACCAATGTTTTCCTTTTTACACATACACATGACAGATTTATGACAGAATATCTAAGTCTGAAAGATCTTTCAATAAGCATGAAATAAAAATTCTAAGTGACATAAAAAGTATTCAGAAACACGGAAAAATGTTTAAATATATTAAGAAGTAAAATAGTCCAAAATGCTGTGTACTAACATGATGTAAATTATGTGTTCGTGTGCAAGTTAATTCCCAGAATAAAAAAATCACACTACATTAGAAATGGGATTATAAATTTTAAAAACCTTTACTGTAAAAAAAAATTGTCTTTCCGTTTTTAAAAAACCTGTAAAATGAGTCCATGGAAAACATTAAATTATTAACACCAAATAATAAAATTTGGATTTGAGAAAAATGATTCTGGGAGCCATGTAAGTCCAGGAGGGGAGCACCTGCCCAGCCTTGCAAGTCTTTGCTCATTCTCTGCAGCAGCAGTACCTTGGAGGACAGAAGTTGGGTTTCCGGCAAAACTTAGGGACCTTTTCTGAACACCAAATATGTGTAGCCAAGATGGAGGAGGTGAGAAGCGACGTATTCTGGGAGGAGCGGTGGCTTGTCAGTATCAGGGGAATCCCTTCTCAGTTGCTCTAGTGGGTGGCTGGAAAATCTCATCTTGTGATTTTTGATAAATACCATAGAGGCTGAGATTAAGATGTTCTGGGAGTTGACTCTTGAAACAGTGGGTACAGGTAGAAGGAGAGAGAAAGAGAGAGAGGCACATACTCTAAAGTCTGAGAGGGCCTTTGGGAAAGCCACCCGGGAATGTGAAAGGTTGGCAGGTGGGGTAGAGGAGAGAGATAAAAGGAAACTCCTTTCAAAGCCTTTGGTCTGGAGTTCCAGGTTTACAGCTATGCCAGAGTCTGAATTATCCTAGCTACAAACGGTTTAATCTCATAATTGTGTAGACTATGGCTTTATCTTTTGTCTTTCTTCTAGTCTTGTTTTATACACCCTCCCCTGTCTGAGGGCTTCTTCAGCATGAATATAGTTTATCCACCCAAATGCAATTTAAGTAAAGTAGAGATGGGGACTTGCCCACCACAGCGTGCTGTGCCATGCACTTTCTCTGCATTTCCTTTTCTATCTTGATACTTCATCAAGAGATAGATGCATAAATACCTATGTATTTCAAAGCAACAGGCCTCTTCCTCAGAGGGAGTTATCAATTGGGGCATCAAGTCAATACCCCTATCAGATAAAAGCCAATATTTTTAACGGCAATATTTGTCACCATGGTAACAATTCTGCTGCTGCAAGTGCAATGAGACAGTGGATGGTCGATTACTAACCAATGTTCCAAACTTAAAGTCTGGCATTACACACATAAGAACAAAGATGACAAAGCGATATTTTGCCAAAAGCAGTATAAGATCACTCATGCAGTTGTCATGTTAGGGTGGAGTCTTTGAAGCAGAGGAAACTGGTCTATGGTGAGAAGAAGCAAGGTGCCTCAAAATGTCAAATGCCATCATGGCTGGCAGGGCAAGAACGGAAGGCGAGATGCTAGAGGGAGCAGCAGGGGACAGACTGTGCAAGGCTTTGAGGTTCGCATATGCTACTTTGACTTCTGTCCTTAGTAATGAGAAGCCACTGAAACATTTTAAGTTGAGGAGTGACTTGATCAGATTTGTATTTTGTAAAGGTCACTGTAGTTGCTGTGAGAAAAAAATATTTGGGAAGGTAGTTGTTAATATGTGTCCTTATGTAATTCCTGTCTTTTGCTGCAGGATCTATAAAATGAGATTACAGGAGATGTTTTGAAAGACATGTTCCCATTAGAAATGTCCATGTGATGGCTGGGTGCTGTGGCTCATGGCTGTAATCCCAGCACTTTCGGAGGCTGAGGCTGGCGGATCACCTGAGGTAAGGAGTTCGAGACCAGCCTGGCCAACATGGTGAAACACTGTCTCTACTAAAAATACAAAAATTAGCCAGGCAGGTGGTGCATGCCTGTAATCCCAGCTACTCAGGAGGCTGAGGCAGTAGAATCTCTTGAACCTGGGAGGTGGAGGTTGCAGTGACCAAGATCGGCCATTGCACTCCAGCCTGGGTGGCAGAGCGGTACTCTGTCTCAAAGAAAAAAAAAAAAAAAGAAATATCCATGTGGGGTATACGTGGTGATGCACTATCAAGACCCTCCTTCAATGAAGGACTTGTGTCCTCAGTTGCTGAGAATGCTGCCGGCAGACAAGTTTCAGCTGGCAGTGAGTTTGGAAATTGTGCCAGTTGCAGAGATTTCTTTCACCCAATGTGATGCTCTTTCCAGAGCCCACATCAAGAACTGAGTGATGCAGAGTATGAAAGTCTGGCTGTCAGCCCAATACAGACCAAGTCTGAAGGGCTATTCTAGTTCCAGAGCTTCCTGAGGAGCCTGCATCAAAATTCACCTTCCTTCCCTGTGTACTCCTACTTCCACCCTTTTCCCTTCCACAGGTGCTGGTCCTAAGAGCACTCCTTAACAAACATCCTTCCCACAAAACTCTGTCTCAAAATCCGCTTCACAAAGAACACAACTTACAACACTATGTCAGTGTAATGCGCTGGGGTCACCTCCTTGAGACTTCACTAACCTTATGAAAAGTGTTGATGATAGCCAGGAAGGATATAACGTAGCATATACAATTTTGAATTTAAATAATTTTAAAACTAGGTATATTTGCTTACTGCCAAATTAATTGGTCTATTTTAGAAAATTCAAAACATGTAGAGATAAAAAAGGAAACAAATATTTAATTGATTGCTTCGATAATTCACTTCTTACTGCTTCCAGAAAGTTGGAGTAGACGTGTTTTTCTCTGTTCCTCCTGATCAGTACAACTAAAGATTTTGAACATTACATATAAAACAAACAGCAGAAGACTTGAAAGGTGGAAAGAAAGCTAGGAACTTCAGGAACTGAGGAACAACATGCTGGTTATTTCCCTGGGTTTTATGTTTGTTTGGTTAATTTTTGCCTCATATATTCCACAACCTGGAGGTGAAGAAGCTGGAACCACCTATACCAAAAAAATCCCAACAAAAAATATGATCAGGAAAAAATAAATAAATAAATAAATAAAATAAATAAATAAAGGGCCAGGACAGGGGCAGCCAAGAAAAGCAGAAAACTTTTACACAAACACAAACTTCAGCCAAACATCACAGAAAAGAAAAAAAAAAAAAAAGCTGTGGCCCCACCCTCACTCATGACAGCAAAGGCTGAGTTGGAGTTGAGATTAACATCCTCATGAGGCTATAACGAGGCCTCCTATACCCCAAGTGTGTAGTATCAGAGAATGCCAAGGAAGGAGCTTGGACTTTGACTTTCACTCCTGATAGCTGGTAATGAAGCCCTTCCCTCCTCTTCCCTGTGCTAGTGGTGTCCATATGGGGAGTTGGAACTCCCACCCTTGCCCAGTAGTCATGGTAAGTCCACCCTGGGGGCCAAGTAGGGAACCTGAACTGCTATAGAAGTAACGAGGTGGCACACCCCCTCCCCATCTCCTGCTGGAGTAGAGTCATAAGAAGCCTGTTGAAAGTAAATTTAAATAAGATTCAGAGTCTCCCAATGAATAAATGTCCAGACTTAAACCAAAAATCACGAGTCACACCAAGAAATAGGAAAATTCAAAATGGAATGAAAAGAGACAAACTATAGGTGACAATATCAAAAAGACAGAGATGTTAAGTTAATATCATAAAAATTTTAAGGCGTCCATGAAAACGGAGTTAGGAATGTGCTTGGAACAAATGAAAGAAATAGAAATCCTCAGCAAAGAATAAAAAAACTTCAACAAAGAAAAAGAAGATGAAAAAGAAGAACCAAATGAAAATTTTAGAACTAAAACTATAATAGCTGAAGAAAAAAGCTCAGTGGTTGGGCTGAACTGCAGAATGGAGGAGAAGAGAAAAAAATCAGTGAACTGAAAGAGGATAATAGAAACTACCCAATCTAAACAACATAGAAAATAGTGATTAGAAGAAAAATAAAGCCTCAAGGCCTTGTGGGACTATAACAAAAGATCTAACGTTGTGTCACTGGAGTCCTAGAAAGAGAGAAGAAGGGGTAAGTTTGAAGAAATAGTGATTGAAAGCCGTCAAATTTGGCAAAAGACATAAATCTACAGATTGAAGAAGGTGAAATAACACCAAATAGGGTGAACTCAGAGAAATCCATGCTAAGACAAAGCACAATTAAATTCTGAAAACAAACAAACAAAAAATGTTGCCAAGGTGGGAAGATCACTTGAGCCCAGGAGTTTGAGAACAGCCTGGGCAACATAGGGAGAACCCGTTTCTAAATTTTTTTTTTTTAAATTAGCTAGGCATGGTGGTTCACACTTGTAGTCCCAGCTACGCAGGAGGCTGAGTTGGGAGGACTGCTTGAGCCTGGGAGGCTGAGGCTGCAATGAACTGTGATCGTACCACTGCACACCAGCCTGTGAAACAGAGAAACACCCTGTCGCAAAAAAAAAAAAAAAAAAAAAATTTTTTTTGTTTAAGTAGCTACAGAAAAATGGTGTAATATCTACAGGGGAAAACAACTCAAATGACAGTGGATTTCTTATCAGAAACCATGGAAAACAGAAGTAAGTGGCACATTGTTTTTCATGTGCTGAAAGAAAAGAGTTGAAAACCCAGAATCCCATCCCAGCAAATTAATACTTCAAGAATAATGGGAAAATCAAGACATCATCAGTTGAAGGAAAACAAAATTTGTCATCAGTACGCCTATCCTACAAGAATGGCTAAAGGAAGTTCTGTAAACAGTAAGGAAATGATTTATAAAAAGTAGGGAGAGATTGTGGAAGATAAAGAAGAAAGAACATGGTAAGCAAAAATATGGGAAAACACAGTAGATTTTTCTTCTCTTGCATTTTCTAAGTTATGTTTGACAGTTTAAGCTGTCTGATGGGATTAAAATTTTGTAAAGGAAGTATCTAAGGCCACTATATTATAAATGTGGGAGAGTAAAGGGATAGAAAGGGAGGTAAGTTTTCCATATTTCACTCAAACTAGTAAAATGACGCGATAGATTGTAAAAAAGTTATGTATACATAATAGAATACCTACAGCAATCACTAAAAAAGCTAAAAAGAAGATATACTCAAAAACACTATAGATAAACCAGAACAGAATTTCAAAAACTGCTCAAGTAAACCACAGGAAAGCAGGAAAATAAAATAGAAACAAAAACACAGAGAACATAAAGCGAAAAATAAAATGGCATACATAAGCCCTGACATATTAATAATCACGTTAAATGTAAATGGTCTAAATACACCAATTAAAAGACATTGGCAGAGTGAACAAAAAAGCATGACCTAACTACATGCTGTCAACAAAAGCTCCCTACAAATATAACGACATAGGCATTTTGAAAGTAAAACAATGAAGAAAGATACATTACAAAAACATTAATCAAAGTGAACCAGAAATAGCTATATTAATATAAGATAGACTGAAGAGCAGAGAAAATTACCACAGAGTGGCATAATGACAAAAAGGATATTAAAGGGAACAAGAAGACATAGCAATTCTAAAAGTGTTTCAACCAATTATAAGAGCTGCAAAATATGTATAGTAAGAACTGGTAGAACCGAAAGTAATAAACAAAACCAAATTTGTAGTTTGAGACCTCCACACCCCTCTCTCAAAAATTTAAAGAACAATTAAACAGAGAATTGGTAAGTATACAGAAGACATCAGTAACACTATCAACTAACAAGATTTAATCAAAATTAATAGAACACTCCATTCAACAACAGCAGAATACACATTCTCATCAAGATACCACAGAACGTATACCAAGATCAGGACAACATCCTGGGCCATAAAAGAAACTTCAACAACTTTAAAAGAATTGAAATAATATAATGTGTTTTCTGACCACAGTGGAATCAAACTAGAAATCAATAACAGAAAGGTAACAGGAAAATCTCCACTTAGAACTGTGTTGTTAGAATCTAAGAGGTCAAAGAGGGTCAAAATGGTAGTCTTAAGGGAAATAAAAATTACATTGAATTGGCAGGGCACAGTGGCTCATGTCTATAATTCCAGCACTTTGGGAGGTTGAGACAAGAGGTTTGCTTGAGCCTAGGATTTCAAAGTAGCAATGAGCTATGATTATGCCGCTGTACTCCAGGCTGGGCAACAGAGTGAGACTCCAGAAATAAAATAGAAATAGAAATCATATCAAAACGTGTGGGATACAGGTAAGTAAAGGAACTAGCACTGTATGCATACACTTTCTAGAAAAGACAAAGGGGTTTTTTTCTTTTTATTTCTTTCTTTTTTTTTTTTTTTTGTTTGAGACAGGGTCTTGCTCTGTCACCCAGGCTGGAGTGCAGTGGCACAATCTTGGCTCACATAAACGTCAATCTCTCAGGCTCAAGCAATCCTCCCACCTAAGCCTTCTGAGTAGCTGAGACTACAAGCATGCGCCACCACACCTGGCCAATTTTTGTATTTTTAGTAGAGATGGGGTTTTGCCATGTGGGCCAGGCTGGTCTCGAACTCCTGACCTCAGGTGATCTGCCCATCTCAGCCTCCCAAAGTGCTGGGATTGCAGGCGTCAGCCACTGCACCTGGCCTAGGCTCACACCTTATTTAAAAAAATGAACTCAAAATAGATCACTGACTTACTTTAAAAAACAGAAAACTATAAAACTTTTAGGAAAGAAACATGGGGGATAATCTTTGGGAACTAGGACTAGGAAAAGAGTTATTAAACTCAACACCAAAAGTATAACTAGTAAAGGGAAATATTGATAAACTAGACTCCTTCAAAATTAAAAACTTTCACTCTATGAATGACCCGGGGAAAAGAATAAAAACAAGCTAAAAACTGGAGCAAATATTTGCAAACTTTATATTCCACAAAGGACTAGTATGTAGAATATATAAGGAACTCTCAAAATTCAACATTAAAAAAAACAAACAGTCCAATTAGAAAATGGGGAAAAGATATCAAATTTTTATCAGAGGATATACAGATAGTACATAAGCCCATGAGAAAATATTCAGCATCATTAGTCATTAGGGAAATGCACATTAAAACCACAATGGTTTAATACTATACACATATAGATAATACTATAACCATATTAGAATGATTAAAACAAAAATAATAAATAAGGAACAACACCAAATTATGATGTAAAACCAGAGAAACTATACCACCCACACATTTCTAGTGGGCATGTAAAGAAAGCCAATGAGGAAAACAGTCTGGTAGTTTTTTTTTTTTTTTTTTTTTTTTTGAGACAGAGTCTCAATGTGTTCCCCAGGCTGGAGTGTAGTGGCGTGATCTCAGCTCACTGCAACCTCCGCCTCTTGGGTTCAAGTGATTCTCCTGCCTCAGCCTCCCGAGTAGCTGGGATTACAGGCATGTGCCACCATGCACAGCTAATTTTTTAAATTTTAGTAGAGACAGGGGGTTTCACCATATTGGCCAGGTGGGTCTCAAACTCCTGACTTCCAGCTACTCAGGAAGCTGAGGTGGGAGGATCATCAGAGCCTGAGATGTTGGGGCTGCAGTGAGGCATGATCACACCACCGCACTTCAGCCTGGGTGAAATAGTAAGACCCTGTCTCAAAAAATAATAATAAATATTTTAAAGTTACCCACGAATGACGGTGCACACCTGTAGTCTCAGTTACCCAGGAGAAGGAGGTAGGAGAATGCTTGAGCCCAGGAGTTTGAGGCTACAGTGAACTATGATTGTGCCACTGCCTGGGCAACAGAGTGAGACTATGAATCTAAAACATGAAATAAAACAAAACAAACAAAAAACTCCCAAACAAACAAAAGATAATGATATCCAGGGGTTTGGTGAGAGGGAGGACATGCCAGAGCACAAGGGATTTTTATGGCAGTGAAACTTTGTCTATGGTACCATAATGGTGAATACGTGTCATCATATATTGTCAAACCCATAGTGTATAACACCAAGAGTGAAGACCAGTGTGAACTATGGACTTCAGGTACTAATGATGCGTCAATGTCAGCTCATCAAAATCAAATGAACCACTCTGGTGCAGGATGTCGATGACAGTGGAGGCTGTGAGTGTGTGGGGGGAGCGGGTATATAGGAACTCTTTATACTTTCCACTCAGCTTTGCTGTTAACCTAAAACTGCTCTAAAGAATAGTCTATTTAAAAAGTAAAGTAGAGTGGTTGGCTGGGCACGGTGGCTCACGCCTGTAATCCCAGCACTTTGGAAGGCTGAGGTGGGCAGATCCCTTGAGTCCAGGAGTTCAAGGCTAGCCTGGGCAACGTGATAAAACCCCGTCTCTATTATAAGTATGTTTTTATTGGCTGGGCATGGTGGCTCATGCATATAAACCCAGTACTTTGGGAGGCCAAGGTGGGAGGATCATGTGAGGTCAGGAGTTCGAGACCAGCCTGGCCAACATGGTGAAATCCCATCTCTACTAAAAATACAAAAATTAGCTGGGTGTGGTGGCAGGCACCTGTAATCCCAGCTACTTGGGAAGCTGAGGCAGAAGAATTGCTTGAATCCAGAAGCTGAGATCGTGCCATTGCTCTCCAGCCTGGGTGACAGAGCGAGACTCCATTTCAAAAAAAAAAAAAAAGTTTTTAATTATAGGAAAAGGGAAGAAGGTAGACTGGTTGTGGAATTACAGGGCATCTTTTTAACCCCTTGGAAGAAAAGTTTTGTTCCCTCATCAGACATGACTCTTCAAATGCGCTTTGAAATCTGTGAGATTGCTTTCTCTAATTTGTATGTAATCAACAATAAATACATAGGGAGATAATAACAGTACTAATCAATATCAAATCTCAAAGAAATTTGGAGATTATATGATTCAGTGTTTGTCAAACTTTTGCACATATTGTTCTTTTTAAAAAATTAAAAATATAAAATCATAAATGGAACTTAGTAAACAAAAGAGATGAAGGTGAGGGTCCTCTGGCTGAAAGTAGGGGTAGAGTGGGCAGCCTGAAGCCCCACCAGCTTGGCTCCCCTTTGCCTCAGGGGACACCTGGAATGCATTTCCGTGACTTGGAGGCCACTGGTTTGACCTGAGATTCTCACTTTACTGAGAATAATGTGTCTTGCTTGAGGTTACCTATCTGACTGGTTGAAATCAGGTCTATGGAATCTCAGGCCAGACTCTTTTCCATTCTGCTTTACCCTGATTGATTTGGGGGGATTCTCAGGTTAACACATGTTGGAAGACAAACTGGGACTCAGGTGTCAGAGGTGGTGGAAGATGATAAGGAGACAAAGGAAAGGAGACTAGAAGGAAGATAGTCAAATTCTGTGCAATACATAGACTGGAGACTGAATGGGGTAAAGAAACCCACAGGGGTCAGAATTCATAAAATCTGTCTCTGTCAGAAGCCCAGGTTCTAAGAGAAGTTCATCTTGGACCTGAAGCAGGGTGGAATCAAGTGGGTAAAGACTTTCCCAGATAACTGTAGGGAAGTAGCACCTGGACTTGCCATGGTTTGGGCCACTGTGACTGCAGCACCTAGGAAAGTAGCTGGCATGTAGTAAGTGAGCAATAAATATTGGGTGAATGCCACCCTGGGGAACATGGCAAAACCCTGTCTCTACAAGAAATATCCAAATAGCTGGGCGTGTTGGCACATGCCAGTAGTCACAGCTACTCGGGAGGCTGAGGTAGGAGAATCACTTGAGCCTGGGAGGCAGAGGTTGCAGTGAGCTGAGATCCTGCCACTGCACTACAGCCTGGGCGACAGAGTGAGACCCTTTCTCAAAATATTTATTTCCTAATAAATACATCCATTCGCCAAAGATATATAATATATAAAAATACAGAATATATAATTATATAAATACATTATATATAATATAAAATATATAATACATAATATATAATTTATATAATATATAAATATATTGTATTTTTGTAATGTATATTTTAATATACATTACAAATCTATATTAAAATATATATGATATATAATATATATATTGGGGGTGAATAAATGCATCATTAAACTTTAAAATCCTGTCTAAGAGGGCACTACCACCCATACCCTCGGGAAAATAATTCTGGCCTTTTACAGTTTCATGAAAAACCTCTCTTCTCTAAATGGTGGTATGTGAACTACTAATCCTGTCTTTATTTAAACTGTAATATTTTGGCTGGGAGTGGTGGCTCATACTTGTAATCCCAGCACTTTGGGAGGCCGAGGCAGGCGGATCACCTGAGGTTGGGAGTTCGAGACCAGCCTGACCAACATGGAGAAACCCCGTCTCTACTAAAAATACAAAATTAGTCGGGAATGGTGGCGCATGCCTGTAATTCTAGCTACTCGAGAGGCTGAAGCAGGAGAATCACTTGAACCAAGGAGGTGGAAGTTGCGAGAGCTGAAAAGAAATTGTAATATTTTGTAGATCATGAGTTTTTCCCTTAATTTTTTAATTTAAAATATTGTGTTAAGATATTATTTATCTTTTTTTTTTTTTTGAGACGGAGTTTTGCTCTTGTTGCCCAGGCTGGAGTGCAATGGTGCGATCTCAGTTCACCGCAACCCCCGCCTCCCAGGTTCAAGCAATTCTCCTGCGTGAGCCTCCCAAAGGGCTGGGATTACAGGCGTAAGCCACCGCGCCCAGCCGATATTATTTATCTTGATTACTGAGTTTGCTCCTCCTTAATTTTGTGCATGAGGCGTGTTCCTTACACACCTCCACTTAGTCTTGATCCTGATATGAAGCTACACTGAAAGCAGGTAGTTCACATTTGTACACACACCATTCAGGAGATTTTTTTTCTTCTTTCTTTTGCTTTTGCTCAAATCTGTCTTTGAACAAAAATATATTCAACATTGGCCATGTGTGAGGTAATTCCAGGGATTGTTAAGGGGATGCCCAGATAAGTCAGGAACTTAGCTACAGCCATAGAAATAAAACAGGCGCATAATTACAACTTCAGCTAGAGGAGTGCTGTAAGAAGTAAAGGAAAGAGGCTTTGAGTTGGTGAGAGGTAATTTTTATTTGGGTGAACTGAGAGAAACCTTTTGGAGAAGACCATCTTTGAGATGGATCTTAAAGCGGGAACTTAAATGGATCGGACAGAGCCCAGATCCTTTAGGGAGTGTATAGAAAATCAATCAATCAATAAATCAATAAAACAGTTATTTTTTGTTGTTGTTGAGACGGAGTCTTGCTCTGTTGCCCAGGCTGGAGTGCAATGCTGCAATCTCAGCTCACTGCAACTTCTGCCTCCTGGGTTCAAGCGATTCTCCTGCCTCGGGCTCCCGAGTAGCTGGGATTACAGGCACACACAGCCACGCCTGGCTAATTTTTGTACTTTTAGTAGAGACAGGGTTTCGCCATGTTGGCCAGGCTGGTCTCCAACTCCTGATCTTAGGTGATCCACTTACCTCAGCCTCCCAAACTGCTGGGATTACAAGCGTGAGCCACCGTGCCCGGCCGTAATGGGTATATTTTGTGATAATTCAAAGAACAGGTATGATGATGGCATGGCTATTTTTTTCCTCTGGTGAAATTCCACATAAGGTAAATGTAGATTTTAATAGTAACAGCTACAACAAATTCAAAAGGGCTTACCTGCCTTTTTGTAGGATTACAAATTCATTTTAGGTTCTTCAGCCTGCAAGTAACAACTCAGGAGGACCCAATATGCAAGACACAAATCTTTCCCATAGAAAAGTTTAAGCTGGGGATTATTTCCAAATGCCAAGGTTGCTGCTCCCCCTGCTGGTAAGAAAAAATGCTGTAGGCAAAGCAAACCACAAGCACTCTCCCCACCCATGTGCTGCACACAGATCTGGATTGTTGACGTTTTAGTGATAAGGTCATTAGCAGCCATGAAGTAACAACAACAAAAAAATAGTGATTAGGAATTGAAACTATACTGCAGACTGCAGAAAAAAAATACATTAGCAATGACTCTCATCCAAAGTGCATCATTAAGGCCGGGGACGGTGGCTCATGCCTGTAATCCCAACACTTCGGGAGGTCAAGGTGGGTATAAGGCAGGAGACCACTACTACTCCTGCTGCCTTCCTCCCCTCACCTTGCCTAGTTCACAAGACAGGAGGAAAGAGAGAAAAAGCAAAAAGTTGGAAAAAAACAAAAGTAAGATAAATAGCCAGACAACCTTGGCAACACCACCCAGCCCTAGGAGTTAAAAAAAGTAACAATAACATCAACCCCTGACCTAAACTACTTGTGTTATCTGTAAATTCCAGACACTGCATGAAAAAAGCATTGTAAAACTTTTTGTTCTGTTAGCTGATGCATGTAGCCCCCAGTCACGTTTCCCACGCTTGCTTGATGTATTACGACTCTTTCACATGGACCCCTTAAAGTTGTAAGTCTTTAAAAAGGCCGAGAATTTCTTTTTCGGGGAGCTTGGCTCCTAAGACACAAGTCTGCCGACGCTCCTGGCTGAATAAATAACCTCTTCCTTCTTTAATCCGGTGTCTGAGGAGTTTTGTCTGCGGCTCTTCCTGCTACAGGTGGATCACCTGAAGTGAGGAGTTCAAGACCAGCCTGGACAACATGGTGAAACCCCGTTTCTATAAAAGTAAAAAAATTAGCTGGGCGTGATGGTGTGCATCTATAGTCCCAGCTACTCAGGAGGCTGAGGCAGGAGAATCACTTGAACCTGAGAGGCAGAGGCTGCAGTGAGCCGAGATCACACCATTGCACTGCAGCCTGGGTGACACAGTAAGAGCTTGTCTCCAGAAAGAAAAAAAAAAAAAGTGCATCGTTAAAACCATATACAGTATATGAGCTTATAAAAATCAGGAAGAAACAGGGACTGGAGATGAAATTTTTCTTTTCTTTTCTTTTCTTTTTTTTTTTTTTTTGAGACGGAGTTTCACTCTTGTTGCCCAGGCTGGAGGACAATTGTGCGATCTTGGCTCACTGCAAACTTTGCCTCCCGGGTTCAAGTGATTCTCCTGCCTCAGTCTCCTGAGTAGCTGGGATTACAGGCGTGTGCCACCATGCCTGGCTAATTTTGTATTTTTAGTAGAGGTTTCTCCATGTTGGTCAGGCTGGTGTCGAATTCCTGACCTCAGGTGATGTGCCTGCCTCGGCCTCCCAAAGTGTTGGGATTACAGGCGTGAGCCACCATGCCCAGCCTTTTTTTTTCCGTTTTTTTTTTTGGCAGAGTTTCACTCTGTTGCTCAGGTTGGAGTACAGTGGCGCTATATCAGCTCAAGCAATCCTCCTACCTCAGCCTCCCAAGTAACTGGGACCCCAGGTGCATGCCACCATGCCCAGCTTGGAGATAAAAATTTTTACTTGCTATCTTCCAATGATTCTGCCGGGCTGATCAGCAAGCCAAAGATACAATGTAACTGACTAACAGACGCTCAGGGATTACTATCTATAAACCTGCCTACCAATGACAGAGGTAGTAAGGCCAACAAAATCAACAAGTTGCTGTAACAATTCGACTTCTATAAGCATAAATAAACAAATAAAAGGAGTTTTGACCCTTACTGGGCATCAAATACAAAAATTAACCCCAAAAGGATCATAGACCTAAACGTAAAACTTAAAATTAGAAAACTTGTAGAAGAAAACAGAGGAAAAATCTTTGACTTTGAGTTAGGCAAAGATTCTTGGAAAGGACACAAAAAGTATGAGCCATAAAATAAAATAATTGATAAACTTGTCATCATCAAAATAAAAAAACTCTGCTTGCTGAAAGACACTTAAAAAATGAAATGATTAACCACAGACTAGGAGAAAATATTTGTAAAAGACATATCTTATCAAGGACTTATATCTTGTGTGTATTTGTGTGTGTGCACCCTTACAATTCAATAGTAAGAAAACATGCCAATTTAAAAAATGGGCAAAAATTTTGAACAGACAGTTCGCCAAAGAAAAGATATACATGGCCAGTAAACACATGAAAGATACCCAATACTAAGGAAATGCAAATTAAAATCATTATACAGATATTAGAATAGCAAAAAGTAAAAATTAAAAGGATAACACCAATTTGCAGATTGAGGGCAACTATACCTCCGATAGATTGCTGAGAAATGAAAAATAAGCAGCCTCTTTAGAAAACTGCTTGGTAGTTTCTCATATAGTTAAACATATAATTATTATAATGTCCAGCAATTTTGTCACTATGTTGTTATCCAAAAGAAATGAAAACATATGTCCATACAATTGACTTGCATGGGAATGTTTATAGTATCTTTGTTAAGAATCACCTCAAACTGAAATAACCCAAATGTCTATTAACCAGTGAATGGATACATGAATTACAGTATATTCATACAATGGAATATTCCTTATCTGTAAAAAGGAACAAAGTATTATACATTGAACAACATTGATGGACTTCAAAAGTATTATGCTAAGTGAAAGGAACCAGACACCAAAAACTACATACTTTCTAATTTCATTTATATGACATTCTGCAAAAGGTAAAACTATATGAACAGGGATCAGATCAGTGGTTACTAGAGGATGGGGATAAAGGGAAGGAATTGAAATAAAAAAAAGTTGTTTGGGGTGATGAAATATTCTACATCTTAATCCGGGTGGTAGTGGTTTTATGTCAGTATGTATTTATCAAAACTCTTATAACTATTCACCTAGAGTTAATTTTATTCTATGTAAAGTATCCCTCAATAAATCTACATTTTAAAAAATCAATAGGGTGGAAACTAAAAATTTCTGCTTGTAATTTAGGTTCAAATGACAGCGATGTTTTTTATAATGTGCCAAGATCCTAAGGGAGGCAAGAAGTCGGTTACCGTGTGTCTTTGCCCATTTCATCTCCCCTGCTCTTTCTTTCTTTGCTCACTAGCTATGGAGCACACAGGCTGCCTTCCTCTCTCTAATTCAGAAAGATCATGGCAGCCCCACGCTCTTTGCATTTGCTGTCTCCCAGATCTCTGCAGAATTCACTCCTTCATATTTTGTTTCCAAAGTTAACCTTCTGTGAGAGGCTACCCTGACCACCCTGTGTAAAGTAGCTATTCCCCAACCCACGTCACTATCACATTAATCTGTATTATACTTTCCCCCATAGCCCTTACCACTATTCGAAGTTTTTACTTGTTTGTATACTTCTTGTCTGTGTCTCTCTAGAACACCTTCTAGAAAGAACACTTTTTTCAAAGGCCCCACTGGCTTTTGTCTGTCTTTTTAGCCTTCTAGACCAGTGCCGGCACAACAGACACACAATATACAGATTTATTCAACGAGCATATTCCTTGTTAAGCTGTAGTAGGCATCTTTAAGTAATAAGCTTTCCATTGAGATTTTGCCAATATAGTCATATAATTAAATGTTTAACACACATCATATTGTCACTAGCCCTTCTCATGATATGGACTTCATATCCATTATTCATTTGAAGTTTATTGGAAAGAACACTAGATTGATAGTCAAGAGTCCAAGATTCTAGCCTTGATTCTGCTACTAACTGTTAAGACACTGCCCCTTTGGGCCCAGTAATTCTATTTCTAGAAATTTATTTCAAAGAACAAAATTGGACACATGCACAAACATATATGTACTGGGATCTCATCATCCTGTGTAGTTACACTGGATCAAATTTGGAGAAAAATAATTTAACACAATGAGGATCTGGCTAAAGAGACTGTGGTATAACCACCAAAGCCACGCTATGAATTTATTTGAAAGTGATGATTGTATTCATTTTGTTTCTTATTCAATAAACACTTATTGAGTATTTGCCAATTTCAGGCACCGTTGTATGTAGGTTCAAACACAACAGCAGTAAATGAAACAAAGGTCCCATGCTCATAAACCTGATATTTTTGATGGATAAGAAAGGCAATAAAATACATAAATATACTATGTAAGATGATTTCAGATGATGAGAGGTTCTATGAAAAAAAGATAATACATAGTAAGGGTTTCAGGGGCATCTCCCAAGAGAAAGATTAGGGATGCGCTATTTTGCATAGAGTAGTGTAACCCCAGAAGAACTCTTTGAAGTCACATTTGACCAGAAACCTGAATGAATTGAGGAAATGAAGCCGGGCGCGGTGGCTCACGCCTATAATCCCAGCACTTTGGGAGGCCGAGGCGGGCGGATCACGAGGTCAGGAGATTCAGACCATCCTGGCTAACACGGTGAAACCCCGTCTCTACTAAAAATACAAAAAAATTAGCTGGGCGTGATGGCGTGTGCCTCTAGTCCCAGCTGCTGGGGAGGCTGAGGCAGGAGAATGGCGTGAACCTGGGAGGTGGAGCTTGCAGTGAGCCGAGATTGGGCCACTGCACTCCAGCCTGGGTGACAGAGCAAGACTTCGTCTCAAAAAAAAAAAAAAAAAAAAAAAAAAAAAAAAGGAAAGAAGGAAATGAGACGTGTCAATATCTGTGCAAAGAGTTCCAGGCAAATGCATTGGCCCCAAGGCCGGGATGTACTTGGCAATTTTGTAGGGCCTGTGATATAGGCCAGGGGAAGGATGTCAGATTTTATTCTAAAAGTCATAGAAAGCCTTGGAGGATTTTGAATAGAGGAGTGATAAGACCGGTCTTATATTTTAAGAAGGTGTGGTAAATAGACTAAGGGAGGACAAAAAATCAAAGAAGTCCAGGTGAGAGATAATGGTGGCATGGCATAGGACCATAGCAGTGGGAACGGTGGTCAGTCATATTTGGAACTTTATTTACTTATTTTTAAATAGATCTAATGCAAAAGGCTGGTATGGTAGTTTCGGTGGGGTATGTGAGAAAGGAGAAAAAGGTGATTCCTTCGATTGAACATTTGCAATTGAGTAAAGTGCAACTGGGGAAAGATGTCTGTCACCACTGGATATGAGGGTCTGAAGTGCAGAGGAAACGGTGTTCCAGGGCCTGCATGTAATCATCCAGCTGATATCTGACTGAGAAGTGGTTGGAGAACTGAGTCCTGGGGCAATCCATTAATCAAATGTGCCAAATGCTGCTGACAGATGGAGTAAAATGAGGACTGGGAACGACCATTGGAAGTCACTGGTGCAGGATACATTGGGGTCAGCGGTGAGGAGAAAAGCTGGATTGGGTTATGCTCAACGTAGATGGATTTCTTCAGGAAATAAATTGATACGTGCGAGGGATTTAAAATGGGGGAGTCCGGAAGTGGTGGTTCACGCCTACAATCCCAGCACTTTGGGTGGCCGAGGCGGGCGGATCACTTCATATCAAGAGCTCGAGATGAGCCTCGCCAACACGGTGAAACCCTGTCTCTACCAAAAATACAAAAAAAAGAAAAAAAAATAGGTGAAACCCCAACTATTCGGGAGGCTGAGGCACGAGAATCGCTTGAATCCCGGAGACTGAAGTTGCAGCGAGCCGAAATCGCGCCACTGCAGTCCAGCCTGGGCGAAAGAGAAAGACTCCGTCTCAAAGAAAAAAACAACAAAAAAACCCTGCATGTCTATATTTTCGAATTTGTATGTAAGACGTCTTAATTGTATGCGTTAAATTAAAAAAGGACAAAAGGAATGGAACTACCAGCAGCGACTAAGTCAGTAAAAGAGTGGTAATGGGGAAGGGGGTGGAATATACGCAGGCGCAATAGCAAGCGTTTCTTTTGGAGGTTATTTTCGTGTCATAAATTTCTAAATTCACGTTAAGTCTTACAAGAGCATGTTAAACATTAAAACATAAGATTGTTTCTGGTCAATAAGGGGTCTATAAAAAATAAAGCAATAAGGTGTCTTGTTCAATTTTATGCCTTAATTCAAAAAGAAACGAAGAAACGGAACCCTCAGCTACGACTTTTAAAAGTCAGTAACGGGTGGATGGGAGGAGTCAAACATACGTAGGCGCAACAGCGAGGGATCGGTCTGAGGCGGAGCTAGAATTTCGTTAAAGGACAGCTCTTACAGCCAATCAAGGACAGAGTCGGTGGCTTCTTCCCGGAGGAGACCGGAAGTTGGTTTCGGCTGCAGAGGGGAAGGCGGCTACCAGTGTAAAGCCAGAGCTGAGGTAAGTGGGCGGCAACGGTTTGGGGCCGCCGCCTGTGTGCGTTTTTTTCTTCCGGACCCCGCAGCTTCCTCTGTGCTGGGCTGGGAACTGGGGAGGCATGGCTGAGTTCGGCCTCCAAAGGCGGTCTTTCGTCTTTCTCTCCCGAGTCTCTCCGAGAGTGCGGTCTCTCCGAGAGCGCGGAGGCCTCGGGGTGGACAGCCTGGAGGAGGGGGCTCTAAGCGTGGCAGTCTCGGGGCTTCCTCCGTGTTGGGACGCCGAGCCGGAGTGGAGGTTGGGAGACCTGGCGTCTAGTCCCCGCGCCGCTGTTTTTCTAAGCTGTGTGGCCTTGGGCGAGTCATTTGCCCTCTCCGGCTCTTTGTAACATGAGAGTAGCCCTCCCTGCCCTTCCTTCTTCTGGGAGCAGTTATGAAACAGCTGAGGTATGGGGGCAGGCGAGGGCGGTAGATCCCAAGCCTAATCGTCAGGTCCATCTGGAGAGGTTTTAAAAGCGACATTCTAGGGCCCATTCACAGTAGACAGAATGAATCAAATCTCTGGGGCTGGGACCCTGGAATGTCTGTCGTCTTCTGGTGAAGCTCCTTCTCCCCCAGTAGAACAAACACTAGATGTTGGATCTTGAGTTAAGAACCAGCTCTGATGCTTGGCTCTGCTTTTATTAAAAATAAGACCTCCATCACCTTTGAAAAGTTCCATCTAGAGAGACAGTAGAGAAAGAAATATAATTTTTGTGATATGCCAGTCCTTATTGTACAGTTAGATGCTTCTCGGCTTAGGGATATAAGAGAGCTTGCCCTTTGGAGCTAAAGGGACCTGGGATAAGAATTCCTGTTGTGCCATTTATTAACCTTTTGATCTGGGGCAACACTTCCCCTCATTGAGACTTCGGATCCTCACTTCTAAAATGAAATTGATAATAGAACTTAATTCGTGGGACCGTGTGGTGGCTCACGCCTGTAATCCCAGCACTTTGGGAGGCCGAGGTGGGCGGATCACTTGAGGTCAGGAGTTCCAGACCAGCCTGGCCAACATGGTGAAAACCTGTCTTTACCGAGAAATACAAAAATTAGCTGGGCGTGGTGGTGCGCACCTGTAGTCCCCAGCTACTCAGGAGGCTCAGGCAGGAGAATCCCTTGAACCCGGGAGGCAGAGGTTGCAGTGAGCCCTGATGGTACCACTGCACTCCAGCCTGGGAGACAGATTGAGCCCTTGTCTCAAAAAACAAAACTAACAACAAAAACCCCAAAAACCTTAATTCATAGAATTGTTAATGAAGATTATGTTACAGAGGCCATAAAAAATGGTACCTGTCATGTAGTTGGCCTTAGGAAAATGGCAGCCGCAATACAGGAATGCACATCGTGTAGGAAAGTACAGAGCAGCACTCCTCACCTAAAAAGGTTTGAGTGGGATGAAACGTGAGCTGTCAAAAATTGTATTTTCTGCCGGGCACGGTGGCTCACGCCTGTAATCCCAGAACTTTGGGAGGTCGAGGCAGGTGGAACACGAGGTCAGGAGATCGAGACCATCCTGGCTAACACGATGAAATCTCGTCTCTACTGAAAATAGAAAACATTAGCCGGGCGTCGTGGCGGGCGCCTGTAGTCCTAGCTACTCAGGCGGCTGAGGCAGGAGAATGGCGTGAACCCGGGAGTCCGAGCTTGCAGTGAGCCGAGATCGTGCCACTGCACTCCAACCTGGGTGACAGAGCGAGACACTGTCTCAGGGAAAAAAAAAATGTATTTTGAAGTACCAGATCACTGTTAATTCTTTGATTTTGGTAATTGTGCTTTGGGTAGAAGAAAACATTCTTGTCACGAGAAAACACACTGAAGTATTCAGGGGTAAAGGAATGAAAAACCAATAAAGCAAATGAAGGAAAATGTTAACATTTGGAGAATCTGAGTGAAGAATATGAAGTGTTTTTTGTGTATTCATGCACTTTTTCTGTAATCTGAATTTATGTTAAAAGTTTTAAAATGTCTGGGTGTGGTGGCTCACGCCTGTAATCCCAGCACTTTGGGAGGCCAAGGCAGGAGGATTGCTTGAGCTCAGGAGTTTGAAACAAGCCTGAGTAACATGGCAAAACTCTGTCTCTACAAAATATACAAAAATTAGCCGGGCTTGGTGACATGCCTGTAGTCCCAGCTGCTTGGGAGGTTGAGGTGGGAGGATCGCTTGAGCCTAGGAGGGCGAGGCTGCATCATCCTATGCACCACTGTGGCATAGTGGAAACTCAGGGCTGCGCCACAGCTGCCCTCAGTACCTCACGAATTCTAAGTATAATATTGCTTCTAGTAGGATACTTGCCCCACCCGATGTTAGAGTGTGTTATATCTTGAAACTCTGATAACACCAATCTAAAGGAGCACTTAAGGATCTTCTCATTGGATGGTATACCTAGGCTTAAGGTAGAATAAGTAGAGGTTATTATGGCCATAGATACTGGGTTTGAACCTGGGGTTTGACATTTCTGTGATAGTTGTAGAGAAGTTAATGTGTCCATACAGGCCAGGCGTGGTGGCTCACGCCTGTAATCCCAGCACTTTGGGAGGCCAAGGTGGGCGGATCACCTGAGATGGGGAGTAAAGAGACCAACCTGGCCAACATGGCAAAATCCCGTCTCTACTAAAAATACAAAAATTAGCCAGACATGGTGCACGCCTGTAATCCCATCTACTTAGGAGGCTGAGGCAGGAGAATTGCTTGAGCCCAGGAGGCGGAGGTTGCAGTGAGCTGAGATCTGAGATTGCACCACTGCACTCTAGCCTGGACATCAGAGCAAGACTCCATCTCAAAAAACAAACAAAAGTTAATGTGTCCATATAAAATTGCATAGTATACTGTGACAAAAAGGGTATGGAACTGAATCATCATTTCATTCAGGAACTTTGGATAATAATGTGTTTAGGATTTAGCAATGTTAATTTTGTCAGAGTGTTTATGAGAGATACAAGTAAGTGTTTGCTATTGGAAATAAATCTATAACATAAAACAAAAGTGATTGTGATATGAGATTGGGAGACAGCCTGTGTAGTTTGGTTATGGAAGAGTAAAGAAATGGGGCATAAGTGGTGAGGGGCATGGAGTCCAGAAGATTTTCTTTAGAGATGAGAGGATGCTACATATTTTTTAATGCTGATGAAATTATTAGAGAGAGAATGGAAAATATGTGAATGGTTGAGAATATAATGCCTACTTAGAAAAGATGGCAGACTTTCCCTATCATAAATGTTAGTTTTAGAAACCAAGGAGATCATCTTGTCTTCGGCCCCAAACTGCTGGAAGAAAAGGAAGAAAATATTCCATCTGTAGTTATGAAATGTAACAGGTTTGTCTTGTGGCTCTAATAAATCTTTGGTCTGTGTCCATAGGTTCTTGATAGTCCACAATGGGTGAACCACAGCAAGTGAGTGCACTTCCACCACCTCCAATGCAATATATCAAGGAATATACGGATGAAAATATTCAAGAAGGCTTAGCTCCCAAGCCTCCCCCTCCAATAAAAGACAGTTACATGATGTTTGGCAATCAGTTCCAATGTGATGATCTTATCATCCGCCCTTTGGAAAGTCAGGGCATCGAACGGCTTCATCCTATGCAGTTTGATCACAAGAAAGAACTGAGAAAACTTAATATGTCTATCCTTATTAATTTCTTGGACCTTTTAGATATTTTAATAAGGAGCCCTGGGAGTATAAAACGAGAAGAGAAACTAGAAGATCTTAAGCTGCTTTTTGTACACGTGCATCATCTTATAAATGAATACCGACCCCACCAAGCAAGAGAGACCTTGAGAGTCATGATGGAGGTCCAGAAACGTCAACGGCTTGAAACAGCTGAGAGATTTCAAAAGCACCTGGAACGAGTAATTGAAATGATTCAGAATTGCTTGGCTTCTTTGCCTGATGATTTGCCTCATTCAGAAGCAGGAATGAGAGTAAAAACTGAACCAATGGATGCTGATGATAGCAACAATTGTACTGGACAGAATGAACATCAAAGAGAAAATTCAGGTCATAGGAGAGATCAGATTATAGAGAAAGATGCTGCCTTGTGTGTCCTAATTGATGAGATGAATGAAAGACCATGAAAGATGTTTCTTTTTCTTTTTTTCCTTTTGATAATAGCATCATATATTAGTTCATTTTCTTTTGGACAGTCTTAAGAGAAGTTTCACTAAAAATGTAAACAGCTTTAATCTTGACTCCAAATTTTTCAATTATGAGATGTCATAGGCAGTAATTTCGCTGTATAACAAGCATAGACAAATGAGTGTCCCTGCACTAAGAAGAATCACTTTAAAAAGCAAAGTGTTAGCTGCTGTTGTATGGGACATTCCTATGTTTTAGAGTTGCAGTAAAACTTTGATGATAACCTCAATAATAGCAAAGTTTTCGTCTTTGAAAAGGGGATTTAGCATTTGCTTTAAGAATGATAGATAAATGGATATTAAGCTCTCTACATGTAAAACTATGAAATCTTTAGACTTATTCCATTAAAAATTTTGCTTAAGCTCCAAAAAGTAGCATAACATGTTGATAGAGAGGAGCCCAGTAGAGTTATAAAATAGAAACTTCATTTTTTCCTCATGACTGCTTCTGTAAACCCACTAGCTCAGTCTTTTCTCCCTATCCTGAATGGACTCTTGCAGGGAAGTCCCATAAATTGTTGTTTTTTTTTCCAGTCACTCAGGTAATAAGTCCTTTGGTCACTTTAAGTTACAGACATTAATTTTAGTAATTAAGATGTCTGTGTCATTAGCTATACATTTTCTTTAAAGCTAAGCTCAGACTTGTTTAAGTCCACAATGGGAAAGGGGTTTGATGGCAGAGACTGCTAGGTGTCTACCAAAGATTCTTGCTCTTTGAAGATATGTTGTCAAGATGTGGCAATCCAGCCAGGGACATTTCCCTACTCCCAGCATCTCTGTGAGAACATATGACTAAGTCGTAGGCGGTGAAATGTGGGCATAGGAATCCAGGCTTGCCCCATAAACATTTCTTGCATGATCCTCCATTCTCTTCTCCCAGCTGCTGGTTGGACGGTCGTATCCAGGATAAGTTTGGAAGCCACCGAAGATGGCAAAGATTGTCAGTCTGGTTCTTTGAATGACCGTGAGGACTAAGTCTTCCTTTCAGTAACTCCACTCTGCCCCTAGCTAATTGGACTTTATATGAGCACTTTCTTCTCTTCTTCCCCCGACTGTCCATCTGCTCTTCCACCAAGGTGTTAGTGGAGAGTTGACCTTGTGTCTGAGGATCTCTGCCTGCCGTTTTCTTAATGTAGGCCCGTGGTTCTTAAAGTGTGTGGTCCTGGACCAGCAGCATTGGTATCACTTGGGGACTTACTAGAAATAAAAGTTTTAGTATAATCCGTAGGTTCAGAAAAATAAAAAATAAATGAGGGTTCTCTGGCTCCATCCCAGACCTTTTGAACCAGAAACTTCTGGGTGTAGGTCCCAGCAAGCTGTATTTTAAGAAGCCTATGTGATTATGATACATGCTCAAGATTAAGAAACATTGAGGCTGGGTGCAGTGGCCCACTCCTGTAATCCCAGCACTTCGGGAGGCTGAGGCTGGTGGATCACCTGAAGTCAGGAGTTCGAGACCAGCCTGACCAACATGGGGAAATCCCATCTCTACTAAAATACAAAATTAGCTGGGCTTGGTGGCGCATGCCTGTAATCCCAGCTACTCGGGAGGCTGAGGCAGGGAGAATCACTTGAATCTGGGAGGCAGAGGTTGTGGTGAGCTGAGATTGCACCATTGCACTCCAGCCTAGGCAACAAGAGCGAAACTCCATCTCAAAAACAAAAAAGAACCATTGAGAGGCAATGCCTTTCCCCAGATGTCTACTTTTTTATTTCTTCCTTAGCCCCTGGTTTCTAGCATAGGGATTTGCTCACTTAAACTTTCATTGGTCCTAGAGCTAGCAAAGTTCACATTAAAATGATTATAAGGGGCCTGGCGCAGTGGCTCATGCCTGTAATCCTAGCACTTTGGGAGGCTGAGGTGGGTGGATTGCTTGAGGTCAGGAGTTTGATACCAGCCTGGCCAACATGGCAAAACCCCGTCTGTACTAAAAATACAAAAATTAGCCGGGCATAGTGGCAGGCGCCTGTAATCCCAGCTACTCGGGAGGCTGAGGCACGAGAATTCCTTGAACCCAAGGGGTGGAGGTTGCAGTGAGCCGAGATCGTGCCACTGCACTCCAGCCTGGGTGACAGCAAAACTCTGTCTAAAATATATATATATATGTGTATGTATGTATATATGTATGACTATAGGTCAGTTCTCTATGAAATGTGCATGCTGTGCTTTCACAGATCCAGGGACTGTAAGTTATCCCTAGGTAGACACTTCTTTATCAGATAGGCAGTTGGTTGGCTAGTCTCAACTTTTGTTTTTTTCTGGTACGTAATGTGTTTGGTATAGACCTTTGGGCCTCAGAGACTCCAGAGGACATAGTTCAGGCTCTCAAGCTTAAATTGAAGTAGGGAGCATCACCTTGTGAGGGAGAAAGGTGGAAATTGCTTAGCACTTGAACAACTCTCCAAAGAAAATTCTCTTTCTTTGACTCTGAGAACCTTGAGGAAGGTGTTGGGTTGAGGTGCAAAACCAGTTTTTGGCCACTTTGAAAATCTTTGCATGTAAAAAACAGAATCACATAAGAGCCACAACACTACTTATATATGAACGTGTGTGTGTTGGGGGGAGGGGCGTTGAGGGATTAAAATGCCACTGGGGGGCCAGGCACAGTGGCTTATGCCTGTAATCCCAGCACTTTGGGAGGCTGAGGTAGGAGGATGGTTTTAGGTCAGGAGTTTGAGACTAGCCTAGGCAACATAGTGAGACCGTGTCTCTACAACAAATTAGAAAAAAAAATGCCATTGGGGAGGATCTGATCTTGCAGGTCTGTGACTAGGACCTGACATAAATTCCTAAAGTGTTCTGATATGAACTCTTGCTATTAGAGTGGAATGAAAAAAAAGCTCTAGTGGCCTTATATAAGGTCTTTTTAATCTTGTGTTAAAATATATCTCTGCACACCTACTTATAATGAATATTCTTGAAAGATTGATTCATTGAAGTGAAATATCTGGAAGGATCACCTTTTTAAGCAGCTTTTGAAATGACTAATGCCCAGGTCCCACACTGCGGAGATTCTGATTTCATTTTTTGGACTGGGGTACTAGCATTGGTTTTAAGAAATCAGAAGATGATTCTCTTGTGCAGTGGTTACAGAATGTTGCATTAATCAGTGCTCTGTTACTGCTGACAAAAACCCTACTTGAACTAATTTAAGCAAAAAGATGAATTTATATAAAGGATATGGGGTATGGGCTGGGTACGGTGGCTCACACTTATAATCCTAGTGCTTTGGGAGGTTGATGTGAGAGGATCACTTGAGCTCAGGAATTTGAGACCAATGGGGGCAACATAGTGAGACCTTCTCTCTCTTACAATTTAATTAAAAAAAGAAAGGATATGGGATATGTTGATTGAAGGATAAGTTGAATATATAAACCATGAGAAGGTCAGAAAGTGGATGAAGTTTTAAGTTAGTAGCCCTGGAGACCATCTTTCCTGTTAGCTTCATTCTCTTTACAGATGAACTTCTTTAATGATGTAGGTGGAGAACATGGCAGCTGACAGTTCCTAAGGGTTAAGTATTTCTATGTTTACCACTGTCTGGGAGTTCCCTCTCAAATGCAAACTTAAAAAAAATGAGGGGAGGTTAATTAACGAGCTAGACATGAGGAATTAGGGGTTGTATACTTGATTGCAACTGGGCAAATCAACTGGGACTTGGATCCCATAAGAATTTCACAGTCCCCGCTATGTCTATTTATGGAAGAGTCAGTCTGTCTCTCAGAGGAAGGAAGCGGTGCTGAGCTAACGATAACGAGAGATCTACTACAAATCAGGCACATGTGAACTTAATATAAATAACAAACATAAACGGATTGTACAAATTTGTATTCCCTTTATGAGAGTAGTTTTTCCCCAGCTATTCATTTATTCATGATATTCATTTGATGAATACTTACTGTGGTCTGCACTCTGCCTGATACTAGTTTAACTGTTGGATGTGTGGGAAGGGCGAAGGAAAATGTAAGAAAGATAATAAGACGAGTTAATTTTTGAAGGTGATAAGTTTGTGTCTTAACCACTCAGCCATTACAGCACCTTCAGAAGAATCTTGCTTCCAGTTATGTTCCTATTGCCTGTTCAAAGCACCTTGTCCACATTATCTTCCCTTTTCAAGGAATGTGTACATTTTTTTTTGTCTTTTAAAACTTTTTTTTTTTTTTTGAGATGGAGTCTCACTCTGTCACCAGGCTGGAGTGCAGTGGCGCAATCTTGGCTCACTGCAACCTGCAACTCCCTGGTTCAAGTGATTCTCCTGCCTCAGCCTCCCGAGTAGCTGGGACTACAGGCGTGCACCACCATGCCCAGCTAAGTTTTGTATTTTTAGTAGAGAAGAGGTTTCACCATGTTGACCAGGATGGCCTCGATCTCCTGACCTCGTGATCCACCTGCCTTGGCCTCCCAAAGTGCTGGGATTACAGGCGTGAGCCACCATGCCCGGCCTAAAACTTTTTTTTTCTTTTTAAGTAGAGATGAGGTCTCACTATGTTGCCCAGGTTGGTTTCAAACTCCTGAGCTCAAGTAATCCTCCAGCCTCCCGAAGTGCTGGGATTACAGGTGTGAGCCACCATGCCTAACCTCACATTTGTTAAGGAATTTAGAAGGCAACTTTGCTAGGCACGGTGACTCACACTTGTGATCCCATCACTGAGAAACTGAGGCAGGAGTATCACTTGAGTCCACGAGTTCGAGACCAGCCTGGGCAACATAGGGAGACCCCATCTCTACAAAAATATTTAAAAATTCGCTGGATGTGATGGCACATGACGGGTTCCAGCCATTCCAGAGGCTGAAGTAGAAGGGACACTGGAGTCCAGGAGGTCAAGGCTGCAGTGAGCCACAGTCATGCCACTGCACTCCAGCTTGAGTGACAGAGTGAGACCATGTCTCAAAAACATAAAGAAAGGCAGCTTCAACTCATGCACTGAGCCCTGAGGTTACTGGGAACGGCAGGTGCAAATATCTCATGAGGAGATAGAAAGTTGGCATAATTTGGATGAGAAAGGCTACTATGGCTGCAATATGGTGAGGGAGGAGGTTGGAGCTTCAGAAGCAGGTGGAGGACAGATGTGCATGATTTAGAGAACCAAGGGAAGGAATTGGGTTTTTATCTGAAATCTGATGAGAAATTATGTTTGCAATTGATTTCTCATCAGATTTTACTAAAATACAGAGAATCAGTAGGAAGGGTACTAGCTGTACTCTGATAGATTTCTAAGTACTGCAAATGGTGCTAAGTGCTTTGTAGCTGTTCTCTTATTTAATCCTTAGAACAATCCTGTGAAGAACCTTCTAAATCTGATGGTATTTATGGCTGTAAGTTGCTGGCAATGTTTTAATCTCTTTGTATAAATAAAGTCATTTTAGCCTTACAACTACTGAATGAAATCAGTATTCTTTTTACACTCATATTTCAGATGTGGAAGTGGAGGCTCAGAGAAGTTATGTAATTTACCCAAGGTTAACTGACTAGTGGGTGGCAAAGCCAGGATGGAAACTAGGCATTCTAGTTTTCCAAGCCTGAACACTCAACCTTCATACTTCATTGCCTCTCCATTCCCTCATGTTGTTACTAAGTCACGTAGGTAAGTAAGTAGCGAAACCAAGAGTGGAGCCAATATTTTGACCCTAAAATCCATGCTTGCAAATACTACTTGATACTGGGCTGAACAGATTTATAGATGGAAACTATGAGTTCCCTTTGAACATATTAAGGTGCTTATGTCTTAGCTTAGACTTCTATGAGTATCTTAAGGAGATTCTGTGCTTATAATTCTAATCTTCCTAAAAACTCTTAGTAGGTATTATCCCCATTTTATGAGTAATGAAAATTGAGGATTAGAGTTTAGGTTTGCTCAGGTTGGAATCTAGGTCAGGAATTGGCAAACTCTTTTGTAAAGATTCAATTAGTAAATATTTTAGGCATTGAGGACTGTACAGTTTCCATTGCAGCTACTCAACTGCTGTGGGTCGAAAGCAGCCATAGACAATGCATAAACAAGAGAGCTCGGTTCCAATACAGCTTTCTATATGGACATTGAATTTTGAATTTCAATAATTTTCATATGTGAATTATTCTGATTTTTTCCAACTATTTAGCATGTACAATTATTCTTAGATGTGAGAGTACAAAATCAGACAGCAGGCTGGATTTGGCTGGTGGGCTATGATGTAGGTAATTGGATTCTAAACTTTGGAGTGTTTTCACAAAGCTACTAATAAAAAATCACAGAAATATAAATTACAGAAGCTTCTTCATAGGATTAATCCAAGGATTAAATAGGAGAATGGCTACAAAGCACTTAAGTTTTATTTTATTTTTAATTGACAAATTATTTATTTGTGAGGTACAATGTAATGTTTTAATATATGCATACCGTACTGAGCCTTTTTTCTTTTGCATGCCACTGGCACTTAGAATTAAATTTGTGAGCGGGTTTCAAGTTGCGTTGTGATGAGGCTACCAGTAAGTGGCACTCTTACCTCAGATTTAAGAGCTGTAGCTGGTTGCAGAGTAGACTAAAATGAAGAAACTCAGAGGTACTGCTTACCCTAACTTAACTCTGGGTAGTTAGTGTCAGAATTAAATTGAATCATTAGATACGTACTTTGTCTGTTGAATTAGAGAAATGGTTGGTGTTGGAAAACACCCCAGAATCCTAGGGCTCTACTGTTTAATCAGCTGTATATCTCGGTTTCGTATATTAACTTCCTGCTGGGCGGCGTGGCTCATGCCTGTAATCCCAGCACTTTGGGAGGCCGAGGCAGGCGGATCACCTGGGGTCAGGAGTTCATAGACCAGCCTGACCAACATGGTGAAATCATGTCTCTACTAAAAATACAAAATTAGCCGGGTCCATCCTGGCTAATACGGTGAAACCCCGTCTCTACTAAAAATACAAAAAATTAGCTGGGCGTGATGGCAGGCGCCTGTAGTCCCAGCTACTCGGGAGGCTGAGGCAGGTGAATGGCGTGAACCCGGGAGGCGGAGCTTGCAGTGAGCCGAGATTGTGCCACTGCACTCCAGCCTGGGCGACAGAGCGAGACTCCGTCTAAAAAAAAAAAAAAAAAAAATTAACCGGGCATGGTGGCGCATGCCTGTAATTCCAGCTACTCGGGAGGCTGAGGCAGGAGAATTGCTTGAACCCGTGAGGCAGAGGTTGCAGCGAGCTGAGATTGCACCATTGTACTCCAGCCTGGACAACAGGAGAAAAACTACGTCTCAAAAAAGAAAAAACTTCCATAAAACTCAATTTCCTTAACAATGGTAAACATAATACACATCTCCGCATAGCGTAGGTACCATCTAACGCTGAGAATGAAAGAGAAGACCCATCCTAATTCTTTTAGTTTTTTTTTATTATACTTATTATATTAAGTTCTGGGGTATATGTGCAGAACGTGCAGGTTTGTTGCATAGGTAACACGTGCCGTGGAGACCCATCCTAATTCTTTCTGAAACTCATTTGCCTCGAAGCGACATACTCAGGGCCCGCTAAACATCTGTGCAGAAGCATCTGATCTGAAAGGGCAGCAGGAGTGCCCTGGAGGCTTAAGTGGTGCTTGATTCTGGGGCTCTGAGTCACTGCTACTTGCAGGGGAGACTGATAACGAAAAAAAAAAAAAAAAAAAGAGGAAGGCACAAATAATAGCAGAAATGAAAGGGGGGACATTATTATAGTAAAAAAGTAAAATATGGATTTTTTAATAAGTTAGAAAATTTAGACAAAATGGACACATTCTTAGAAAATTACCAATACAGATTGAGGAATAGGAAACCAGGATAATTCTCTAACAATTAAAATAAATGGATCAATAGTCAAAATCTTCTCACAAAGAAAACTTAAAAGTTCAAATAGCTATACTGGTGAATCTTAAAGTCAGCTGATTAGCAAAAGCAAATAAGCAAACAAAAACACAAAACCAAACAAACAAAAAATAGCTTTGCTGGCAAGTCTGCCAAACATTGCCAGAAAAAAATACAAAAATAAATGAATAAATAAATAAATAATGATTTCAGTCTTATACAGACTCTTTCAGAGAATAGAAAAACAGGAAGTATGTCCCAACTGTTTTTATGAGGCTAGCACAAAATACTAGCAAATTGGACCCAATAATATGTAAAAATAAAAGGTAATGTATTATGGTTAATCTGTGTTTATCTCAGGAATATAGAATAGATAATATGTCACAACAATATAAATTGAAGAAAAATCACTTGGTCATCTCAAAAGATATGCAAAAGGCAGTTATAAAATTTAGCATTGGCCAGGCGTGGTGGCTCATGCCTGTAATCCCAGCATTTTGAGAGGCTGAGGCAGGTGGATCGCTTGAGGTCAGGAGACCAAGACCAGCCTGGCCAACATGGCAAAACCGTGTCTCTACTAAAAATACAAAAAAAATTAGCTGGGCGTGGTAGCCCACACCTGTAATCAATCCCACCTACTTGAGAGGCTGAGGCAGGAGAATTGGATGAACCCAGGTAGCGGAGGTTGCAGTGAGCCAAGATCGTGCCACTGTACTCCAGCCTGGGTGACAGAGTGACACTCTGTCTCAAAAAATAAATAAATAAATAAATAAATTAGCGTCTATCCATGAAAAAGAAAAAACCTTTAGAACATTAGGAATAGAAGAAGACTTCCTTAATATAATAAATAGTAGCTCCATAAAACCTATAGCATGTATTATACTCAAGATGAAAACCTGTAAATTTCCTTTGAGAGCTGGAGTAAAACAAGGATGCCTGCTATCAAAATGTCTATTAAATACGTACTAGATTTCCTAACCAGCATGGTAAGGAAAAAAAAAAGTAGTATTGAAAAGGAAGGAACAAAACTGTCGTTATTTGCAGAAAATGGTTGTTAACATAGAAAATTCAGTGTAACCCACAGATAACTTATTAATGAGTTTACTGATTGCTGAGGAAAAAATATTCAAAAATCAATTTTATTCTGGTATACCAGCAACAAACAATAACTTAAAAATGAGATACTCAGCCAGGAGTGGTGGCTTATATCTGTAATCTCAGCACTTTGGGAGGCTGAGGCAGGAGAATCGCTTGAACCTGGAAGGTGGAGGTTGAGGTGAGCCGAGATTGCAACATTGCACTCCAGCCTGGGCAACAAGAGCGAAACTCCGTCTCAAAAAAAAAAGTTTTTTTCCTCTACTTCCTCACCAGCATTTATGTTTTCTTTTTTTCGTAATTGCTGTCTTGAGGTGAGATGATATCTCATTATAGTTTTGCTTTGCATTTCTTTTTCTTTTTTTTTTTTTTGAGATGGAGTTTCCCTCTTGTTGCCTAGGCTGGAGTGCAATGGTGTGACCTCAGCTAACTGCAACCTCTGCCTCTGGGATTATAGATGTGTGCCACCACACCTGATTAATTTTGTATTTTTAGTAGAGATGGGATTTCACCATATTGGTCAGGCTGGTCTCAAATTCCTGACCTCAAGTGATCCACCTGCACTGGCCTCCCAAAGTGCTGGGATTATAGGCATGAGCCACTGAGCCTGGACTGCATTTCTCTGATAATTAGTGTTGTTGAGCATTTTTTTCATATACTTGTTGGCCATCTTTATGTATTTTCTTTTGAGAAATGTTTGTACAGATCATTTGTTCATTGTAAAATCAGATTGTTTATTTTTTGCTATTGAGATGTTTGAGTTCCTTGTGTATTCTGGACATTTATCCTCCACTAGATGAATGAATAGCTTGCAAACACTTTCTCCCATTCTGTAGGTTGTCTTTTCATTCTTTTGATTGTTTCCTTTGATGCGCAGTTTTTGTTTGTTTGTTTGTTTTTTGAGACAGAGTCTCACTCTGTCACCCAGGCTGGAGTGCAGTGGCACGATCTTGGTTCACTGCAACCTCCGCCTCCCAGGTTCAAGTGATTCTCCCACCTCAGCCTCCTGAGTAGCTGGGATTACAGGCTCATGCCATGATGTCTGGCTAATTTTTGTGTTTTTAGTAGAGACAGGGTTTTGCCATATTGGCCAGGCTTGTCTCGAACTCCTGACCTCAGGTGATCCACGCCCCCTGGCCTCCCAAATTGCTGGGATTACAGGCATGAGCCACCATGCCTGGCCCTGATGTACAGTTTTTTAGTTTGATATAATCCCATTTGTTTATTTTTGCTTTTGTTGCCTGTGTGGTTGAGGTTTTATTCATAAAATATTTTCTCAGACCAACGCCTTGAAGCAATTCCCTTATGTTTTCTTCTAGTAGTTTTATAGTTTGGGGTCTTATATCTAGGTCTTTGATCTATTTTGAGTTTATTTTTGTATAGGGTTATAGGTGAGGGTCTAGTTTCATTCTTCTACATATGGATATCCAGTTTTCCCAGCACCATTTATTGAAGAGACTATCCTTTCCCCAATGAGTATTGTCAAAAATCAGTTGGCTGTGGATACATGGATTTATTTCTGGGTTCTCCATTATCTTCCACTGGTCTATGTGTCTGTTTTTGACACACAGTATCATGCTGTTTTGGTTACAACCGCTTTGTAATATGTTTTGAAGTCTGGTAGTGTGATACCCCCAGCTTTGTTCTTTTTGTTCAGAGGGTCTTTTGTGGTTCTATGCAAATTTTAAGATTTTTAAACAATTTCTCAGCCAGGCGTGGTGGCTCATGCCGGTAATCCCAGCACTTTGGGAGGCCGAGGCAGGTGGATCACAAGGTCAGGAGATTGACACCATCCTGGCTGACATGGTGAAACCCCGTCTCCACTGAAAATGCAAAAAAATTAGCTGGGTGTGGTGGTGCGCACCTGTAGTCCCAGCTGCTTGGGAGGCTGAGGCAGGAGAATGGCCTGAACCTGGGAGGCAGAGGTTGCAGTGGGCCAAGATCGTGTCACTGCACTCCAGCCTGGGCGACAGAGCGAGACTCCGTCTCAAGAAAAAAAAAAAAAAAAAAAAAAACAATTTCTCTGAAGAATGTCATTGGTATTTTGGTAGGCATTGCATTAAATCTGTAGGTTGCTTTGGGTAGTATGATCATTTTAACAATATAAATTCTTCTGATCCATTAGCATGGGATGCCTTTACATTTATTTTATCCTTTTCACTTTTTTTCATCAATGTTTTGTAGTTTTCCTTGTAGAGGTCTTTCATATCCTTGGTTAAATTTATTCCTAGGTATGTTTTTGTAACTACTGTAAGTGGGATTGACTTTAAAATTTTTTTTTGATGAGTTTGTTGTTTTTATATAAAAATGTGACCGATTTTTGTATGTTGATTTGTGTCCTGCAACTTTACTGAATGTGTTTAGCACTATGTTGAGTAAAAGGGCATCCTTGTTTTTTTCCAATTATTAGAGGAAAAACTTTCAGCTTTTCCCCATTCAGTATGATCTTAGCTGTGGGTTTGTCATGTATAGCCTTTATTGTGTTGAAGTACTTTTATTTATTTTTCTTTTGAGACAAGGTCTTGCTCTGTTGGCCAGGCTGGAGTGCAAGGGCACAATCTTGGCTCACTACAACCTCCTACTCCTACGCTCAGGTAATCCTACCACCTCAGCCTCCTGAGTAGTGGGACTACAGGCATGGGCCATCGTGCTCACCTAACTTTTAGAACACTTTTTGTACAGACGGGGTTTCACCATGTTGTCCAGGCTGGTCTCAAACTCCTGGACTCACACGATCCACCCTCCCAAAGTGCTGAGATTACAGGCATGAGCCACCATGCCCAGCCTGGTACTTTTCTACTATACCTAATTATTTAGAGTTTTTGTTATGAGGGTGTGTTGAATTTTACCAGATGCTTTTTCTGCTTCTATTAGATGATCGTGTGGTTTTTGTCCTTCATTCTTTTAATGTAATATATTACATTTATTGATTTATGTATGTTGAACCAGCCTTGCATCCCTGGGGTAAATCCCACTTGATCATGGTGTATTATCTTTTTGATGTATTTTGGATTCACTGTGCTAGTATTTTATTGAGGATTTTAGATCTGTGTTCATCAGGAATATTGGCCTGTGGTTTTCTTTTTTTGTTGTGTCCTTGTCTAGTTTTGTTATTAGTTATGCTAGCCTCATATAATGAGTTAGGAAGAATTCCCTCTGCTTTAATTTTTAGGAATAGTTTGAGAAGAATTGGTTTGAATTATCATTTAAAGGTTTCTGTAGAATTCAGTGGTAAAGCCCTCTGATCCTGGACTTTTCTTTGTTGGGAGAATTCCCTTCCTTCGCCTTCCCCTCCCCTTCCCCTCCCCTCCCCTCCCCTCCCCTCCCCCCTTCCTCTGTCTTTCTTTTTCCCTTTCTTCTGTTTTTTTTAAAGAAATGGGCTTTTGCTTAGTTGGCCCAGGCTGCTCTTGAACTTTTGGCTTCAAGCAATGTTCCCATCTTGATCTCCCAAAGTGATAGAATTACAGATGTGAGCCACCATGCCCAGTCTGTTGGGATAATTTTTCTTACTGATTCAATCTGTTAATGGTCTGTTTGGGTTTTCTGTTTCTTCTTGGTTCAATATTGATAGGTTGTATATGTCCAGAAATTTATCCATTTCCTCTAGGTTTTTGTCTCTTTATACAGCTTTTGACTTGAAGTCTGTTTTGTCTGGTATAAGGATAGCTACTCCTGCTTGCCTTTGCTTTCAGGAGCATATAGTTGTTAATAATAGTCTCTAATGATCCTTTTAAAAAATTTTGGCCGGGTGCAGTGGCACATGCCTGTAATCTCAGCACTTTGGAAGGCTGAGGTGGGTGGATCACTTGAGGTCAGGAGTTCAAGACCAGCCTGGCCAATATGGTGAAACCCCATCTCTATGAAAAATACAAAAATTAGCCAGGCATGGTGGCAGGCACCTGAAATCCCAACTACTTGGGAGGCTGAGACAGGAGAATCACTTGAACCTGGGAGGGGGAGGTTGCAGTGAACCGAGATCGTGCCACTGCATGCCAGCCAGGGAAACAAAGTGAGACTCCATCTCAAAACAACAACAACAAAATATTTTTTTTATTTACTAATTTTTTTGTAGAGATAGAGTCTCACTCTGTTGCCCAGGCTGGAGGCTGTTCTCAAACTCCTAGCTACAAGCGATTGTCTTACCTCAGCCTCCCAAAGTGTTGGGATTACCAGTGTGAGCCACCACACCTGGCTCTAATGATCCTTTGTATTTCTGTGGTATTCATTGTGACATCTCGTTTTTTATTTCTGATTTTATTTGGGTCTTCTCTCTTTTTTTCTTAGTCGGTCTAGCTAATGGTTCATTAAGTTTGTTTATCTTTTCAAAAAATCACCTTTTGTTTTATTAATCTTTTGTATTTTTATTTTTGCTCTGGTATTTATTATGTCTTTCCTTCTAATTTTGGATTTGGTTTGTTCTTCCTTTAGTAGTTCTTTGAGATATGTCATGAAGTTGTTTATTGAAATCCTTCTTTTTTTCTTTTCTCTCTAGAATTTATTTTGTAGGATAGCATATTTGAAATCTTTCTAGTTTAATTTTTTTTAATTTTTATTATTGCTGTTTTTTTTGAGGCAGGTTCTTACTCTGTCAGGTTGGAGTCAATCATGGCTGCATTGTTGGCACAATCATGGCTCATTGCAACCTTAAATTCCTGGGCTCAAGGGATCCTTCCACCTCAGCCTCCTGACTAGCAGTACTACAGGTATGCACCACCATGCCCAGCTAATAAAGTTTTTTATTTTTGTAGAGATAGGGTCTCACTATGTTGCCCAAGCTGGTCTTGAACTCCTGGCCTCAAGCAATTCTCCCACCTCGGCCTCCCAGCGTGCTAGGATTACAGATATGTGCCACCATGCCTGGCCCTCTTTCTAGTTTTTCAATGTAGGCATTTATTGCTATAAACTTGCCTCTTAATGGAGGTTGCAGTGAGCCGAGATCACACCACTGCACTTCAGCCTTGGTGACAGAATGGAGACTCTGTTTCAAAAAAGCCCCCAAAAAACAACAACAAAAAACTTGTCTCTTAATACTGCTTTACCTGTGTTCCACAGGTTTTGATGTGTTGTGTTTCTATTTTCATTTGTTTCAAGGAAACAAAGAGAGATATATATATACATATATATATATATATTTTTTTTTGAGACAGAGTCTCGCTCTGTTGCCCAGGCTGGAATGCAGTGGCATGATCTCAACTCACCTCAACCTCTGCCTCCAGGGTTCAAGCGATTCTCCTGCCTCAGCCCCCCAAGTAGCTGGGATTACAGGCATGCACTACCATGCCTGGCTAAATTTTTTGTATTTCTAGTAGAGATGGAGTTTCACCATGTTGGTCAGGCTGGTCTCAAACTCCTGACCTTAGGTGATCTGCCTGCCTCAGCCTCCCAAAGTGCTGGGATTACAGGCATGAGCTACCGTGCCCGGCCAAGAGTGATATATCTTTTATATATATCTTTTGTTCCTTAATTTCTCTCTTAATTTGTTTTACTTGCTCTTTAATTTGTTTCATTTGTTTTGCAATTTCATTCTTGGCCAGGTGCGGTGGCTCATGCTGTAATCCCAGCACTTGGGGAGGATGAGGCAAGAGATGCTTGAGCCCAGGAGTTTGAGACCAGCCAAGGTAACATAGCAAGACCCTGTCTCTACAAAAAATAGCCAAGCGTGGTGGTGCACACCTGTATTTCCAGGTACTCAGTGGGCTGAGGCAGGAGGATCCCCTGAGCCTGGGAGGTAAAGGCTGCAGTGAGCCATGATCACACCACTGCACTCCTGCCTGGAAGACAGATGGAGACTTGGTCATAAATAAATAAATAAATAAATAAATTTTAAAAATTTTATTCTTAATTTCTTCTTCATGCATTAGTCATTCAGGAGCGTGTCTTTTAGTTTCCCTCTATTTGTATCATTTTGAATATTCCTCTTTTTATTGATTTCTAGTTTTATTCCATGTGGTCAGGTAAGATACTTGATATGATTTTGATTTTGAAATTTTTTTTTAGCCAGGTGTGGTGGCTCATGCCTGTAATCCCAGCACTTTGGGAGCCCGAGGCAGGTAGATAACCTTAGGTCAGGAGTTCGAGACCAGCCTGGCTAACATGGCGAAAACCCATCTCTACTAAAAATAATAATAATAAAAAAAGTAGCTGGGTGTGGTGGCAGGTGCCTGTAATCCCAGCTACTTGGGAGGCTGAGGCAGAAGAATTGCTTGGACCTGGGAGTCAGAGGTTGCAGTAAACTGAATCTTGCCATTGCACTCCAGCCTGGCTGACAGTCCTGGAGAATGTTCCATGTGCTGATGAGAAGAATGTGTATTCTGCAGCTATCTAGTGAAATGTTCTGTAAATGTCTGTTAGGTCCATTTGGTTTATGGTGCAATTTATATCCAGTGTTCCTTTGTTGATTTTCTTTCTAGAAATCTGTCCAATGCTGAGAGTATAGTGTCGAAGTCCCCAACTGCTTTGTATTGGGATCGATCTTTCCCTTTAGATCTGACAATATTTCCTTTGTATATCTGGGTGCATGGTGTTGGGTGCATATATATTTACAATTGTTTGATTTTCTTGATGAATTGATCCATTTATTATTATATAATGTCCTTCTTTGTCTCTTTATACAGCTTTGACTTCAAGTCTGTTTTGTCTGATATAAGTATAGCTACTCTCTCTTGCTTTGGCTTTCCAAATCAGAAATCCTTAACTTCTCTCTTACTATTTTTGCAGTTGAGTGGTTTTCTCTAGTGATAAGATATTATTCCTTTCTATTTCTTCTTTGGGTATTGGCTCTACCAATGAGTTTTATATTTTTGCTTTTCAAAAGCAAGCAGGAGTAAAAAAGAAAAAGAATATCTTTTTCCATGAGCAAAAATCTTTGTCCAAAAGCAAAACAATATCTTTTTCAATCCTTTCATTTCCAATCTATGTCTTTACATATAAGATGAGTTTCTTGTAGGCAGCCTATAGTTGGGCCTTGTTTTATTATCCATTCAGCCAGTCTTTATCTTTTAAATATGGAATTTAATTAGTTTACATTCAAGATTATTATTGATAGATGAGAACTTATTCCTGCCATTTTATTGACTTTTTTTGTTTTGTGTATCTTTTGTTCCTTAATTTCTCTCTTACTATTTTTGCAGTTGAGTGGTTTTCTCTAGTGATAAGGTATTATTCCTTTCTATTTCTTCTTTGGGTATTGGCTCTACCAATGAGTTTTATATTTTTGTATCTTTCCATGATGGTGGTTCTTGTCTTTCACTTCCAGATGTAAGACTCCCATGAACATTTCTTATAAGGCTCATCTAGTGGTGATGAGTTCCCTCAATTTTTGCTTGTCTGTGAAAGATTGTATTTCTTTTTCATTTCTGAATGATAGCTTTGCTGGGTATGAAGTTTTTGGCTGGCAGGCTTTTTTTTTTTTTCTTTCAAATCCTTAAATCATTCTCTCCTGGCCCATAAAGTTTCTGCTGAGAAATTCACTGTTAGTCTTATAGAGATTCCCTTACATATGACCCAACACTTCTCTCTTGCTGTTTTTAGAATTCTGTATTTATCTTTGACTTTTGATAATTTGACATAATGTGCCTTGGAGAGGACCTGTTTGAATCTAATGTATTTGGGGTTCTTTGAGCTTCCTAGATCTGGATGTCCATCTTTCTCCCAAGACTTGGAATGTTTCATTAAATATGTTTTTTTAATATAACTTTTCCCTTTTCTTCTGCTTCTGGAATGCTTGTAATGCAAATATTTGTTTGCTTAGTGATGGCTCATAAACCCTGTAAACTTTCTATTCTTTCTTTCTTCTTCTTTTTTTTTTTTCTGTCTGCCTATATTATTTCAAAAGACCTGTCTTCAAGTTCAGGGATTTTTTTTTTTTTCCTTTGGCTCAGTCCATTCTATTGTCAGAACTCTCAATTGTATTTTTTATTTTATTCATTGAATTCTTTAGCTTTAGAATTTCTATTTGGTTCTTTTTTAAATGATATATATCTGTTGAATTTCTCATTCAAATTATGAACTGTTTTCCTGATTTCATTGAATTGTATATCTGTATTCTCTTGTATCTCACTGAGTTCTATTAGAATTATTATTTTGAATTCTTTTTCTGGCCTTTTTAATATTTCCTTAGTATTGGGGTCTGTTATTGGAGAACTATTGTGTTCTTTGGGAAGAGACATGTTTTCTTGCTTTTCCTTACAATGATTTCTATGCAAGTCAGTGAAACATTTGCCTCTTCCAATTCTATGCAGTAGGTTTAGTAGGCAATGACTTATTTGCATAGATGGTCTTGGAGTGTTGGTTCAATGGGGTGCACTGGCTTTGGTTCTAGGTGGATGCAGTAGTGCAGTGTCCATGTAGTTTCTTCAGCTGTAATCCATGTTAGTGATGTTTGCATGTGTCTCAGTGGCATAGGCTAAGAGAGTTTGTGGCAGTGGTGGTGCAGCTCTGCTGGAAGTGGGCTTTCAGGTTATTTCAGGTTATTTCTCAGGTCAGTGTGCCTACATGCCCATGGTGGGTTGGCCAACTTGGGGTCTCACTCATCAGGGTTGGGACCACAGAGCTTTTACTTTAACTAAGGGCGTCAGTGTGCTGTTTCATGGCTAGCCTGAAGGCCGATCATCCAGGGGTGGCCCATTGTGCTGTTTCTTGAGTCCAGTACACTGGTTGCTTTGCTGGCCTGGGGGTGTGTGTCTCCTGGGGATGGTCCTTGGGGCTGTTTTTTAGTTCTGAGTAGTGAGTAAAGGTTATTTGGGCTGGCCTGGGGGGTGTCTCCTTAGGGTGGTCCACAGGGCTGTTTCTTAGGCCTGGGATGTGGCCATATGGCTTTTTGGCTGGCCATATGGTATGGTAAAGGTGGACCACAGGGCTATTTCTCAGGCCCAGGATGGGGTGCATAGCTGCTCAGCTGGCCTGGGTGTGTGTCTGGTGGGGGTGGACCATGGGGCTGTTTCTCAGGCCTAGGATGTGAGGGGACACACAGTTGCTTGGCCGGCCTGGAGGTGTGTCTGCCAGGAGCAGCCTGCAAGGCTATTTCTTAGGCCCTGGACATGGGCACATAGCAGCTTGATCAGCCTGGGAGCATGCCAGACAGGAGTGGCCTGTGGGGCTGTTTCCCTGGCCCAAGCTGCTCAGTTGGCCTGGGGGCTTGACTGCCAGGAATGGCTCATTGGGCTGTTTTCTAAGCCTGAGACATGGTCACACAGCTGCTTGTTCTGCCTGGGTATGCGCCTGCCATGGGCAGTCAACAGGGCTATTTCTGAGGTCCTGATTTGGGGTGCAGGGCCTTTGGGCAGGCTAGAGGTATGTCTGCAATTGTAGGAGGGGGTGCTAGATGCCACAGGGCTGTTTTTCAGGCTTTGGATGCAGGCATGTAGCCACCCTGCTAGCTTACAAATGTGTCAGCTGTTGGATGGCTCAGGGACCTCTCTTGCTCAGGGGAGGGCCTACAGTAGTTTGGCTGGCTTTAGGGTGGGTTTGCCGGGGGCAGGACTGCCAGACTATTTTTCTAGCTGAATATGTGAGCAGCAGGGGTTGGTTTCCCTGCTGGGCAAGGCCAGAGTCAGAGCTAATCCTGGGCCCAGCCTCTGCAGAGTTGGGGTTGTGACATTTAGTCACCTGTGTGGGCTTGGCAGAATGAAGATGGAGCCCTAGCTGGAGAGATGTAGTGGCTACTGGCCCGCAGAGGAGGATGCACTCCAGATGTGGCTCTGGTCTCAAGATGGCACTATGCTGCACCAGTTTGGCTCACACCAGGTTGGGGGACCGAGTAGGGGTGGGGAGTGCATACCTTGTATCCCAATCCAGAGCACACAGCTGCATTAATTCCCTACACCTCTCCTAACTGGGCTCAGGGCTTGTGAGGACCTTGTAGGATTCTCCTGTAGTAAGGACTGTAGGTATTTTTGGTGGCAGTGGGGGCTGCTGGGGTTCTTCTACTTACTGTTGCCTTGCAAGGGAAAGTCTCTTCTGTTTCTTGGCCAGTCTGGGCTGGGGAGATGGGGGCTGCAGAAGCTGGGTGCACCCATAGTGTCCTCCTGGGTTTCTAGTCATCACAGGTGCCTCTCTACTTTCCCACTGTACTCTAGTGCTGTCCCTTTGACATCTGGTCAAATCTCAGCTATTATTTATTGCCTTGGTCCTTTCTTTTGGGGGAGAGGAGTGCCAGGCATCTCTAGTCAGTCATCTTGCACTATGTGATTTCTGAAATAGGATAGAGATGTCATTACAAAGTAGTGGGAAAATGATGAAATTTCCAATAAATGGGGCTGGGATAAAACACGCACAAATAAATTCCAGGAAGATTAAAGGCTTAAGCATGGAAGGCAAAATTATAAAGATTTAAGTTAATGTAGTCAAATATTTTTATAATCTCTGGATAAGAGGAGAATTTCTTAAAAAGTACTAATACTAATGTACTACTCAGAAAAGGAAAGATTAGTCAACTTTACTATATTAAAATTAAGGAAGTTCAAGAAAACATACCGTATATTTCCACGTGGATAGTGTAAAAAGGAAAAAAAAAGAAAGAAAAAAAAGAAAACACAGTGTAAAGTGAAAAGCCCAGTGTGGGAGAAAATATTTGCAATGGATTTAAACAGAAGATAACTAGTACCAGAATATATAAATTATTTGCATAATAAGAAAAATATAGAAACTCGATGGGAAAATGGGCAAAAGAGTTGAATAAGCATTTGTCCAAAAAAGTCCAAATAGTTCCTAATCAAAATAAAGGATCCTGACTGGGCACGGTGGCTCATGCCTGTAATCCCAGCACTTTGGGAGGCCAAGGTGAGTGGATCACCTGAGGTCAGAAGTTCGAGACCAGGCTAGCCAACATGGCGAAACCCTGTCTCTACTAAAAATACAAAAATTGGCCAGGTGTAGTGGTGGGTGCCTATAGTCTCAGCTACTTGGGAGGCTGAGGCAGGAGAATCGCTTGAACCCAGGAGGCAGAGGTTGCAATAAGCCAAGATTACACCACTGTACTCCAACCTGGGTGACAAAGCAAGACTCTGTCTCAAAAAGAAAAAAAAAATGGCCAGACACAGTGGCTCACACCTGTAATCCCAGCACTTTGGGAGGCCGAGGTGGGTGGATCACCTGAGGTCAGGAGTTCGAGACCTACCTGTCCAGCATGGTGAAACCACGTCTCTAGTAAAAATATAAAAACCAGCTGGATGTGGTGGCACACCCCTGTAATCCCAGCTACTTGGGAGGCTGAGGCAAGAGAATTGCTTGAATCTGGGAGGTGGAGGTTGCAGTGAGCCGAGATAGTGCCACTGCACTCCAGCCTAGACAGAAGAGTAAGACTCTGTTTCAAAAAACAAAAAATGAAAAAAGTTAAAAAAATAAAAATAAGAAACAAAAGATTCTTAACTTATTAATAACTATGAAGATTCAAATTAAAACCACAGTGAGATGTTATTATACCTTTACCAATTTGGCAACAAACAAACAAAAAGACAAAAAAGCCAACTTTGATAATACCAAGCGTTGCTGAGAATGTAGGATAAAGAAATTGCTGTATACTGCTGCTGGGAGTCTTAGAAACTAATTAGGCATTCTCTAGTAAGGTTCAAGATGTTTATACCTTCTGACACAGTAATTCTGCTCTAGAAATGTAGTCCAGAGAAGCTTCTCTATTTGTGTACCAGGATTCATCTATGAGAATGTGCAGAATGGCATTGTTTATGATAACTAAACAAAAGATAAAGTAGAATGAACGTGGCCGGGTGTGGTGGCTCATGCCTGTAATCCCAGCACTTTGGAAGGCCGAGGTGGGCAGATCACCTGAGGTCAAGAGTTTGATACCAACTGGCCAACATGGTGAAACCCTATCTCTACCAAAAATACAAAAATTAGCTTGTCGTGGTAGCACACACCTGTAATCCCAGCTACTCGGGAGGCTAAGGCAGGAGAATCGCTTGAACCTGGGAGGTAGAGGTAGTACTGAGGTGAGACTTAGCCACTGCACTGCAGCCTGGGAGACAGAGCGCAAGATTCTGTCTCTAAATAAATAAATAAATAAATTAGAATGAACAAAGAATATGAGGTATATTCATTCCCAGAAAAACTGTTTAGTAAAAATACATAAACAACCTACAGGGATACAAACAGCATGAATGGATTTCACAAATATGCTATTGACTTAAATAAAACACAAAAGACTACAGACTATATGATTTTATTCACATAATGTTCAAACCCAAGGAAAACTATACATATAATTTTGGGATACACACATAGCTGGTAAAGCTATAAAAAAGACTATAATTGCAAAATTCAGGGTGATTTCCTGTAGGAGAGAGGGAAGATTTTTATAAATAATTTTTTTTTTTTTGTAGAGATGAGATCTCACTCTGTTGTCCAGGTCTTGAACTCCTGGCCTCAAGCAGTCCTCCCACTTGGCTTCCCAAAGTGCTGAGATTACAGGTGTGAGCCATTGCACCCAGCTACTTTGTTTTGGAGAGACAGTCTTGCCCTGTTGCCTAGGCTGGCCTTGAACTCCTGGCTTCAAGCAATCCTCCTACCTCAGCCTCCCAGGCATGAGCCACTGTGCCAAGCTGGGAAGATTTTGTGATCAGGAAGAAGTACATGGTCTTGGCATGGGGAATAGAAGAGACTTATGGAGACTAGCAGTGTTTTTTTTTTTTTTTTTGGAGTCCTAGTTACTTGAGTTTTTGCTTCAAAGTATTTATAAACTATAAATTTATGTTTATATAACGTCCTATATTCTGTTATATTTCCATTAAACAGTAGTTTGACCTTAAAGCCATATTGTGACATCATTACATATCCATTGTTTTGGAAAAAATGAAATAGCCTGATGGTACTGATATTGGCAGCAGCATAGAACATCAAAAGAGTTCTCACTGTCGGTGAGAATGTGAGCTTTTGAAAGCTGCTCAACATTCCCCTGTAAGGTGGATGCCTTTGAGAAGAGAAAAATGAGAATGTGGGTCAGAGACAATGCGGGGGAAATAGTAAAGTGAAAAAAAAAAACAAAAACAAAAACAAGCAAAGGACCTCAAGGGACTGACGATGAGTACGTCCATGTATTGAAGACTATGATAAGCTTAACTATCTGAACCCGGGGTAAAAGGCTAATAACCAGCAAACAGAAAGATAAGGGCGATGCCACACTGGAAACCATGCTCAGAATGAGAGACCACTCATGCTGCTCCCCCACCAGTGGGGCCTCTGTAGGAGGTTGTGGGACCTTCACTTTCAAGATGAGACTGCAGATAAGATTTCCCACAGTAACTCACATAGCTCAGCTGAATTTTTTGGGTGAGGAACCCCTTTTCATTCTTTTCATTTTCATCATTGGGAGCCTAGCTGAGCTATTAAGGGTGTAGTATTTCTATACCCCTCTCCATTTCCTCTACTCGAAAGACATTTAGTTACTCAGGCAGGAGCAGCATCAATTTCCCTTAGAAGTTACTTAATGGATAAGGCTGGGTGCGGTGGCTCACACCTGTAATCCCAGCACTTTGGGAGGCTGAGGTGGGAGGATTGCTTGAATCCTGGAGCTCAAGATCAGCTTGGGCAACAAAGTGAGACCCCTTCTGTACAAAAATAAAAATAACAAACAGGGTGTGGTAGCTCATGCCTGTGGTCCCAGCTGCTCAGGAGGCTGAATAGGGAAGATAAGTATTTATCTTGCTCCATGACACTGCCAGTATTACTACCATCAGACTTTTTAATTTTTTATAAAACAATGGATATGTAGATGTCACATTATGGCTTTAAGGTTAAACTATTGTTTAATGGAAAAATATAACAGAATAAAGAACATTACATAGCATAAATTTATAGTTTGTAAGTACTTATAAACTGTAAGTATTGAGCTTAAGCCCAGGAGTTTGAGGCTACAGTAAGTAATGCTTGCACTACTGCACTTCAGCATGGGTGACAGAGAGAGACTCTGTCACTAAAATAATTTTTAAAAAATTACTTGCTGGATAAATGTTGTGATAGCTCAGAATGCTGACTTGTCCTTCCTGGGCCACTGTATTCTATATTGGAAGGGGCTTTAAGCTGGCCTTGCACTCACTTGAGTGTGACCTCAAGCTTAATCTCTCTGGCATCCATTCATGGTTACTAAATAAAAAACTCTCTATAAACACAGGAGCTCTTTATCATCTCTTCAGGGTTGTGAAGAGCATGTCCTTGTAACTTAAAAAACGCTGCATTAGTAAAATGTCATTTTTAGGTAAGAAAAAAACCATATATACTTGGAGGAGAAAGTTTCTTTCCCCATCTCCTGCCTCTTCCCTTTTTGTGTAAGGGGTCTCTAGTGGATGTTTGTTTTTGTTGTCCAACTTCTGTCTCTCCTCCTGAAATGCACTGCAGTTTTTATTTAGGGGAATCACTCTTCTCTCATTTCAGAACATGAAGTGTGGGGAGGTGACCCAGGCCTAAGCCTATTAATGCTTTTTGACCCTTTGGGGACAGTGATTTTTCAGGAATGAGTCTGTGACTCAGACCCAGACTTGGGCCTTTGAAAGAGTATAAATCCCTTAACCAATAGGGGAGTGATTCACACAGATGTGTGCTCTGTGGGTGCAAGAGAGGGGCACTGTGTAGAATCTGAGAAAAGAGACAGCCCTGGAGGCAACTGAATGTTAACATCAGTCAGAAACTAGGTTCTTGGTGACCTCTCTGAGAGCCACTGAATCAAGCCTTGCCTGAACCTGGATTTTTCCATAATGTCAGTTAATAAATTCACTTTATAGTTGAAGCCAGCTTGAGTTGGGTTTTCTCTCATTGGCAGCATAATAATGTATGGAGTCTTTGGTAAGAGAGTTTTGTTGGCATATGGGTGCATCAAAATCAATATAAGAACACGCCATAGTCATGCTGTGAGAGGTAGTCAATAGCAAAGGGGAAATTTATTTATCTTTGTAAACACGTTATTCTGAAGACCCTGAAAAACCTGAAGTTTCTTCCAGGTATGCCCAGGATCTTGGTGGTCTGACGTAGCCCTCTTAGTGCTGGGACCTGGTGAGGAGGGCAAAAGTGTTGAAAGTTAACTTAAGCTGGGCCCAGTAGCTCACACCTATAATCCCAGCACTTTGGGAGGCTGAGATGGGCAGATCACTTGAACCCAGGAGTTCAAGACCAGCCTGGGCAACACAGTGAGATTCCCATCTCTACAAAAAAAAAAAAAAAAAGAATCTGAAAGAAGACTCATTAAGTTGAAAGTGGCTATTTCATGGTACTGAGATTATGACAACATTTGTTTTATTTATTTATTTTTTAATTCGTATTTTTCAAAATTTTCTGCAGTGAATATGATTTATATAATTTTTTAAAAAGGTTTTTAAAGTACTGTACAAACACACAAGGTGACAGTACCCTTCATGGGAACTCACGTGGCTAGTTACAATCTGGAAGTCAGAACATCTGGCTCACAATTGCTTAATTTAACCTCTTACCCTTAATATTCAACCTGTTTCTTCCTTTGCAAAATTTTGAACTAATCTCAGTTAGGTCTATGTAACCTGAGATGTGATTTAACCAAGTTAATTATCAACTCAATTTAAGTACATATAGGGTCCCCACCTTAAGTGGTCATTGTGGTTACTCCCCAGTATCTACTCCACTGCACTTCCCAATTGTGTAGGGAAGATTCTAGTTGGACTGAGATTTTCCGGATGCTGCCATCTAAATAACCCATATTATCCTGTCTCCTGATCTGGCTCTAACTTCCATTTTATGAACTTTTGCATAATTAGAGTTACACTCTATGCACACTGTGCCTGGCCCAGTGAGTTCATCTAATGGAGTCTATGTAGCTGTAATAAAAAAATGAGGACATTCGGCCAGGCGCGGTGGCTCACGCCTGTAATCCCAGCACTTTGGGAGGCCAAGGCGGGCGGATCATGAGGTCAGAAGATCGAGACCATCCTGGCTAACACGATGAAACCCAGTCTCTACTAAAAATACAAAAAACTAGCCGGGCGTGGTGGCAGGCACCTGTAGTCCCAGCTACTCGGGAGGCTGAGGCTGGAGAATGGCATGAATCTGGGAGGCAGAGCTTGCAGTGAGCCGAGATCGCGCCATTGCACTCCAGCCTGGGGACAGAGCGAAAAAATAAAAAAGAATGAGGACATTCTACATGAGCTGAAACAAAAGATTTTAGGCTGGGCGCGGTTGCTCATGCCTGTAATCCCAGAACTTTGGGAGGCCGAGGTAGTTGGATCACTTAAGGTCAGGAGTTCGAGACCAGCCTGGTCAACATGGTGAAACCTTGTCCCTACTAAAAATACAAAAAATTTGCTGGGCATGGTGGCTCGTGTTTGTAATCCCAGCTACTCAGGAGGCTGAGGCAGGAGAACTGCTTGAGGCAGAGTTTACAGTGAACCGAGTTTGCACCATTGTGCTCTGACCTGGGTGATGGAGCAAGACTTCGTCTCAAAAAAAAAAAAAAAAAATTTAAATACATTTAAAAAAGAAGGTTGCATGCTGTGGAGCAACCAGACAATTGTGATGAAATGTGAAGCACAAGGCACCAGCTGTGACGTGTTTTTGCCAAGAAGTCAAACCACGTTCCAACTAAACCTCTAGAGCAAACTTTCATTTTCAGCAAATTCGAAGAAAAGAGGAATAATGTAAATGACCCCACAGGGAAACAGACAAACCCTGAATGTGGAGCATTTCACAGGACAAAACCTGGTTTGTATAACTGGTTTGTATAACCAATGGCAAGGGGGTGGAGGGCAGACTGTCTTCGATTAAAAGAGACTTGAGGGACATAGCAAACAAATGCAATGCTGGGACTTGTTTGGATCTGGATTTAAACAAACTGATTGAAAAAAGACATTTTTGAGATAATCAGGGAGATTTGGCTATAGACTGAAGTACTAGGTGCTTCTAAGGCATCATTAAATTTGTTATGTGCGATAATGATATTATGATTATATTAGCAGAATGTCCATTTTTGTTTGTTGGTTGGTTTGTTTTGAGACGAAATTTTGCGCTTGTTGTCCAGGCTGGAATGCAGTGGCACAATCTCGGCTCACTGCAACCTCTGCCTCCCTGGTTCAAGCGATTCTCCTGCCTCAGCCTCCCAAGTAGCTGCGATTACAGGCACCCACCACCATGCCTGGCTAATTTTTTGTATTTTTAGTAGAGATGGGGTTTTCACCGTGTTAGCCAGGCTGGTCTCGATCTTCTGACCTCAGGTGATCCACCTGCCTCGGCCTCCCAAAGTGCTGGGATTACAGCCGTGAGTCACCACACCCGGCTTCAGAATGCCCATTTTTTAAAAAGGAAGATTGCACACTAAAGTACGTAAAAGTGAAATAGCACGATGTCTGGGATTCGTTTAAAAATATTTCAGCAGACTCGGCATGGTGGCTCACACCTGTAATCCCAGCACTTTGGGAGGCTGAGGCAGGAGGATCCCTTGAGCCCAGGAGTTTGAGACCAGCCTGGGTAACCTAGTGAGACCCTTGTCTCTAAAAATAAATTAAAACAAATTTAAAAAAAAATAAAGGGCCAGGTGCGGCGGCTCCTGCCTGTAATCAGCAATTTGGAATGCTGGGACGGGCAGATCACCTGAGGTCAGGAATTTGAGACCAGCCTGGCCAACATGGTAAAACCCTGTCTCTACTAAAAATACAAAAATTAACCGGGCATGGTGACAGGTGCCTATAATCCCAGCTACTTGGGAGGCTGAGGGGAGGCAGAGGTTGCAGTAAGCCGAGATAGCACCATTGCACTCCAGCCTGAGAGACAAGAGTGAAACTCCATCTCAAAAAATAAATAAATAAATAAATAAAAATAAAATAAATAAAATAAATAAAATTTTAAAAATAAATATTTCAGCAAATAACAATAGGAAAATGCAAGTTTCAAAAAAGGTATATGGTATTTTGTCTAAGAAAAGAGAGTATGAGAATATATATTTTATTTTCTTGGGTTTGCATTGGGAGTATACACAAGAAACTTATGAAAATGAAAACCTGGTCGGGTGCAGTGGCTCAAGCCTGTAATCCCAGCACTTTGGGAGGCTGAAGTGGGCAGATTGCAAGGTCAGGAGTTCGAGATCAGCCTGACCAACATGGTGAAAACCCATCTCTACTAAAAATACAAAAATTAGCTGGGCACGGTGGCAGGTGCCTATAATCTCAGCTACTCAGGAGGCTGAGGCAGGAGAATCGCTTGAACTTGGGAGTCGCAGGTTGCAGTGAGCTGAGATCGTGACGCTGCACTCCAGCCTGGGTGACAGGGCGAGACTCTATGTCAAAAAAAAAAAAAAAAGAAAACCTATAGCATAGGTGGGAGAAATGGGGGTAAACATGGAAGGATGGGATCATGGGATCAAGGCTTCTTGAGCTTTTTATATTCCTTTTACTTTTTAACTATTTGAATGTATTATCTAAAGTTTTTAAGAAAATAAACAGGAAATAAAAGTTAAGTGAACATGAAAATGTTCAGAACCAGCTCCCTACACACACAAGAGAGTTAAAGGAGATCTCTAGACCCCTTCATATCTAGACTTTAATGAACTAATAAATTGTTAATGTTTTATAAAGCTGGTCTCAGTAGCAATTCTAGAAATGAGCAGAAAACAAAGTGGTAAAAACAAAACATCGCTGGGCACGGTGGCTCATGCCTGTAATCCCAGCATTTTGAGAGGCCGAGGCAGGTAGATCACCTGAGGTCAGAAGTTCGAGACCAGCCTGACCAATATGGTGAAACCCTGTCTCTACTAAAAATACAAAAATTAGCCGGGCATGGTGGTGTGCGCTCTTAGTCCCAGCTACTTGGGAGGCTGAGACAGGAGAATTGCTTGAACACAGGAGGCGGAGTTTGCAGTGAGCCGAGATCGCGCCACTGCACTCCAGCCTGGGCGACAGAGCAAGACTCTGTCTCAAAACAAAAACAAAAACAAAACAAAACAAAACACAGAAACTGAGGGCTGATGCTTTTAAGAGCCTTGACCAAGTTCATGCTGCTAATAAAAATAACCCCAGACCCCATATTTAATCTATTCTACCTTATGCTTGAATATGGTCATTTGCTGGTTATTAGTTATGTGGGAAGACAAACATTAAATTAATAAAACATAATTTATAGTGGAAAAAATCTGTCACTTAGGGGGCTTATGCTCTCATTCTAAATCACCAATCATGTGCCTTTCGGCAAATCAATTTTCTGAAGTCTCAGATTCCTTGTCTATAAAATGAGAAATTGGCCGGGCGCGGTGGCTATGCCTGTAAACCCAGCACTTTGGGAGGCCGAGGCGGGTGGATCGCCTGAGGTCGGGAGTTCAAGAACAGCCTGACCAACATGGAGAAACCCCGTCTCTACTAAAAATACAAAATTATCCGGGGTGGTGGCACATGCCTGTAATCCCAGCTACTCAGGAGGCTGAGGCAGGAGAATCACTTGAACCCGGGAGGCAGAGGTTGCAGTGAGCCGAGATCATGCCATTGCACTCCAGCCTGGACAAAAAGAGCGAAACTCCATCTCAAAAAAATAAATAAATAAATAAAAATAAAATAAAATAAAATGAGAAATTGATTATGATCTCTTGAGTAACTGCCACTCTGCAATGCTATGGGAAGTACACACATTGAACAAGTTGCATATTTATATTAAATGCCATTTGTTTATATTGAACAAATTTGGTATTTATACCCAATGCATTTAATGGCATAAATGTGAATGACAAAGAAACTCAGGAAGGCAAGACATAGAGGAAGGCCACTGGCTTTTCAGAAACCACTCAGCCTGTGAGCTCACTTCCCTTTTATAAAAAAAAGCTTTTGCTTTTAAGGTGTCCAGATAAAGGTCACACTCCCAGAGCTGAGGCTACGTGAGTCTAAGCTGTTACCTCAGTTATGGGAGTGTGGCTGGAACTCAACACTTTCTGATCATTCATGGCCAAAGCCTCTTGGGGTAGGGGAGAGGGGGCACCTTGTATGCATGAGATGAAACAGGATACCAAGATCCCCTTAATTCTACTCAGAGTAGAGGAAAGGAACTGTTGCCAAAAGGAACATGTTTTTTCTAAATTGAAGAGTTGGAAGTTTGAAGGTCAAAGTCAGAATATTAGAACAGAGAGCCATGCATGTATTATCTAATACAATTTTCTCATTTTATAAATTATATAAATGAGGAAACTGAGACTCAGCAAGGTTATAGGATACAACCTAATCTGTGTTAGAAGAAGGATGAGAGTGAGGCTTATGCTGGGAGTTGCTATGGTCTGTAAATGTGAGGATAAGGAACATGCCATTCACTGTTGTGTTCCACTTCCTAGTCCAGTGCCTGGTGCAAAGTAGGGGCTTCATAAACTTTGGTCACAGGCCTGATGAAGGGACTGATTTGAGTGAATGAATCCATGGATGATGCATCTGTACTTTGTGTTCCCCGCTAGTCAGATGGACTCGGACATGCTCCATTTCAGGTGTATCTCATCTGAGACATTATTAGAGGGTTCTCTTTATGTGCCATGACTGAGTAGCGTTTTCTTCCACTGAAGTATTGCTTCCTCTTTGTTGATATCACAGGACAGACATCAGAACACTTACAGGATGTGTGTAGTGTGGCATGACAGAGAACTTTGGTTTCCTTTAATGTGACTGTAGACCTGGCAGTGTTACTATAAGAATCACTGGCAATCAGACACCCGGGTGTGCTGAGCTAGCACTCAGTGGGGGCGGCTACTGCTCATGTGATTGTGGAGTAGACAGTTGGAAGAAGTACCCAGTCCATTTGGAGAGTTAAAACTGTGCCTAACAGAGGTGTCCTCTGACTTTTCTTCTGCAAGCTCCATGTTTTCACATCTTCCCTTTGACTGTGTCCTGCTGCTGCTGCTGCTACTACTTACAAGTAAGTCTCGGCATGGATATTTACAATGACATAATGGTGCTGTACAGAGGACAAGGGAGAGATACAAGGATGGCCATTGTAATGTTGTTTGTAATAGCAAAAGCTTGGAAGCAACCTAAATGTCCGTCGATGAGGGAGTGGGTAAATAAATGTGATATAATCATGATACAAACAGTGAGTCTGACAAAACATACTGGTATAGAATGTCTCAAAATTATAATGTTATTAAAGAAAAAAAGTTGCAGAATAATGCATATATTAGGCTTCTATTTGTGTGTGTGCATTGTCGGGGAGCAGGAATATGTGGACATTTCTTAATGTATAAGCTCTAGGAAAAGGAACCAGGGAATGGTAAAGAGTTGGGAGAGTAAGGCATATTTTTCTTTTCTTTTCTTTCCTTTTTTTCTTTTTCTTTTCTTTCTTTTTCTTTTTTTCAATTGAGATGGAGTCTCACTCTATTGCCCAGGCTGGAGTGCAGTGGTGGCACCATTTTGGCTCACTGCAATCTCCGCCTCCCAGGTTCAAGTGATTCTCCTGCCTTAGGCACCGGAGTAGCTGGGATCACAGGCGTGCACCACCACACCCAGCTAATGTTTTTAATTTTTAGTAGAGACAGGGTTTTACCATGTTGGTCAGGCTGGTCTCAAACTCATGGCCTCAAGTAATCTGCCCATCTCAGCCTCCCAAAGTGCTGGGATTACAGGCGTGACCCACCGTGTGCCCGGCCACTTTTTCATACACCTTTGATAGTGTTTGAATGTTTTTACTGTAGTTGAGTCATATGAAAACAAAGGGGACATAAAAAATCAAAAGAAAATATATAATGAATGTTTTATCATATATAAAATATATATAGTTTTTTTTTAATGGAATTAACTTTGTCATTTGAGGAAAATGAGGAGACAAGTCTCAATCATTTTAGGAGATTTGTTTGCCAAAGTTAAGGAGGCACCTGAGAGACAGGTCTATGACTTTCTCAGAAGATGATTTTGAGGGCTCCAGATTTAAAGGGGACAAGGTGGGATATTGAGAAGCACTCAGTTTTCACATAAAAAAGGGGGGGGGGCAGAGGAAAAATATGGGGAATCTGCATTTTACATTAGATAACACAGACAAAATGGGGTAGGGAAACAATCAGATAACGCATTTGTGTCTGGCCAGGGTGACCGCACCGGTAAAGATGAGCTATCAATCTGCATTGCACAGCTGACCAGGAATTTCCTTGTGGGCAAAATATGGGGGAGGTATGCAGCCTTTCATCCTGTAGCCATCTTATTCAGGAATCAAAAAGAGGAGGCAGGTTTCTGTGACCCAGTTCCCAGCTTGACTTTTCCCTTTGACTGAATGAGTTTGGGGTCCCAAAATTTAATTTCTTTTCACAACTTTAAACCTTAAAACAACTCCATGAGTAGTTTCAAATACACAAGATCCTTATTTAACCAAGGGTTTGTATTTACTGTGCACTTGCTGCTTAAAAAGAGAAGTATGTTAGGAGAGCCTCCCTTTGTTGATGAACAAGCAAGTAGCCCAGATGGGCGGGCCGTTTCCTGGCTGACCATGACTAATTTTCTGATTGTCTGTTTCCATCAGCCCTGTTCTCCCGTGTTCACAGAATTGGGCCACAATTCTCTCCTAGGGCAGTGTTTCTGAAAGTGAGGTTCTGAGACCAGCCACTTCAGCAACACTTGAGAACTTGTTAGAAATAAAAGTTCTCAGGCTCTACCACAGGCCAACTGAGTCAGGAACTCTAGCAGTTGAGCCCAGCAATCTGTGTTTTCGCAAGGCTTCCCAGTGATTCTGATGGCCTTCACATCTGAGAAGCATTGTCACAGCGAATCATCCTCCAAACAGGACTGCAGCAGTAGCTTCCTCTTTATTCTGTAAGACATGGCTTGCAGTTTTCCTGAAATGGAGTAACCTCACTCACCGCTTGAGTCTTGGCTCTCCTTCTCTCTCTATGCAGGGTCCTCAGAAGTGGAATACAGAGCGGAGGTCGGTCAGAATGCCTATCTGCCCTGCTTCTACACCCCAGCCGCCCCAGGGAACCTCGTGCCCGTCTGCTGGGGCAAAGGAGCCTGTCCTGTGTTTGAATGTGGCAACGTGGTGCTCAGGACTGATGAAAGGGATGTGAATTATTGGACATCCAGATACTGGCTAAATGGGGATTTCCGCAAAGGAGATGTGTCCCTGACCATAGAGAATGTGACTCTAGCAGACAGTGGGATCTACTGCTGCCGGATCCAAATCCCAGGCATAATGAATGATGAAAAATTTAACCTGAAGTTGGTCATCAAACCAGGTGAGTGGACATTTGCATGCCATCTTTATGAATAAGATTTATCTGTGGATCATATTAAAGGTACTGATTGTTCTCATCTCTGACTTCCCTAATTATAGCCCTGGAGGAGGGCCACTAAGACCTAAAGTTTAACAGGCCCCATTGGTGATGCTCAGTGATATTTAACACCTTCTCTCTGTTTTAAAACTCATGGGTGTGCCTGGGCGTGGTGGCTCACACCTCTAATCCCAGCACTTTGGGAGGCTGAGGCCGGTGGATCATGAGGTCAGGAATTCGAGACCAGCCTGGCCAACATAGTAAAACCTTGTCTCCACTAAAAATACAAAAAATTAGCCAGGCATGGTTACGGGAGCCTGTAATTCTAGCTACTTGGGGGGCTGAAGCAGGAGAATCACTTGAACCTGGGAGTCGGAGGTTGTGGTAAGCCAAGATCTCGCCATTGTACTCCAGCCTGGCTGACAAGGGTGAAACTCTGTCTCAAAAAAAAAAAAAGAAAAGAAAAGAAAAGCCAAAACTCATGGGTGGAATGTATAGATGGGATGAAAGGCCTAGATCAGTGGTTAGAGACCCTGACTCTCATTAGAATCACATAGAGAGTTTTTAAACAACTATAGATGCCAGGTACAGTGGCTCATGCCTATAATCCCAATACTTTGAGAGGCTGAAGCAGGAGGATCACTTGAGGTCAGGAGTTTGAGACCAGCCTGGCTGATATACTGTGGCTACCCCTATCTCTTAAAAAGCAGAAGAAAAAACCCCACTACCAAAAACCAGAGAAATCAGCATCTCTGGAGGTAGATGCTAAGCATTAGCTTTTTACAGAGTCTACCTCAGGTGATTTTACCCCAGGTGCAGCCAGCATGGTGAACTGCTGGGTTATGCATGTATGCTGGGAGGTGAACAGACTTAAGATTTCTATAACATGTACTTTGTGCCCAGATAGAGCTGAGTTTACATCTAACTCTGCCTCTTACTAGCTATATAATCCTGAGCAAGTTATTGAAACGCTGTGAGCTCCTCTTCTATAAAATATGACAATAATACCGATCATGTGGGCCATTAGAAGGATTTTATGTGATAATATTTTATTAAAAGCCTTTATAGGTTGGGCATCCCAAATCTGAAAATCTAAAACCTAAAATGCACCAAAATCTGAAATGCTCTAAAATCCAAAACTTTTTGGACACTGACATGACATTCAAAGGAAAAGCTCATTGGAACATAAGTATAGGCAGATACTAAAAAATAAAAAAATAAAAACATGGCTGGGCGTGGTGGCTCATGCCTATAATCCCAGCACTTTGGGAGGCTGAGGTGGGTGGATCACCTGAGGTCGGGAGTTCGAGACCAGTCTGACCAACATGGAGAAACCCTGTCTCTACTAAAAATACAAAATTAGCCAGGTGTGGTTGCACATGCCTGTAGTCCCAGCTACTCAGGAGTCTGAGGCAGGAGAATTGCTTGAACCCAGGAGGCGGAGGTTGCAGTGAGCCGAGATTATGCCATTGCACTCCAGCCTGGGCAACAAGAGCAAAACTCCGTTTCAAAAAAAAAAAAAAAATTCAAAATCTAAAACATTTCTGATCTCAAGCATTTCAGATAAGGAGTCTTCAACCTGTAATTATGGCCATTTGTGTGGCTGTTAGTTCCGCTATTAATAATCAGAATGTAACAATGATGACTGCATCTTACCTTTGTCAAACATTTGAAGTGTGTGATACACTCTCAACGTAGGTATCCAGGCAGGTTTGGAAGCTGAGGGTGTATTTCTCTTTCTTAATTGTCTTTCGCATTTTTTTCTTGCTGCCCCTTTGATTCCCTGAAATAAGCTTTCTGCTCTCAGATAATTTTCATCCTTATGTTGTTTCTGACATTAGCCAAGGTCACCCCTGCACCGACTCGGCAGAGAGACTTCACTGCAGCCTTTCCAAGGATGCTTACCACCAGGGGACATGGCCCAGGTAACTATGCATGGGGCAGAGGAGGGAATCTTTAGCTGGCTCTGAATTCAGAGGATTTTGAATGTGGGAAAAAAAGATGAGAAAACAGTGTGAGAGTGGAGGCATGGATATCTCCGTGCACCTGAAATAGTGTTTGAAAAGAGGGAAGTGGTGGAGACACACCTGTGCTGGGAAAAAGATGGTCTGGCTTAGGATTATTTTACTTAAATTTTAACTGGAAAAAAGTTAATAAACTTTATAGTCTTTAATTTTACTTAAATATTAACTAAATTGAATGAAATGCTCATTACTTTGTCCACATTTTCTGACTGACCCTGGACTGGTGATGTTTGGTCATGAACTGGTGTCAGTCTGTGTTTGGGAACTGACACATTGGATTAGGTGATTTCTAGGATGCCTTCTAGCTAGAATAAAGCCCATCACCTTCCCTGGATTCCAGCCACAGAAAGAATAGTTAAATTCTTCATGTAATTCAGCAAGGACGTACTCAGGGTGCTCCAGAAGAGAACACTGGGCATAAAGCAGAAGTCAAGTCACATTGATCATGAAGGTTAATTTTAAGGTATTTCTTGTCAGTGTCCTGGTCTCTTCTAAACTCTCTGGAGCTCCATTTTTTTTTTCTTCTGTAAAATGAGGTTAATAGGTGAGTCCCACCTCATAATGTCATAAATCTCATAAATCACACCTTATGGGCTTTAAATAAGAAAATGTCTAAAACGTTTATCCCAATGTCTGACCACAATTTGTACATGTTAGCTGTTGTCGTTAATATTATAAGATCAGGAGGCACAGTGAGATTGTGGTTAAAGTACTTCAGTGACAGGTGGAATGGGTTCTAATTTCAGCTGTTCTTGATAGCTCTGTGACCTCAGTCAAGTTGCTCAAATTCTCTGAAGCTCAGTTTGCTCATCTCTACAATGAGGATAATTCCAGTGCCCATGTCATGAGGTGGTTGTAATGTATAAACATGATAATGTATGTAAAATGCTCAGCATAGTACCTGGCCCATAAAAAGCACTCAACTGTTTATTATTACTATAGTTACTGGTTTTAGCTCTCCAAAGTTTCAGTCTTTGGTTAGTCTTTAGTGATTGGTAGCCAACATCTTTTATGCAATTAGAGAGGAAACTAAATATGGTGGGGACAGAAAATAATAAAGTTATACCAGATACTTATTGTATGCCATTGTTATATTTTAAAGAATCTTACAACCATAGTGCTAGAAGGGACTTCAAGGGTCATTTAGTCTCACTTTCCCATCCTGTGCTTCAGTACTTTTTTTTTTTTTTTTAATTGAGACGGAGTCTTGCTCTGTCACCCAGACTAGAGTGCAGTGGCGCAATCTCGGCTCACTGCAAGTTCCGCCTCCTGGGTTCACGCCATTCTCCTGCCTCAGCCTCCCAAGTAGCTGGGACTACAGGCGCCCACCATCAAGCCCAGCTAATTTTTTTCTTTTTTGTATTTTTAGTAGAGACAGAGTTTCACCGTGTTAGCCAGGATGGTCTCCATCTCCTGACCTTGTGATCCTCCCGCCTCGGCCTCCCAAAGTGCTGGGATTACACGCGTGAGCCACCGCGCCCGGCCAGTACTTTTTACTACATCACCACTGAATGGGCATTTGCTGTAGACGGAGTTCACTCCCTGTCGAGGTGGTGCATTTCCTTATACTTGTCTCTACCACAGACAGAAGTCTTCTTTCCTTTAGTTTTTCTTTCCTTTTTTTTTTTTTTTGAGACGGAGTCTCACTCTCTCACCCAGGCTGGAGTGCAATGACACGATCTTGGCTCACTGCAAACTCTGCCTCCCAGGTTCATGCCATTCTCCTGCCTCAGCCTCCCAAGTAGCTGGGATTACAGACGCGCGCCACCACGCCCCGCTAATTTTTGTATTTTTATTAGAGACGGGGTTTCACCATGGTGGCCATGCTGGTCTCGAACTCCTAACCTCAGGTGATCCCTCTGCCTCGGCCTCCCAAAGCGCTGGGATTACAGGTGTAAGCCACCACGCCCAGCCTTCCCTTTAGTTTTTGTTTGTTAGTTCCTTCCCTCTAGGGCAACAAAAATGGGAATATAGGAATAATACCTCGAACCTCTGAGCTTCTCAAGGGCCTGACTGAGAAAAAATATTGAAACAACCAAAAATAGGTCAGTAGCTCCTAAATAGGAAAATAAAATAAAAAATTGAAATGAATGAATATTTAATGGTTTGTCTATAATATGTAACATTATGTAAATTGGCTGCTGGCAAACCAACTCTAAATGTGGGATGTGGGAGCATTTAATATAAAAATGGGGCTGGGCACAGTGGCTCACATGTGTAATCCCAGCACTATGGGAGGCCAAGGCAGGCAGATCACTGGAGCTCAGGAGTTCAAGACCAGCCTGGGCAACATGGCAAAACCCCATCTCTACTAAGAATACAAAAAATTAGGCTGAGTGCAGTGGCTCACACCTGTAATCCCAGCACTTTGGGAGGCCAAGGCAGATGGATCACCTGAGGTCAGGAGTTTAAGCCAGCCTGGCCAAGATGGTGAAACCCCTGTCTCTACTAAAAATACAAAAATTAGCTGGTCATGGTGGTGCATGCCTATAATTCCAGCTACTCAGGAGGCTGAGGCAGGAGAATTGTCTGAGCCTGGGAGGAGTGAACCGAGATCTCACCACTGTCCTGAAGCCTGGAAAACAGAGCGAGATTCCATCCCAAAAAAAAAAAAAAAAAAAAAAATAGCCGGGCATGGTGGCATGTGCCTGTAGTCCCAGCTACTTGGCAGGGCTGAGGCAGGAAGATTGCTTGAACTCAGGAGGTTGAGGATTCACTGAGCCGAGTTGGTGCCACTGTACTCCAAACCTGGGCAACAGAGCGAGACCCTTTCTCAGAAAAAAAAAAAAAAAAAATGGAGTAGAGCCTTTAAAAGTAAGAGATCCAAGGGCCTGGAATTTGAACACAGAACAAATGCAACTTGTCTTCTACCTGAAGGAGTAAGGACTGGGTCACAGGTGAGTCCTCAGCTCTAGAGTAGATCTGCTTTAAATCCTAGCTTTCCCAATTAATAGCTGTGTGATCTTGGGCAAAGTGGCTCTCTCAGACTCAGTATCTTCATCTGAAAAATGGGGAAAATAGTAGTACCTACTTATTGTGGTTGAGGATTAAATGAGATTGTATGTATATGGTGCTAAGCACCATGTCTGGCACCTAATAAGTACCAAATAGATGGTAACTACTAAATTTATACACTGTTAAGGCCATCACATCTCACCTCCGCTGCTACCTGCCCCACCAGGCAAATCTTGGTTTCTCCAGAAAGAACATTGCCACTCCCTTCAACTGTCCCATCCATCTTGGTTGGTGGCCAAATCTGTGTGAAAAAAAGCTGTAATGACACAACAGTGCTTGATTTTACTGATCATTTTCATAGCAAAATGAAGTTTTTAAAAAGTTAGTTTTACCATTTTTATCAAGAAAAATAATTATAAGGAGTCTGAAACTGGATTTACATTTAAAATCTTATGTGCACTTAAGATTCATGTTTACTTAGCAGTTGTACTGATGAGGGTCTTTTTTTTATTTTTTTGATATGGAGTCTTGCTCTGTCACCAGGCTGGAGTGCAATGGTGTGATCTCGGCTCACTGCAACCTCCACCTCCTGGGTTCAAGCGATTCCACTGCCTCAGCCTCCTGAGTAGCTGGGACTACAGGCGTACACCACCACGCCCGGCTAATTTTTTGTATTTTAGTAGAGATGGGGTTTCACCATATTGGCCAGGATGGTCTCGATCTCCTGACCTCGTGATCTGCCTGCCCTCGGCCTCCCAAAGTGCTGGGATTACAGGTGTGAGCCACTGCACCAGGCCTGTGGTTTTTATATTTTAAATTTTTTTCTGGTAATTAGGGCAAAAGTAATTGGAACATAATCTTTTTTTCTTCAATAATTTTAGGCTGAGGCTATGCCTTTATAATATTTAAACTATAGTTTGCTAAACCAGCATTTAGTCAAACCCTTTATACACATTAAGGCTTCCAGAAGGTGACAGTGACATTTAAGAAGTTTCAACATCTCTGACTCAGCCATAAAAATGAGTAAGCATGCTTAGTTTTCCAAAAGCTGGCAATGTACTTATTTTTAGAATTCAGTGTTCATGAGGTCAGGGCCTGTGCCCCTCTTGTTTCCTGCTCTGTCCCCTGTGCCTAGAGTAAGGGCATAGTGCATATTCATGGAATGGATCAGCAGATGAAGAAATAAACAAATGAACAGGAAGGAAAGATGGTGAGTGGGTGGCTGGGCAACGTGACCCTCTTCATAATGACAGCACTGAGGTAAGGGCTGGTGAAGGCAGTATAATTAAGAATGTGCATTTAAGGCTATGCAGACCTAAATTGGAAGGCCATTTTGTCATTTGCTAAGTCATGTGACCTTGGGTTAGTCACTTCACTTCCCTAATTTTCAGTTTCTTCATCTGTGCAATGGGACTAACAGTCTCTACTTTAGAAGCGTAGTTCTAAAGTAAGTGCTTCTAAGTATCTCTAAAATGAGCTTCTTCACTGAAAGAGTTTATTTAGCACAAGGCCTGGCTCCTATTACATTGTGACCACAGTGATTATTTTCATTTGTTGGCAACCCTGTCTCCCTTCTCATGAGTAAATGCAAAACTTATTTAAGAAAATGGAGGCTGGGCACGGCACGGTGGCTCACGCCTGTAATCCCAGCACTTTGGGAGGCCGAGGCGGGTGGATCACTTGAGGTCAGGAGTTCGAGACTAGCCTGGCCAACATGGCGAAACCCCGTCTCTACTAAAAATACAAAAATTAGCTGTGTGTGGTGGTGTGCCCCTGTAGTCCCAGCTACCAGGGAGGCTGAGGCAGGAGAATCGCTTGAACTCAGGAGATGGAGGTTGCAGTGAGCAGAGATCATGCTACTGCACTCCAGCCTGGGTGATAGAGTGAGATTCTGTCTCGCAAAAAGAAAAAAAAGAAAAAGAACATGGAGGTTGCAGTGAGTTGAGATTGTGCCACTGCACTCCAGCCTGGGCAACAGAGTGAGACTGTCTCAAAAAAACAAAAAAGAAGGAAATGAATTTTTGTTGTCTTTTAAAATCTAATTAGAATATAATGCCTGAGGCCAAGCCTGGTCGTTCACACCTGTAATCCCAGCATTTTGGGAGGCTGAGGTGGGCAGATCACCTGAGGTCAGGAGTTCACAACCAGCCTGGTCAACATGGCCTCGTCTCTACTAAAAATACAAAAATTAGCTGGGCGTGGTGGTGCATGCATGTAGTCCCAGCTACTTGGGAGGATGAGGGATGAGAATTGCTTGAACCAGGGAGGCCGAGGTTGCGGTGAGCTGAGATTATGCCACTGCACTCCAGCCTGGGTGACAGAGTGAAATTCTGTGTCTAAATAAATAAATAAATAAATAATGCCTGAGTCTTATCAATATTGCTAGATGTTTGTAGAACTCATTAGGGTCCTGTGAAAAAAACAAAGCACATATTTAATGTAGGACTTCCTGGCAGAAGTCTCTATTTCATAAAACAGTACGGTTCATTATCTAGATGAAAAAATGTGGCCATCCTAAAGTTGATTCCTGGGTGTTCAGTAAATTTTGTCTGTCTCTCCATTAATTATTGTGACAAGTACGGAGTAGAATTCATTTCAAATAGGATTATAGGCATCATTAAGATTTTTTAAAAACTTAGATAAAAGAAAACGTTCTTAACTATACTATTGGCTATTTTTCCTCTCTCTCTCTCTCTCTCTCTTTTTATAGCAGAGACACAGACACTGGGGAGCCTCCCTGATATAAATCTAACAGTAAGTAACTTTTTTTGTGAGCTATGTTGTACTCAACTTGGAGGGGAAATCATGGCTTTAGACTTCCTTCATGCCCACCTTGTCCTTGGGGTAAAAAGCCTTAAGTTCCCTTAGCTTCAGATTCCTGGGCTGTAACATGTTGATGATGACAGTTCTAACCTCATAGGCCTGCTGTAATGAAGGACTGACATGATGTGTGTAAAGTGCCTGGCATATAGTAAGAGCTTGAAAACCACAAAGAAGAAACATTAGCATTTTGTCCCTCTTATTCTTCAATTTCACAACTGTCTACCCTGTGGAAGGTTCAAAGATTCTTCATCTCCCTAGAATACCATTCTTCTTGCTTCCATTGCAATCCTAATGGGAAAGAGTATTTAAATTTATCTCTTTAAATATGGCAAGACACCAGTCAGGAATATTCAAAGTGAAGAGGTTTTTTTTTTTTTTTTTTAGACAGAATTTCGCTCTTGTTGCCCAGGCTGGAGTGCAAGGGTGTGATCCTGGCTCACCTCAACCTCCGCCTCCCGGGTTCAAGCGATTCTCCTGCCTCAGCCTTCCGAGTAGCTGGGATTACAGGCATGAGCCACCACACCCGGCTAATTTTTTTATTTTTAGTAGAGACGGAGTTTCACCACATTGGCCAGGCTGATCTTGAACTCCTGACCTCAGGTGATCCACCTGCCTCGGCCTCCCAAAGTGCTGAGATTGCAGGCGTGAGCCATGGCACCTGGCCTAATTTTGTATTTTTAGTAGAGACAGGGTTTCTCCATGTTGGTCAGGCTGGTCTTGAACTCCTGACCTCAGGTGATCCGCCCAACTTGGCCTCCCAAAGTGCTGGGATTACAGGCATGAGCCATGGTGCCCAGCCAGTTTTATGTATTTAACTATAAATAAAGCCATACCTTAATAAACCTCAATTTTACTGTCCCTGCTACCTTCTCAGAATAAAAGAAAAACTGGCTGGGCGCAGTGACTCACGTCTGTAATCCCAGCACTTTGGGAGGCTAAGTAGGGTGGATCACCTGTCAGGGGTTTGAGACCAGCCTGGTCAACATGGTGAAACCCCATCTCTACTAAAAATACAAAAAATTAGCCAGGTATGGTGGTGTGTGCCTGTGTAGTCTCAGCTACTCAGGAGGCTGAGACAGGAGAATCGCTTGAATCCAGGAGGTGGAGGTTGCAGTGAGCTGAGGTCGCGCCACTGCACACCAGCCTGGGCAACAAGAGCGAAATTCCCTCATAAAAGAAAAACCACTAGAAGGCAAGCTTGCAGCAATGACTTAAAAATTCTTTGAGGAGGCCGGGCACAGTGTCTCATGCCTGTAATCCCAGCACTTTAGGAGGCCAAGGTGGAAGGAATGCTTGAGACCAGGAGTTTGAGACTAGCCTGGGCCACATAGTGACACCCTGTCTCTACAAAAAATATTTTTTAAAATTTGGCCAGGCATGGTGCTGCAAACCTGTAGTTCCAGCTACTTGGGAGGCTGAGGCAGGAGGATCACTTGAGCCCAGTAGGTTGAGGCTGCATTGAGCTGTGATCATGCCCCTGCACTCCATCCTAGGTGACAGGGCAAGGCCTTGTCTCAAAAAAAAAAAAAAAAAAAAAATTACTTGAGGGCATATCCAGGAGCCCACATTTATTTGACTCAGTTTCTTGCTTGTGTATTCACAACTGATGCTCAGCATCTTGTATTTGCTCCTTCTCTCTTTGCAATCAAACAGTGCTTTTTAAGGACCTGTATGTGCCCACAATGCTTAATGCACAATATCTTGCATATAGGACTCCTGTTATTGCAGGAGTAATGTGTATTGAATCAATTTGTAAATGTATATTGAATAAATGGAAGATTTAACTTCCTTAAATTCATTGTTTTAAAAATGCTTATAATTATATGTGTGTGTGTGTGTGTGTGTGTGTGTGTGTGTGTGTTTTGTATAAATGGGGTCTCAATATTATTAGGCTGGTCCCTAACTCCTGGTCTCAAGTGATCCTCCCATCTCAGCTTCCCAAAGTGCTGGGATTATAGGTGTGAGCCTGGCCTATAATTATTATTTATTTATTAATTTATTATTTATTTTTGAGATGGAGTTTTGCTCTTGTCGCCCAGGCTGGAGTACAATGGCACAACCTTGGCTCACTGCAACCTCTGCCTCCTGGGTTCAAGCGATTGTCCTGCCTCAGCCTCCCAAATAGCTGGGACTATAGGTGCCCGCCACCACACCTGGCTAATTTTTGTATTTTTAGTAGAGATGGGGTTTCACCATGTTGGCCAGGCTGGTCTTGAACTCCTGACCTCGTGATCTGCCTGCCTTGGCCTCCCAAAGTGCTGGGACTACAGGCGTGAGCCACCGCACCTGGCCTAATCATTGTTTTTAAAGAGAGAAAAAGAGAGAACCCATAGACTGAAATTTTAGAAACAGGATTTATTTTGTGTGGCTCTCAGTTATCAGAAAATCAAGTTAACTAGAGCAATAGCAATAATAGCTACGATTGATTGAACATTTATTATGTACCAGGCCCTGTACTAAGCATTTTATATTTTCTCTCACTTAGTTTTCCTGATAACTCTACAGGATTACTCAGCCCTTAGTGGCAGAGCTGGGAATTTTTTTTTTTTTTTTTTTTTTGAGATGGAGTCTCGCTCTGTTGCCCAGGTTGGCGTGCAGTGGCATGATCTCAACTCGAGTACTCCAGTCTTTGCCTCCTGGGTTTAAGTGATTCTCCTGCCTCAGCCTCCCCACTAGCTAGGATTACAGGCATGTGTTACCACGCCTGGCTAAGTTTTGTATTTTTAGTAGAGACGGGGTTTCACCATGTTGTCCAGGCTGGTCTCAAACTCCTGATGTCAGGTGATCCGCCTGCCTAGGCCTCCCAAAGTGCTGGGATTACAGGCATTAGCCACCGCGCCCGGCCTCAGAGCTGGGATTTGAATCCACGACCGTCTGGCTGTAAAGTCTTGGCTATTGAATCACTGTCTTTTTGTGAAAAATAGACGTTTCATAGCAAGACACTAAATGTAAACTACTCTAAAACTCTCTGGGGAATCTTAGGGGATCTTGAACCAACAAGACTCCACTCTAAAGCCAATTTTTGCAGGGGCAGGGAAAGGGTCTTAAGAGCTCCTTCTCTCTTTTTTTTTTTTTTTTTTTAAGAGCTCCTTCTCTACCCACAACACAGAAGGGCACATTTTGTTTCCTTGCTAACTCCAAAGGTTAAGGGAGACCCTTTCTTGGGTTGGCTTGAGTGTTGGCTACAAGGTGACAGATCAAAGGTGATTTGAAGGACTCAGCCATCCTGTGATGTTGTAAAAGGGATGGTCCAATTCACAAATCTTGAAGCTGATTACACAAGCGATTTCTAGCTGTTTTCTGCTTAAATCCTGTTTGTGTTTCCATAGCAAATATCCACATTGGCCAATGAGTTACGGGACTCTAGATTGGCCAATGACTTACGGGACTCTGGAGCAACCATCAGAATAGGCATCTACATCGGAGCAGGGATCTGTGCTGGGCTGGCTCTGGCTCTTATCTTCGGCGCTTTAATTTTCAAATGTAAGTGTTTTTGTTTCTCTCTCCCTCTGATAACAAATTCTTCAGTGAGAACCAGTAAAAACCTAGATAGAAATGCAAATTCATGTTTATACCCAAAGATGATTAGACTAAATACCCTTTTGTCCATCCAAATCCTAACAATAATGGCTAATTTTTATTTAATATTTATTGTGTGTCAGGCAGCCACTGCGTTAAATGTTTTACATACATTTTATCATCATTACTGTCTTATGAGATAAGGAATAGTACCATCCCCATTTTACAGTGAAGGGAAGTCAAGCTTAGAGTAAGCTGCCTTCCCGAGGTTTCAACATCAGTACCTGGCAGAACCGGAAATCAAATCCAGGCAGGCTGATTCCAGTAAACTAATTTCTTTAATTCATGAATATGTCTAGGTTTGTTACGAAACACAACAACAAAAAACACTTCCTTCTGTGCACTTTTCTGTTATTGGTTTCTCAGGCATACCTCTCTGGCAGTAGACTGCAAGTCCCTTTAACACTGGGTCGTGACTGGGGTTAGAGAATGTTTTCCTCCATCATGGTACTTAGCACATAGCTTTTTCTAAGTTACTTATCCCTTTTTTTTTTTTAAACTAGCAAACAAACAAAAACAAAAAAACAGGCCCGGCGCAGTGGCTCACGCCTGTAATCCCAGCACTTTGGGAGGCTGAGGGGGGTGGATCATTTGAGGTCAGGAGTTCGAGACCAGCTTGGCCAACATGGTGAGACCCCATCTCTACTAAAAATACAAAATTAGCCGGGTGTGGTGGCGCATGCCTGTAATCCCAGCTACTCAGGAGGCTGAGGCAGAGGAATCACTCAAACCTGGTAGGTGGAGGTTACAGTGAGCTCAGATCATGCCACTGCACTCCAGCCTGGGTGACAGAGTGAGACTGTCTTAAAAAAAAAAGTAATAAAATATAAATAAATAAGCAAATAAATAAATAAATAAATACAATGGCCAGGTGCAGTGGCTCATGCCTGTATTTTCAACACTTTCGGAAGCTGAGGTGAGAGGATCAGTTGAGCCCAGGAGTTTGAGACCAAGATCAGCCTGGGCAGCAAAGCAGGATCCTGCCTCTACAACGTAATAATAATAATAATGAGCTGGGCATGGTGGCACACACCTGTAGTCCCATCTACTCAGGAGGCTGAGGTGGGAGGATCACTTGAGCTCAGGAGGCTGCAGTGAGCGGTGATTGCATCATTGCACTCCACCCTGGGCAACAGAATAAGACAGTCTCCAAAAAAAAAAAAAAAAAGAAGTGTGTTGAAGTTGATGAATTTTGATGGAGAATTACAGTAGGAAGCCATCATCACAATCAAGATCTAAATACTTCCAGTACCCCCAAAACCTCGCACACTTTTGTTTTTTTGGAGATGGACGCTGGAGTGCAGTGGCACGATCTCAGCTCACTGTAACCTCTGCCTCCCGGGTTCAAGTGTTTCTCCTGACTCAGCTTCCAGAGTAGCTGGGACTACAGGCATGTACCACCACGCCTGGCTAATTTTTATATTTTTAGTAGAGACAGGGTTTCACCATGTTGGGCAAGATGTTCTTGATCTCCTGACCTTGTGATCCGTCCACCTCGACCTCCCAATGTTTTGGGATTACAGGCGTGAGCCACTGTGCCTGGCCACTCACACACTTTTATAATTGTGTCTATTTTATTTTCTTTTAGGGCAGAAACCAAGTCCTTATGCCCCAGAGCGTAATATGACATAGCAGCCTTTCTTACTAATACACAAACAGGGACTGTGTGTGTAGAGTGAGCAATCACCTCAGATTAGCTCAAGACTAAAGGGTGTTCCTAAGATATATGGGACTTCTAGGGCTAAAACTGGAACAGTCCAAGAAAAACATGAGTTGGTCCCCCCACTAACTGTGGACTGAAGCTGCCAAGTGCTTTACGTGCATTAAATTCTCGTAACTACCCTATGAGATAGGTACTAATATGTTTCTAATGGAGAATCAGCATGCTAAAAGGTTAGGTCACTTGCCTGCATTTACACAGTTAATTGATAGATACTGGATTTGAAACCAGGACTGTCCTGCTCCTCATCTTTATGGTTTCTGCGATTATGGTTAAATGGATTATTCAGAAAAAGAAACTACCCCACCCACACTTACCTGGGTTTATTCAGAGATAGCCATGGAATTTTTGAATTGATCACATGAATATATATATATGTATATATATGTATACACATATATATATATATTTATTATTATTGGGACAGAGTCTTACTCTGTCACCTGGGAGCTGGACTACAGTGGTGTGATCTTGGCTCACTTCAACCTCTGCCTCCTGGGTTCAAGCAATTCTTGTGCCTCAGCCTCCCAAGTAGCTGAGATTACAGGCATATGCCACCACACCTGGCTAGTTTTTTTTTTTTTTTTTTTTTTTTTTTTTTTTTTTTTTTTGGTAGAGACAGGGTTTTGCCATGTTGCCCAGAAAATTGGTCTCAATCTCCTGAGCTCAGGTGATCCTCCTACTTCAGCCTCCCAAAGTGCTGGGATTACAGGCGTGATGAATATATACATATTTAAAAATAGAGGCTGAGCACGGTGGCTTACGCCTGTAATCCTAGCACTTTGGGAGGCCGAGGTGAGTGGATAACCTGAGGCTGGGAGTTTGAGACCAGCCTGACCAACGTGGAGAAACCTCATCTCTACTAAAAATACAAAATTAGCCGGGCATGGGGGCACATGCCTATAATTCCAGCTACTCGGGAAGCTGAGGTGGGAGAATCACTTGAGCCCAGGAGGCGGAGGTTGCAGTGAGCTGAGATCGTGCCATTGCACTCCAGCCTGGGCAACAAGAGTGAAACTCCATCTCAAAAAATAAATAAAATAAAATAAAATAAAAATAGAAATGAGATCTTGCTATGTTGCTCAAGCTGGTCTCAAACTCCTGGGCTTAAATAATCCTCCCACCTCAGCCTCCCAAAATGTTGGGATTATAGGCATGAGTCATTGCACTTAGCCTCACTTGAGTATTTCCAAAACAGACTAGGGATTGTTAAGGAGCACTGATAACACTCACTACTTTTTTGACTTCTGCCATGGCTCAAAGTAAAACTTTGAGCTTTACTATTATATATATTAGAGACCACTTTATATATATATGTGTGTGTGTATATATATATATATATATATATATAATATGACCATAATTTATACATATTAGCACTTATTCTAGTTTGTATAAAGAGTGATGGGATCTAGAGGAAATCTGATGCTTTGTACACACACATATATGCCACTCCAAAAAAACATGGCTACTGAGAAGTACAGATAAGAAAGGCCTGTTTCATTTCCAATCTTTTCCCTGGAAGTTGCTGGAGAAAATATTAAAATCAAGGTGACAGCTTTTTAAGTCATGACCTCACAAAAACAAACTGACACTCAATAATGCCCCACAATCTTCCATCTTTCTAGTGTACTCTCTGAGATGACCATCCATACCTCACTGCTGCTCAAAACTTCTTTGCCCCTCTCCTAACTGATGAAATATGAAAGGGCTTTTTAATCTCCATTGCCTAGGCCAAGACTTCATCCTTCTTTTTATCCCTTTCTTCTGAGTCATCTCTCTCCTTTTCTGTTTATGCTATTTTCATTAGCAGAATATATGTTCTAGTCCATGCATTCCTCTCCAGCTAGTCCCATTTCTCAACTCGTTCTCACAGCCATATTTTTCAAAGGAGTTGTCTCTACTTTTCACCCATCTACACTCCTTGACCCACCATCATCTAGTTTCTGCTCCAAAGCACAACGGAAATGGTCAAGCTCACCACTGACCTTCAGTTTTCTAAATTAAATATTAACAGATACCTTTATCTTTTTTTTTTTTTTTGAGACAGAGTTTCACTCTTGTTGCTTAGGCTGGAGTGCAATGGTGCAATCTTGGCTCACTGCAACCTCTGCCTCCCCGGGTTCAAGTGATTCTCCCCCCTCAGCCTCCTGAGTAGCTGGGATTTCATGCATGTGCCGCCATGCCTGGCTAATTTTGTATTTTTAGTAGAGACGGGGGTTTCACCATGTTGGCCAGGCTGGTCTCAAACTCTTGACCTCAGATGATCTGCCCGCCTTGGCCTCCCAAAGTGCTGGGATTATAGGCGTGAGCCACCGTTCCCAGCCTGATACCTTTATCTTTATTATAGTCAACCTTTTAAATTGATCACTCATTCTAGAAAGTCCTCCTTCTCTTGGCTTCTGAAATGACATTCTTCTCTTTGATCCATTGCTTTTCAGATCTTCTTCTGCCTGATCCTTAGATGTTGAGATTCCTTAGGGCTGGGTATGGTGGTGCACGCCTATCGTCCCAGCTACTCAGGAGAATGAAGCAGGAAGATCACTTGAGCCCAGGAGTTTGAGGCTATGAACTATGATCTTGCTGCTGCATTCTAGCCTGGGTGACACAGCACAGGGAGACCCTGTCTCAGAGAAAAACAACAACAGAAGATTCCTGCAGTCTTCCTCCAACATACATCTAAAGTGTTTTCATTATTCTGCATCTCTTTTGGCCATTCCTTACTCCAAGACACCATTATTTCTACTTAATTTATCTTCTCATTTCTTTATTCCTCCTTCGAATCCAATATTAAAACCCAAATCAATGTCTGAGCACAATGGCTCATGCCTATAATCCTAACACTTCGGGAGGCCAAGACAGGAGAGTCACTTGAGGCCAGGAGTTTGAGACTAGCCTGGGCAACATATTGAGATTCACCCAGGCTGGAGTGCAGTGGTGTGATCATGGCTCACTGCAACCTCTACCTCCCGAGTTCAAGCAACTCTCCTGCCTCAGCCTCCAAGTAGCTAGGACCACGGGCATGTGCCAGCATACCTGGCTAGTTTTTGTATTTTTAGTAGAGATGAGGTTTTACCATGTTGCCCAGGCTGGTCTCGAACTCCCAAGCTCAAGAAATCCACCTGCCTTGCCTCCCAAAGTGCTAGGATTACAGGCGTGAGCCACTGCATCCAGCCCAAAAACATTAAAAAAAATTATCCAGCTGTGGTAGTGTGCACCTATAGTTCTAGCTACTCAGAAGCTGAGATGGGTAGATCCCTTGAGCCCAGGAGTTCAAAGTTGCAATCAGATATGATCTTACTACTGCATTCCAGCCTGGCCAACAGAGCAAGACCCTGTCTCAAAAAAAAAAAAAAAAAAAAAAAAAGAAAAGAAAAGAAAGGAAAATTTTAAGTTTCAAATTTTTGAAACTGCATCCCCAGAAGACACCTTGAAAGACCTTGATCCAGAGGTACCCAGTAAGCCACACCTGGATTCCTGACCCACAACACAGAAATGATGAGATAACGTAGTTGTTTTCAGCGGGTAAAAGAAACCCAAAACAAATAAGGATCACATCTCTGCCCTTCAAGGAAATCTAAGGTTTCCTACAGGTCTTAGAATAAAATCCAGACTCCTGATTATGGCTGGAAAGGTCTTATTGGACCTAGCCCCAGCCTACCTTTCAGACCTTATCTTGGGCCGCTCCCTTAATCCAGCCACGTTTTCAGTTTCAGGTACTCAGCAAGATCTTTACAAGGGGCTCCCTCATCCTGGAATGCTCCTTCTGGCTCTTTACTTGGCTGACTCATTTCAGAAACGAGCTTAAAGTTCATCTCTGAGGGTCCTTCCCTGACCACCCTCTCTATTATCTGTTTCACTATGATGTTGGTTTCCTTTATAATACATCATAATTTGAAATTATTTTGTTTTCCTATTTACTATTTCCTTTTTGTTGTTGTTTTTTTTTTTTTGAGACGGAGTTTCGCTCTCGTTGCCCAGGCTGGAGTGCAATGGCGCAATCTTGGCTCACCGCAACCTCCGTCTCCCGGGTTCATGTGATTCTCCTGCCTCAGCCTCCCGAGTAGCTGGGATTACAGGCATGGGCCACCACATCCAGCTAATTTTGTATTTTTAGTAGAGACGGGGTTTCTCCATGTTGGTCAGGCTGGTCTTGGGTCTGGGGTACTGTTTTCTTTTATTTCTTTGGTCTCCCACAGGAGAGCGTGAGCTTCGTGAAATTAGGGCTCACAATTCACTTTTATGTTCCTGTGTTCCTTGTGCCAGGCAAACTGCCAGACACATAGTAGAGGTCTCATAATATTTGTTAAATAAGAAAAATGCATCTTTATTATTATTTTCTAACACAGTCCATATAACTATCTAAGGCACACGTTGAGAGTTTCATTTAACTCAATCTGAGATGAGACCAGATTTCCCTAAACTATGCGTGCTTCCAGTGAACCTATTTGATTTCTTGTCTCATTTATTTTATGAATGCATTTTTATTGGCTTTTGTTTCCCCCTTACTAGGGTATTCTCATAGCAAAGAGAAGATACAGAATTTAAGGTAAGAATAATGGAATGGGGTTGGGAAAAGGTGAGAATCTTGGAAGTCCCTACTCTAACATGTCTGATCTTTTCTCTGAGAAATCCTGTCCTGGGGCTTTGAGATCTGAGTTTATACTTCCTTCTTTCTCTAGGTCTAGTTATGAAGTGAAAATGTAACATGCTACTGTGTGTACTTCCTGACACCTCTAGCTTCTTTAGTTCTAAAGTTAAGGTATAGAATTTATCACCCTAATAATACAACATGCTTATTCATCTCGATATTAATGGTTTTTCCACTGAACTGAAACATCAACGGATTGAGCTCCTATTATATCCAGGGTCTGGGCTGCACTTAGGCGTTACAGAAGTGAGCAAGAAACCCAGTATCTGTTCTCAGCATTTCTGTAAACAGCCCAGGCATTTTCAACTTTAGTTTCCTATTAGAATCACCCAGGCACTGAAGTGTACTAATGCAGGGCCAACCCCAGAGCAACTGAATCAGAATCTCTGGGGATGAAGCCTAAGCATAGAAATTGTTCTAAAAGCTCTCCAGGTGATTCTAGTGAACAGTCAGGGCTGAGAACTGCTAGTCTGTTATAGACTCCTGTCTTGACCTTCGTTCCTGATTATACACACCCACACATCCATTTCAAATAGGTATGGCTTACATAACTTACTAGATTTTAGACTTTTAGTGATGTTTGGCACATGAATGGAATACAATATATTTGGATTACAAAAATGATTCTGGGCTAGGTGCTGTGGCTTACGCCTATAAGCCCAGCACTTTGGGAGGCTGAGGTGGGAGGATCACATGAGCCCAGGAGTTCAAGACCAGCCTGGGCAACATGATGAGACCTCTTCTCTACAAAAAAATGGAAACATTAGGTGGAAGGATTGCTGGAGCACAGGAGATGAAGGCTGCAATGAGCCATGATTGTGCCACTGCATTCCCACCTGGGTGACAGAGAAAGACCCAGCATCAAACAAAACAAAACAAAAACCTCTGTCCATTGAATGCTATCTAAAGCATTAATAATTTTTTTTTTTTTTTTTTGAGACGGAGTCTGGCTCTGTCACCCAGGCTGGAGTGCAGTGGCACAACCTCGGCTCACTATAACCTCTGCTTCTCGGGTTCAAGCGATTCTCTGCATTAGCCTCCCAAGTAGCTGGGATTACAGGTGCATGCCACCACGCTGGCTAATTTTTTGTATGTTTAGTAGAGACGGGGTTTCACTATGTTGGCCAGGCTGGTCTCGAACTCCTGACCTCGTGATCTGCCAGGCTCAGCCTCCCAAAGTGCTGGGATTACAGGCGTGAGCCACGGCGCCCGGCCCATTTTTTGAAAATCTAAATGTGTACATAATTGCAGACATCTTGATACTTCACCTAAACTTCAGCCTGCACCTCCGAGAAATAAAAATATTCTCTTAGCTATCACAATGCTGTTGTTATACCTAAGAAAATTAAAATTAATGGACATTTTCTCAATTGTTTCCCCATAGTATTTTATTGCTATTTCTTGGCTTTTCCACTTGTTCAGCATCTGATCAAAGATCATGCACTATATTTAGTTGCTGTCTCTTTGGGAAAGCCTATTCTCTTAACTCTATTCCGTGTTACCTGGGAAATGCTTAACTCAACCGCAACACTTTATTTCCACAGCCTCATCTCTTTGGCCAACCTCCCTCCCTCAGGATTGGCAAATGCAGTAGCAGAGGGAATTCGCTCAGAAGAAAACATCTATACCATTGAAGAGAACGTATATGAAGTGGAGGAGCCCAATGAGTATTATTGCTATGTCAGCAGCAGGCAGCAACCCTCACAACCTTTGGGTTGTCGCTTTGCAATGCCATAGATCCAACCACCTTATTTTTGAGCTTGGTGTTTTGTCTTTTTCAGAAACTATGAGCTGTGTCACCTGACTGGTTTTGGAGGTTCTGTCCACTGCTATGGAGCAGAGTTTTCCCATTTTCAGAAGATAATGACTCACATGGGAATTGAACTGGGACCTGCACTGAACTTAAACAGGCATGTCATTGCCTCTGTATTTAAGCCAACAGAGTTACCCAACCCAGAGACTGTTAATCATGGATGTTAGAGCTCAAACGGGCTTTTATATACACTAGGAATTCTTGACGTGGGGTCTCTGGAGCTCCAGGAAATTCGGGCACATCATATGTCCATGAAACTTCAGATAAACTAGGGAAAACTGGGTGCTGAGGTGAAAGCATAACTTTTTTGGCACAGAAAGTCTAAAGGGGCCACTGATTTTCAAAGAGATCTGTGATCCCTTTTTGTTTTTTGTTTTTGAGATGGAGTCTTGCTCTGTTGCCCAGGCTGGAGTGCAATGGCACAATCTCGGCTCACTGCAAGCTCCGCCTCCTGGGTTCAAGCGATTCTCCTGCCTCAGCCTCCTGAGTGGCTGGGATTACAGGCATGCACCACCATGCCCAGCTAATTTGTTGTATTTTTAGTAGAGACAGGGTTTCACCATGTTGGCCAGTGTGGTCTCAAACTCCTGACCTCATGATTTGCCTGCCTCGGCCTCCCAAAGCACTGGGATTACAGGCGTGAGCCACCACATCCAGCCAGTGATCCTTAAAAGATTAAGAGATGACTGGACCAGGTCTACCTTGATCTTGAAGATTCCCTTGGAATGTTGAGATTTAGGCTTATTTGAGCACTGCCTGCCCAACTGTCAGTGCCAGTGCATAGCCCTTCTTTTGTCTCCCTTATGAAGACTGCCCTGCAGGGCTGAGATGTGGCAGGAGCTCCCAGGGAAAAACGAAGTGCATTTGATTGGTGTGTATTGGCCAAGTTTTGCTTGTTGTGTGCTTGAAAGAAAATATCTCTGACCAACTTCTGTATTCGTGGACCAAACTGAAGCTATATTTTTCACAGAAGAAGAAGCAGTGACGGGGACACAAATTCTGTTGCCTGGTGGAAAGAAGGCAAAGGCCTTCAGCAATCTATATTACCAGCGCTGGATCCTTTGACAGAGAGTGGTCCCTAAACTTAAATTTCAAGACGGTATAGGCTTGATCTGTCTTGCTTATTGTTGCCCCCTGCGCCTAGCACAATTCTGACACACAATTGGAACTTACTAAAAATTTTTTTTTACTGTTTTTTGTTTGTTTGTTTGTTTTTTGAGATAGAATCTCGCTCTGTCTGAGTTCATTGTAGATTCTGGATATTAGCCCTTTGTCAGATGAGTAGGTTGCGAAAATTTTCTCCCATTTTATAGGTTGCCTGTTCACTCTGATGGTAGTTTCTTTTGCTGTGCAGAAGCTCTTTAGTTTAATTAGATCCCATTTGTCAATTTTGGCTTTTGTGGCCATTGCTTTTGGTGTTTTAGACATGAAGTCCTTGCCCATGCCTATGTCCTGAATGGTAATGTCTAGGTTTTCTTCTAGGGTTTTTAGGGTTTTAGGTCTAACGTTTAAGTCTTTAATCCATCTTGAATTAATTTTTGTATAAGGTGTAAGGAAGGGATCCAGTTTCAGCTTTCTACATATGGCTAGCCAGTTTTCCCAGCACCATTTATTAAATAGGGAATCCTTTCCCCATTGCTTGTTTTTCTCAGGTTTGTCAAAGATCAGATAGTTGTAGATATGCGGCATTATTTCTGAGGGCTCTGTTCTGTTCCATTGATCTATATCTCTGTTTTGGTACCAGTACCATGCTGTTTTGATTACTGTAGACTTGTAGTATAGTTTGAAGTCAGGTAGCGTGATGCCTCCAGCTTTGTTCTTTTGGCTTAGGATTGACTTGGTGATGCGGGCTCTTTTTTGGTTCCATATGAACTTTAAAGTAGTTTTTTCCAATTCTGTGAAGAAAGTCATTGGTAGCTTGATGGGGATGGCATTGAATCTATAAATTACCTTGGGCAGTATGGCCATTTTCACCATATTGATTCTTCCTACCCATGAGCATGGAATGTTCTTCCATTTGTTTGTATCCTCTTTTATTTCATTGAGCAGTGGTTTGTAGTTCTCCTTGAAGAGGTCCTTTACGTCCCTTGTAAGTTGGATTCCTAGGTATTTTATTCTCTTTGAAGCAATTGTGAATGGGAGTTCACTCATGATTTGGCTCTGTTTGAACTCAAACAAATTTACAAGAAAAAAACAAACAACCCCATCAAAAAGTAGGCAAAGGATATGAACAGACACTTCTCAAAAGAGGACATTTATGCAGCCAAAAGACACATTAGAAAATGCTCATCATCACTGGCCATCAGAGAAATGCAAATCAAAACCACAATGAGATACCATCTCACACCAGTTAGAATGGCAATCATTAAAAAGTCAGGAAACAACAGGTGCTGGAGAGGATGTGGAGAAATAGGAACACTTTTACACTGTTGGTGGGACTGTAAAGTAGTTCAACCTTTGTGGAAGTCAGTGTGGCAATTCCTCAGGGATCTAGAACTAGAAATACCATTTGACCCCACCATCCCATTACTGGGTATATACCCAAAGGACTATAAATCATGCTGCTATAAAGGCACATGCACACGTATGTTTATTGTGGCACTATTCACAATAGCAAAGACTTGGAACCAACCCAAATGTCTGACAATGATAGACCGGATTAAGAAAATGTGGCACATATACACCATGGAATACTATGCAGCCATAAGAAATGATGAGTTCATGTCCTTTGTAGGGACATGGATGAAATTGGAAATCATCATTCTCAGTAAACTATTGCAAGGACAAAAACCCAAACACCGCATGTTCTCACTCATAGATGGGAATTGAACAATGAGAACACATGGACATAGGAAGGGGAACATCATACTCTGGGGACTGTTGTGGGGTGGGGGAAGGGGGGAGGGATAGCATTAGGAGATATACCTAATGCTAAATGACGAGTTAATGGGTGCAGCACACCAGCATGGCACATGTATACATATGTAACTAACAGGCACACTGTGCACATGTACCCTAAAACTTAAAGTATAATAATAATAATAATAATAATAATAATAATAATAATAATAATAATAAAAGAATCTCACTCTGTCGCCCAGGCTGGAGTGCAGTGGCATGATCTTCACTCACTGCAGCCTTGACCTCCTGGGCACAATTCACTCTTCTGCCTCAGCCTCCCCAGTAGCTGGGACTATAGCCATGCACCACCATGCCAAGCTAATTTGCATAGTTTTAGTAGAGACAAGGTTTCACCATGTTGGCTAGGCTGGTCTCAATCTCCTGGGCTCAAGCAATCCCCCCTGCCTCGACTTCCCAAAGTGCTGGGATTTGAGGCGTGAGCCACCGTGCCCGGACTAAATATTTTTGGAGTGAAAAACTTAAATAATCAGAAAGGTAGCTTTCTGGAAGACTTCCATTAGACAGCTCAGAGAGAGTGTGACTCTGCAAGTTCACTTCTTAGGGAACTCACAAATACCCAGAAGCTCCCATATTCACTCTTTTGTTTGTTTGTTTGTTTTGAGACAGAGTCTCACTCTGTTGCCCAGGCTGGAGTGCAGTGGCACAATCTCGGCTCATCACAACCTGTGCATCCTGGGTTCAAGCGATTCTCCTGCCTCAGCCTCCCAAGTAGCTGGGACTACAGGCATGCACCACCACACCCAGCTAATTTTTGTATTTTTAGTAGAGACGGGGTTTCACTATGTTGGCCAGGCTGGTCTTAAGCTCCTGACTGTGTGATCTGACCGCCTCGACCTCCCACATTGCTGGGATTACAGGTGTGACCCACTGTGCCCAGCCCCATATTAACTCTTATCCAGGCCAAAGTGGCCTTTGTTTCTCAACATTGTTCAGCTCAGGCCTTTGTTGGGGTCTTACTCTTTTGTCTATTTCCTTCTTTCTGCTGAGCCATCCTCAGCACATCGGAATGAATTAACAATATGGGCCTATCACTGCCTAAAAACTGGTCCTCCCCAGGTGATGACTAAGCTGTGATTGTGTTGCATGCAGAAGATGTTGGCCAGCAAGGCTGTCGCCAGCCTGCTTGTTTCTAGAAGTCTTTCTGACAGTCTCGTGTGAATTAGAGCATTGGGCTGCATCTAGATAGTTTCGGGACAGACTGACATTCTGTAGGCAGATACGTAAGGGAGATCATTTTGCAAAATTAATTGTAGGGAACAGCTCTCATACAGGCTAAAAAATTAATCTGAACTGTCTTTTTAAATTTTTTGACATAGAGTCTTGCTCTGTCGCCCAGGGTGGAGTGCATTGGTACAATCTTGGCTCACTGCAACCTCCACCTCCTGAGTTCAAGTGATTCTCCTACCAAAGCCTCCCAAATAGCTGGGATTACAGGTGCACATCACCACACTCGGCTAATTTTTTGTATTTTTAGTAGAGATGAGGTTTTGCCATATTGACCAGGCTGGTCTCGAACTCCTGACCTCAGGTGATCCACTCGCCTCGGCCTCCCAAAGTTCTGGGATTACAGGCGTTGGGTTATCGTGCCCAGCCCATAAGTGTCTTAATGCCATGAAATCCTAGTGAGAAGAAACTTCACGACACATTTGAAGCAGATCAATGGTCCCCCTCAAAAGACATTCTTATCCTACCAAAATCTTTAAATAAGGGTATGTGTACAAGGCTGATCATTGCAATGGTGTTTGCGGAGATTTTTACAATGAATAAGGGAATTGTTGATTACAGTGTTATGTCAATACACTGGTGCAAGTAAAAAGAATTAGGTGGTTTTATCATTAAGCTTTTTTGCTAAATCAACAAATACTTATTAAATGCTTACTGTGTGCCAGGCACTTTGTTTGGTGCTGGGACCACAGAAGGGGACCAAATAGACACATTCCCGGCTCCATTCCATTCAACTCCTAGTTGATCTGACAGCAAGGAGGATTTGTGTCCTTTCATTCATTCAGTGAAAAAAAAAAAAAAATATATATATATTTATATACTACTAATATATATATTTATATACTACTATATATTTATATACTACTATATATATATTTATATACTACTATATATTTATATACTACTATATATATATTTATATACTACCTATATATATGTATATATACTACTTCTTCTTTTTTTTTTTTTCCGTCAGGTCAACTGGGAGTTCCATGGAGCCAGGGATGTGTATATTTGGTCCCCTTCTGTTTTTTTTTTTTTTTTTAATTTTTAAGTTTTTTTTTTTTGAGACAGAGTCTCACTCTGTTGCTCAGGCTGGAGTGCAGTGGTGCAATCTTGGCTCATTGCAGCCTTCGCCTCCTAGGTTTAAGCGATTCCCCTGTCCAGATACTCACTGGAGTAGCTGGAATTACAGGTATGCGCCCCCATACCTGGCTAATTTTTGTATTTTTAATAGAGACGGGGTTTCACCATGTTGGTCAGGCTGGTCTTGAACTCCTGGCCTCAAGTGATCTGCTCGTCTTGGCCTCCCAAAGTGCTAGGATTACAGCCGTGAGCCACCACGTCTGGTGCGTTCAGTGAATATTTGTTGGCACCTACTTTATGCCAAACAGTATTCTAGTCTCCAGAAATATAGCAGTGAATGAAGCAGTCAAAAATCCTTGCTGTCTGGAGCTTACATTACTTATCAGAGAATGCTACGTAGTTAAGTTCAAAGGAAAATAAAAAGGGTTCCATAATAGTATATATATATATCTGTTGAATTTGTTTTTGCCGTAAAAACATGCAAGAATATACCCAAATAAATATGGTTACTGAAGGAGACAAATAGTGAAGACTCACTTTTCCCTTTTTCATGTTTCTGCTATAGTTTGAATTATTTTCTTCATTTTCTTTTGTAATAAAAAAAAATTAAGCACTATAGCAATGTTTTTCTGTCTGCCCTCCTCATCAAAGAAATAAATGCAGACAAGGTCAAGGTCAAGATCAAGGTCAGCAGTAGAGTGTAGCAGCAAGCCAGGACTGGAACTCTGGTTTTCAAGGTGGAATCTCCCTTTACATCAAGTATTTGGAATGGGAAAGATGGACACAGAAAAACAAAAAAGGGAGGGGAATTACTACAAAGGGCCAAGGAGATGGCAAATGATAACTTAGAGAATTAAAAACAGCTGGGCGAGGTGGCTCATGCCTGTAATCTCAGCACTTTGGGAGGTCGAGGCGGGTGGATCACCTGAGGCCAGGAGTTTGAGACCAGCCTGGCCAACATGATGAAACCCCGTCTCTATTAAAAATACAAAAATTAGCCAGGCACGGTGGCGGGCACCTGTAATCCCAGCTACTTGGGAGCCTGAGGCAGCAGAATTGCTTGAACCCGGGAGGCAGAGGCTGCAGTGAGCCAAGATCGTGCCATCGCACTCCAACCTGGGGACAAGAGCAAAACTCTGTCTCAAAAAAAAAAAAAAAATTAAAAACAGTGCAACATAGACCAATGTTGGGGAGCCACGTATATACACTGCCTCAGGCCACACCAGGTGTTCCTGCACAGCAGTTCCCAAGCATGTGAGACAGATACATTCTAAGGGAAGAGGCCCATGTGCCTGTCTTTTGCTGCATAAGCAAGGCTTTTCTAGCAATACTAGATCCCACTAAGAAACTCCCACGCTGGCATCTGAGCTCCTGATCAGCTGATGGAGCTCCTGATTTGACAAAGGAGCTTGCCTCCTTTGAATGACCTAGAGTACAGGGAGGAACTTGTCCATTAGTTTGGAATTGTGTTCTTCATAAAGACTGAGGCAAGCAAGTGCTGTGAAATAACATCTTAGTCCCTTGGTGTGTGTGTGTGTGTTTTATATATTTGAAGCATAAAACTTCATATAAAATTAAAATAAAAAAATGCAATAAAATTGAATGTGTGGTTTGCTCTTAGAAATGCCTTAGGATTTTTCTTCCAGAGCTGCCCACAGAAAGCCCACAGGCTCTGAAAAGGGGGAGAGTCCCTGATCTTTTTTAGACTGAAAAAAAGTAAAGTCTACTGTGTTTTATCTGCCCATCACTTCTAGATTTAGAATTCCCAAGGCAGAAATTCCAAGCAGGTCAATTGCTCATTAATTGATTCAGATAACATCAAGTCAATTTATGTAAATGAAAATTGTTTTTTTCCTTTTTTAATGTTATGAGAGAATGTATATATGGAAATCACTTATTGAATTTTTTTTTTTTTTTTTTTTTTTTTTTGAGACAGAGTCTCACTCTGTCGCCCAGGCTGGAATGCAGTGGCGTGATCTCGGCTCACTGCAAGCTCCGCCTCCTGGGTTCATGCTATTCTCCTGCCTCAGCCTCCCGAGTAGCTGGGACTACAGGCACCCGCCACCTTGCCCGGCTAAATTTTTGTGTTTTTAGTAGAGACGGGGTTTCACCGTGTTAGCCAGGATGGTCTCGATCTCCTGACCTCGTGATCCGCCCGCCTTGGCCTCCTAAAGTGCTGGGATTACAGGAGTGAGCCACTGCGCCTGGCCTGAATTTTTATTTTTATTATTATTTTTCATTCTGCCATCATGTGGATAAATTTTTAAACAGGAACAATTTAAATGCATTAAAATGCTCTCTTTTTTTCTTTTTTCTTTGAGACAGATTTTTCCCTCTGTCTCCAAGGCTAGAGTGCAGTGGCGCCATCTTGCTCACTGCAACTTCTGCCTCCCAGGCTCAAGCTAATCTCGTGCCTCAGCCTCCCCAGTAGCTGGGATTACAGGCACGCACCGTCATGCCCGGTGAATTTTTTGTATTTTAGTATAGACAGGGTTTTGCCATGTTGACCAGGTTGGTCTCAAACTCCTGGCCTCAAGTGATCTGCCCACCTTGGCCTCCCAAAGTGCTGGGATTACAGGCATGAGCCACCACGCCTGGCCAAAATGCTCTCATTTTAAGCAGACAATTTAAATTCCGCAAATAGTCCAGGCATGGTGGCTCACGCCTGCAATCCCAGCACTTTGGGAGGCCAAAGCAGGCAGATCACCTGAGGTTAGGAGTTCGAGACCAGCCTGGCCTATATGGTGAAACTCAGTCTCTACTAAAAATACAAAAATTAGCCAGGCGTGGTGACAGGTGCCTGTAATCCCAGCTACTAGGGAGGCTGAGGCAGGAGAACTGCTTGAACTTGGGAGGCAGAGGTTGCAGTGAGCCGAGATTGTACCATTGCACTCCAGCCTGGGGGACAAAAGTGAGACTTCATCTCAAAAAAAATAAAAAATAAAAATAAAATAAATAAAATAAAAAAATTCCACAAATATACACCTATGTAAATACTACCCCAAGCAAGATATAAAACATTTCCACCATCTCAAAATATATTTTGAAGTTCAAAGGGCCCTCCTGTCTACTTCCAATGATAATTTATTGATTTAAAAAAATTAAACTGAACACAAATTAATTTTGTGTCCTGATTTCTACTGAAAAAGTCTGGATGCTTCTAGAGATAATTAGAGATGCCCTAGAGTAGTCACTTGCAAGATTTTCTATCATCATTTTCTGGAACTCAGTTGGAAAGTGGGGCAGAGGAGAGAGGCAGCTACCCAGTAGGCTGGGAGGTTCTTAAGTTTTAGGAGGGCTTGGATTTTGCTTGATTTTCAGTGGAAAAGCTGTGCAAGGGAGAATATCAATCAGATGTTAATTTTAGGCTTCTATTAGGTTGGTGCAAAAATTACTGCAGTTTTTGCCATCGAAAGTAATGGCGAAAACCGTAATAACTTTTGCACCAACCTAATAGAGCCTCTGTATCTTTTTCTCAGCCATATAGACTGCATTTACAAAGGTTATTCCAAGCAACTCACCTACTCATAGTCATGAATCTCTCGTGAATTAACATTCCAATTTCTTTTGCTTAAGGTGTGACTCTTTTTACAAAGAGAGCAGTGAGACTGAAAAAAAAAAGGCTATTTAAACTATTCACATGTGGTGGTGGTGGTATGAGCTCATCTGTTTAAATGTGCATATTATTATTATTATTATTTAATTTTAATTTTTTTTGTTTTTTGAGACAGAGTCTTGCTTTATCACCCAGGCTGGAGTGTAGTGGTGGGATTTGGCTCACTGCATCCTCCGCCTCCCGGGTTCAAGTGATTCTCCTGCCTCAGGCTCCTGAGTAGCTGGGATAACAGGCACGCGCCACCCCATGCCCAGCTAATTTTTGTATTTTTAGTAGAGATGAGAGTTCACCATATTGGTCAGGGTGGTCTCAAACTTCTGACCTGGTGATCCGCCTGCCTAGACCTCCCAAAGTGCTGGGATTACAGGCATGAGCCACCATGCCCGGCCATGAAATTAATTTTAAGAATATATTTTATTTAACTCCATTCATCTAAACTATTATTTCAATATGGAATAAAGATAAAAATAATTAATGAGGGCTGTGCGTGATGGTGCACACCTGTGATCCCAGCACTTTGGGAGCCTGAGATGGGCAGACCACCTGAGTCCAGGAGTTTGAGACCAGCCTGGGTAACATGGCAAAACCGCATCTCTATAAAAATGCAAAAATTAGCTTGGTATGGTGATGTGTGCCTCTAGTTTCAGCTACCTGAGAGGCTGAGAGGTAGGAGGATTGCTTGAGCCTGGGAGGTCAAGGCTGTAGTGAGCCAAGATCACGCCATTGCACTCCAGCCTTGGTGACACAGGAAGACCCTGTCTCAAAAAAGAAAATGGGGGAGAGAGTTTATGTTCTTTCATTGTAAATTTTCAGAATTCAGTAAAAATTCAGTGTGCACTTTACATTTAAAGCACATCTCAGTTCTGACTAGCTGCATTTTAAGTGCTCAGTAGCTACGTGTGGCTAGTGGCTACAGTATTAGACAGCACAGTTCTGCACCATTCTCTATTCTCACTCTCTCTCTCTCTCTCTCATTTATTTATTTATTTTATTATTATTATTTTTTGAGACAGAGTCTCACTCTGTTGCCCAGGCTGGAGTGCAATGGTGCAATCTTGGCTCACTGCAAACTTTGCCTCCCAGGTTCAAGCGATTCTCCTGTCTCAGCCTCCTGAGTAGCTGGAATTATAGGCGCCCACCATCACACCTGGCTAATTTTTGTATTTTTAGCAGGGACAGGGTTTCAACATGTTGGCCAGGCTGGTCTCAAACTCCTGACCTCAAGTGATCCTCCCACCTCGGCTTCCTAAGGTTCTGGTATTACAGGCGTGAGTCACTGCACCTGGCCCTGTTTTTTAAAAATAGAGATGGGGGTCTCACTATGTTGCTTAGGATGGCCTTTGACTCCGGGGCTCAAGCAATCCTCCCACCTCAGCCTCTTAAAATGCTGAGATTGCATAGTAGCTTTTGGGTAGAAGTTAAAAAACCAAACCAAAACAAGAACCTCCAAAAATAACAAAGTGCTGGATTACAGGCATGAGTCACAGTGAGCCACGATGCCCAGTCTGTCTCTCATACACACACATACACACAAACAGATACAGGTTGTAACTTACTTTTTTTTTTTTTTTTAACCATTTGTAGAAGGCTATTAGTCCATGTCAGAATATTTGGGAGAATACCTTTTATTTAGATAGCTACATAGTATTGAGTAGAATAAACATGTATGTTCTATTAAATCATTTCCCTATTGAAATATATTTATTTTCTTTCTCTGTTTCAAATAAGGCTCTAAGGAACATCCTTTATACAAAAACTTACATGCATTTGTGTATTTTCAAGGTATAGAGGTCTAGATACAGAATTGCTTTGTCAAAGGTTATGATGCTGGTGGAAGTATTATGACTATAAAACAATAATATATATTTCAAACCAATATGCTAGCAAGTGTATAGCTAAATATATACCATCTGTTTCAAGGCAATCATTTTAGAAAACCACATTTTAATTCCAGCATGTTCGTTCACTAAAAATAATTTGGTTTTGCTTTTTGAAATTTGACTTAAAAACCAGTTTAAGCTAAAAAATCTAGGTCAAGTGAGTCTCATGAGGCTTGCTCTTTTGTAATCAGAGTTATTTTTATTTTTTGAGGCAAGATCTCGCTCTGTCACTCAGGCTGGAGTGCAGGGGCTTGATCATGGCTTACTGCAACCCCCACCTCTTGGGCTCAAGCAATTCTCCAGCCTCAGCCTCCTAAGTAGCTGAGACTACAGGTGCTTGCCACCACGCCTGACTAATTTTGGTATTTTTTGTAAAGACAGGGTTTACCATGTTGGCCAGGCTTGTCTTGAACTCCTAAACTGAAGTGATCCACTCGCCTTGGCTTCCCAAAGTGCTGGGATTACAGGCGTGAGCCACCGGCCCCAACCTGTAATCAGAGTTATTTTTATCTCTCATTCATCTGTTTCTGTCTTTCCTCCCTTCTCTCTTTCCTTCCTTCCTTCCATCCATCTGTCCATGCATCCATCCAAGAAATGGCTTCCTAATTGGTAGCCACCTAGTCCACTTTTGCTCTCCTGGTAGTTCATTCTCCTCACACAGTAGCCTAAGTATTTCCAGTATTTCCTTTTTCTTTTTTTCTTTTTCTTTTTTTTTTTGAGACGGAGTCTTGCTCTGTCATCACTCAGGCTGGAGTGCAGTGGCACGATCTCGGCTCACTTCAACCTCGCCTCCCAGGTTCAAGTGATTCTCCTGCCTCAGCCCCCCAAATAGCTGTGACTACAGGCACACACCTCCATGCCTGCCCAGATAATTTTTGTATTTTTAGTAGAGATGGTGTTTCACTATGTTGGCCAGGCTGGTCTCGAACTCCTGACCTCGTGATCCGCCTGCTTAGGCCTCCCAAAGTGCTGGGATTACAGGCGTGAGCCACCGCACCTGTCGTTTTTTTCTTTCTTAAATCATTAACTGGATTCAATTACTCTTATTTAAAACCTTTCCATAGCTTGCCATTGAACTGAAAGTCTGCTGACCTCACCAACCACTCCTTATTCTCTGTTTCAGCCACACTGATGTTTCTGCTTCTAGAACAGCCCATGTTCTTTCTGATTCCAGCCCCTTTTCAGGCCATTTCCTCTCTTCAGAATACTTCTCTAAGACTGTTGGTATAAAGCTTCCCCTTTCTCATCTTTTGGTTTCTAGTTTAAATTTCTTTTTTTTTTTAATTTAAATTTTTAATTTTACTTATTTATTTTTGGGACAGAGTCTTGCTCTGTCACCCAGACTGGAATGCAGTGGCGTGATCTCAGCTCACTGCAACCTCCTCCTCATGAGTTCAAGCGATTCTCTGCCTCAGCCTCCCGAGTAGCTGGGACTACAGGCGCACACCACCACGCCCGGCTAATGTTTTTTGTATTTTTAATAGAGATGGGGTTTCCCCATGTTGCCCAGGCTGGTCTCAAACTCCTTGCCTCAAGTGATCTGCCCGTCTCGGCCTCCCAAAGTGCTGGGATTATAGGCGTGAGCCACAGCGCCCAGCCTAAATTTCATCTAAGAGCTTTTCCCCAACCACCAAATCTAAGTAACTATCTTCCCATCTCTAATTCAGTTGGTTTCCTACATAGTTTGTTCCAATCTGAAATTCTCTTGCTTACATTTTTCTGTGTGTGTGATCTATCCACCCCAACCCTCAACTGGAAAGTAAACTCTATCATTCATGGCCTCTATCCCAGGGGCCTAGTACAATGCTTGGCTTACAGTGGGTGTGAAATAAGTATTTGTAGACTGAATGAATGAATGAACATATGCCTGCTGTATTGCAAACACAAGCTGTGACACAGGCACCACAAAAAGGTTTACGTTTTTCCTTCAAGGAAGTCAGAATATGGCAGGGCAACCTGATCCCCAAGAATATAGTTACAATAAAAGGCAATAAGCATATAGCAGACCCACACACTAGAATCTGAATGATACAGAAAAGGGCTTTTTGATGATGTCTTTAAATAAAAATTTAAAGACATTTAAATTTTATTTAAATAAAAAAATAAAAATTTAAAGACATCACCAAAAAGCCCTTTTCTGTATCATTCAGAATAAAAATTTCTGGAAATACAAATCCTTAGCTTTACCACTTGCCTAACTTAACTCTGTAAAACTCCAAATGAGTCTCATAGAATAAGGTTGCCTGGCACATAGCAAGTGCTCAGTAAATATAAATGGGTGAATGCATAAAGTGACAGAGGTGACGCAGATTCTAACAGCAGTCCCTCAAATAAATATATATAGTTGACTCTTGAACAATATGAGGGCTAGTGGCACTGATCCCCTGTGCAGTTGAAAATATGCATATAACTTTTATCTCTCTCTCTCTTTTTTTTTTTTCTCTTTTTGAGACGGTCTCACTCTGTTGCTCAGGCTGGAGTGTGGTGGCATGATCACTGCTTACTGCAGGCTTGACCTTCTGTAAGCAATTTTCCCATCTCACCCTCTTTAGTAGCTGGAACTATATGTGTGTGCCACTATGCCTGGCTAATTTTTGCATTTTTTGTAGAGATAGGGTTTTGCCATGTTGCTGAGGCTGGTCTTAAACACCTAGGCTCAAGTGATCCTCCTGCCTTGGCTTCCCAAAGTGCTGGGACTACAGGCATGAACCATCGTGCCCGGGCTGCATATAATTTTTGACTCTCCAAAAAATTTGCTAACAGCCTACTGTTGACAGGAAGCCTTACTGATAATGTGAACAGTCTATTAAAACACATTTTTGTATATTATATATATATGCTATATTCTTAAAGTAAGCTGGAGAAAAGAAAATGTTACTAAGAAATCCTATGGAAGACAAAATATATTTACTGCTCATTATAAGGATCATCCTCGTCGTCTTTCCATTGAGTAAGCTCAATGTGAAGGAGGAGGAGGAAGAGGAGGGGTTGGTCTTGCTGTCCCAGGGGGAGTAGAGGTGAAAGAAGTGGAGATGGAGGTGAGGCAGGAAAAGCAGGCACACTTCGTATAACTTTTACTGAAAAAAATCTGCGAATAAGTGGACCCTTGCAGTTCAAAGCCATGTTGTTCAAGGGTGAACTATAGTGACCGGATGTATTTTCTTTGTAGAAGAACATGTGCTTTGTGGTATAGCGCTTTTATGTTTATTAAAGCATTATTTCATAATCTTCCATCTTTCTAGATGCTTGGTGATGTCCGAGTCTAGCTTTTGGCAACTTCAGCTGCTATCTTTTCTCTCTGTCTTTCTGGGTTAAAGAAAAGGATGATTGTAATTAGGCTGTGAAAAATGAAGTACATTATGTGAATGTAAAAGAACTTCCACTTATGGCTGGGTGAGGTAGCTCACACCTGTAATCCCAGCACTTTAGGAAGCCAAGACAGGAGGACTGCTTGAGCCCAGGAGTTTCAGAACAGCCTGGGCAACATAGTGGGACCTTGTCTCCACAAAATATAAAAAATATTAGCAGGGTGTGGTGGCTGGTGGCATGTGCCTGTCGTTCCACCTACTCAGGAGGTTGAGGTGGGAGAATTGATTGAGCCCAGGAGGTCGAGGCTACAGTGAGTCATGTTTGTGTCACTGCACTCCACCCTGGGTGACAGACAAACACCCTGTCTCAAAAGAAAAAAAAAAAAGAACATTACTTTTGCAAGAATGTACAGTTTTGGGATTGGGTTTTGCTTTTTGTCGTTGTTGTTAAAACACTTTGCATGCATTATGTTATATAAACAGTATATTGGTACATTCTTGTAAAATACTGAAATGATACATAAATGGCTGGGCACAGTGGCTCACACCTGTAACCCCAGCACTTTGAGAAGCCAAGGTGGGCAGATCACCTGAGGTCGGGAGTTCGAGACCAGCCTGACCACATGGAGAAACCCCGTCTCTACTAAAAATACAAAATTAGCCAGGTGTGGCGGTGCATGCCTGTAATCCCAGCTACTCGGGAGGCTGAGGCTGGAGAATCGCTTGAACCTGGGAGGCAGAGGTTGCGGTGAGGTGAGATAGTGCTATTGCACTCCAGTCTAGGCAACAGGAGCGAAACTCCCTCTCAAAACAAACAAACAAACAAACAAGTGATACATAAATATATAGCCTCAAACTGAAAGTTCCTCTTGTCTCAGCTGGCTTCGCTACCAGATAGGATACTCTGACCTGACTAGTTTCGTAGATTCTTTCCTGTAACTTTTCCGTATAGGTACATATACATATATACATACATATGTGTCATTTTGTTGTAGCATTTTTGCAAAAATGGATTCCTATAAACTAGGTGGTGGTGGTTGTGTGTGTGTGTTTGTGTGTGTTTTAAATTGTGTTTTCCTCTCACCTCAGCCTCTCAAGTATCTGGGACTATAGGCACACGCCACCACACTCAGCTATTTTTGTTTTTCGTAGATGCAAGGTCTCACTGCATTGCCCCGGTTGGTCTCAAACTCCTGGACTCAGTGATCTTCCCACCTCAGCCTCCTAAAGTGCTGAGATAACAGGCATGAGCCACCGTGTTGTTGTTTTTTTGATCTAGTATTTCTTTTTTGTTTGTTTTTGTATTTTTTTGAGACAGCGTCTCCCTCTGTCACCCAGGCTGGAGTGCAGTGTTGCAATCACGGCTCACTGCAGCCTCGAACTCTGGGCTCAAGTGATCCTCCTGCCTCAGCCTCTCTAGTAGCTGGGACTACAGACACCTGCCACCATGCCTGGCCTAATTTAATATTTCCTGGAAATACTTCTTTTCTTTTTATTTTTAAACAGAGTCTCATTCTGTCACCCAGGCTGTAGTGCAGTGGTGCCGTCTTGGCTCATTGCAACCTCTGCCTCCTGGGTTCAAACAATTCTTGTGGCTCAGCGTTCAGAGTAACTGGAATTACAGGCATGTGCTACAACTGCCAGTTAATTTTTTTCTTTTTTTAGTAGTGTCTAAATACTAAATACTGGCCGGGCCCAGTGGCTCACACTTGTAATCCCAGCACTTTGGGAGGCTGAGGTGGGTGGAACACCTGAGGTTAGGAATTAGAGACCAGCCTGGCCAACATGGTGAAACCCCATCTCTACTAAAAATATAAAAATTAGCCAGGTGTGGTGGCAAAAGCCTGTAGTTCTAGCTACTAGGGAGGCTGAGGCAGGAGAATCACTTGAACCTGGGAGGTGGAGGTTGCAGTGAGCTGAAATTGTGTCACTGCACTCCAGCCTAGGCAACAGAGCGAGACTTTGTCTCAAAAATAAATAAAATACAATAAAATACTAAATACTAAGTTCACCATGTCGGCTAGGCTGGACTAGAACTCTTGGCTTCAAGTGATCCTCCCACCTCAGCCTCTAAAGTTCTGGGATTATAGGTGTGAACCACCACACCCAGCCATCCCAGCCATATTTCTTGAAAATATTTCCATGTCATAGTTCCCAATAAAAAGTTGGCATTTTATCAACATATATCATTATTAAGCAGAGTCAACATTTTTTAAAGCCACAATGCCCACCACTAGCACAACGTTTTGATAAAGGTTTTGATAGAACTCAGCATACGTTTTACATAGTCGTTACTTACTGTCATGAGCAGTTCAATTTGGTGTCCAGGTCCTGTGGTGGTCTTGGTTTGGGAGTGTACAGAGTTCTTTAAAAACTTCTCTAATCCCATCTGGTAAAAGCCCCATGCCACACCTACGGTGAACTCATTTTCGACAAAGGTGCCAAGAACGTACACCTTGTTCTTGGGGGTGAGAATGCTTAATGGGTTAAAAAAAAAAATAGAAAGAATGAATAAGAAGGCTGGGCATGGTGGCTCACACACATAATCCCAGAACTTTAGCAGGCCAAGGCGGGACGAGTGCTTGAGCTACTCAGGAGGCTGAGGCAGAAGGATCGCTTGAGCCCAGGAAGTCAAGGCTGCAGTGAACCATGAATGTGCTACTGCACTCCAGCCTGGGCAACAGAACAAGACCGTGTCTAAGAAAAAAAAGAAAGAAAGAAAGAAAGAAAAATCTAAGTGTTCCATTCTTAGCATGGGGTGCTCAATAAATATTTATTGAAGTAATGTTTGTTGCGTAACAAGAACAGTGGAATAGGAAAAGTTAACCTGGCTTTTATTTCTGCCTCTGCCCCCAGTGGCTTCTGTGGGTCCCACACTCTATTCCACTGTTTGGACCTTGGTTTATTCACTATAAATTGAGAAACTTGGCCCCAGGTAGTTTAAAGTCCTTTCCTGCACCAGCGTTCACAAAGTCTGTATAGTTTTTCAAGCCTGGAGTCTGACCTAACATCCAGATCTTGGCTGAATCTTTAAAAATAGCCCAGCAGAGCGTGGTGGCTCCCGCCTGTAATCACGGCACTTTAGGAGGTCAGGGAGGGGTGGATCACTGGAGGTCAGGAGTTAGAGACCAGCCTGGCCAACATGGTGAAACCCCGACTCTACTAAAAATACAAAAATTAGCCAGGCATGGTAGCGAGTGCTTTAGTTCCAGCTACTCAGGAGGCTGAGGCAGGAGAATCGCTTAAACGCGGGAGGTGGAGGTTGCAGTGAGCCGAGATTGGGCCACTGCACTCCAACCTGGGCGACGGACGGAGCAAGACTCCATCTCAAAACAAAAACAAAAACAAAAACAAAACAAAACAAATGCCCAGTAGAGAACAAGTACTGTAACAATCTCCCTGTAATCTGTTTAAATTTGTAAGTGGATCAAATCCAGTAAAAAGATCAGCCAACTGGAGAAATGTAATGTTCAAACGTGCTTCCCCGTATTCTTATGTAAAGGTGTGGCAAAGAGATAAAGAATGGAATTCTGGGAGAAAGTAGTCTTAATCTATAAAGATCTTTGGAGGAGGGCTACAAACAGACCAGGAGGAGGGAGGAGAAGCTGGAAAACCGCCTTCTAACTAACCGGTAAGTGCGGTCCTCTGGAAACTTATGACAAAGAGAAAATCAGGATATAGTTGCTTGGACTTTCGTAGTTTTATATGAGATATAAGGACAATAATGATTGAGCCAAGAAATTTAGGGGAAATTTACATAAAACAGAGTTTTTTGGATTTCCTGAGAAATTGGCTTTTATTTCAATGGAATCATGGACTGCCATAGTGGCCTTATTTAAACTTTGCCTGGGCAAGTTTAGTGTGAGAAATAGGAGGAAAAACTAAAACTGCAGAAAATTGTGTGGTACATTTGTGTTAAGCCGTATTTATTCAGGCTGGCTTGAAACTGTGACTTTAGGCGCAATACATACTTTTGGTGAGCTTCTCCTTATCTGTAAGATGGGTATTGTGTAATAATATGGAAATGTGTTGAGGGCATAGCTCTGTTAGTAGTTTTATAATTTTTAAAGTAAAAATATTAGGGGGCGTGGTGGCTCATGCCTATAATCCCAGTGCTCTGGGAGTCTGAAGCAGGGGGATTGCTTGAGCCCAGGAATCTGAGACCAGCCTAGGCGACATAGTGAGATCCGCCTGAAAAATAATAGAAAAATTTGCTGAGTGTGGTGGCACATGCTTGCAGTCTCAGTTACTGGGGAGGCTGAGGCAGGAGGATGGATTGAGCCTGGGAGGTGGAGGATGAAGTGAGCCAGAAAACTCTGTCTCAAAAAAAAAAATGTAAAAAAAAAGCCCATATAAAGATAATGTGCAGTAAAGCAGAAGCCTAGTACTGGCTGCTGACTTTTATGACAGAGTCTTGCTTTGTTACACAGGCTGGAGTGCAGTGGCTCAATCATAGCTCACTGTAACCTTGAACTCCTGGGCCCAAGCGATCCTCCCACCCCAGCCTCCTGAGTAGCTGGGACTACAGGAGTGCATCACCATGCCCGGCTAATTAAAAAAATTTTTTTTGTAGAGATACGGTTTCGCTATGTTGCCCAGGCTGGTCTCAAACTTCTGGGCTCAAGCAATCCACTTGCATCGGCCTCCCAAAGGGCTGGGCCTACAGGTGTAAGCCACAGCACCCAGCCTTGCTGCTGACTTTTTGTTTTGCTTTTTGAGACAGAATCTTGCTCTGTCACCCAGGCTGGGGTGCAGTGGCTCCATCTCAGCTCACTGCAACCTCCACCTCCCAAGTTCAAGCAATTCTCCTGCCTCAGCCTCCTGAGTAGTTGGGACTAGAAGCACCCGCAACCATGCCTGGCTAATTTTTTTGTATTTTTAGTACAGTTGGGGTTTCACCATGTTGGCCAGGCTGGTCTGGAACTCCTGACCTCAAGTGATCTGTCTACCTCGGCCTCCCAAAGTGCTGGGATTATACATCCGGCTGTTTTGTTTTGAGAACGGGTCTTGCTCACCGGGAGTGGTGGCTCACGCCTGTAATCCCAGCACTTTGGGAGGCCGAGGCAGGCAGATCACCTGAGGTTGGGAGATGGAGACCATCCTTGCTAACATGGTGAAACCCTGTCTCTACTAAAAATACAAAAAATTAGCTGGGTGTGGTGGCACATGCCTGTAATTCCAGCTGACACAGGAGAATCGCTTTAACCCGGGAGGCGGAGGTTGCAGTGGGCCGAGATCGAGCCATTGCACTCCAGCCTGGGCAACAAAAGTGAAACTTTGTCTCAAAAAATAAAAATAAAAATAAAGAAAAAGAGAGAGAGAGAGAAAGGGTCTGGTTCTGCTGCCCAGGCTGGAATGCAGGGGTGCAATCACAGCTCCTTGCAGCCTTGACCCCTGCTCAATTGATCCTTCAATCTCAGCCTTCCAGGTAGTTGGGACCACACACTTGTGCAACCATGCACAGCTAATTTTTTTATTTTTATTTTTTGTAGAGATGGGGACTCACTCTGTTGCTCAGGCTGGGCTGCTGATTTTTGAAGGTTTGTAGTAGTCTCATGTGTTAGAAATTATTGAGCTTGCAAAGATTAGTGAGTATAAGCAATTTGGTTTGTTTGGAACTTTGTGAAGCTTAGAGTGATAGGGTGTGACCAGCCTGGGAAGGTGGGCAGCTTTTAGAGTTTGGACTTTGCCTTAAAGGCACTGGCAAGCCATTAAATGCCTTTGAAGTGGAAATGATTTTAGAGAAATACATGGGAAGATTAAGAAGTTATCTGCTGATGTGAGTCCTCTTCCTCCCCCATAGCCTGCACCTGCAGGTAGCTGCAGAGCATCAACCACATGACCTCCTACTTCCAGTGATACCTGAGTGCTGCCAGATGGTGGAACATTTGTCCTTACTTCATTTGCTCTCCTAAAGCTCTCTTCAAATTCCCCAAACCTCTTCCCCATCCTTACTGCTAACCACAATCTCCGCCTCCCGGGTTCAAGTGATTCTCATGCCTCAGCCTCCTGAGTAGCTGGGATTACAAGCATGTACCACCACGCCCGGCTAATTTTGTATTTTTAGTAGAGACAGGGTTTCTCTGTGTTGGTCAGGCTGGTCTCGAACTCCCGACCTCCAGTGATCCGCCTGCCTCAGCCTCCCAAAGTGCTGGGATTACAGGCATGAGCCACCGTGCCCGGCCCTTACTGCTAACTTTTAACTGTTTCCTTTTTCACTGAGGAAGCAATCAACCTGGAGTTTCCCCAGACATATGTGCCCACTTAGCGTGTGCACCAACAGGCTATCCCTGGTTGTGAATTAGAACCTTCTACTTGGACAAAGGATCACACTCCTCTGTTTACTTGTTGCCCCAGCAAATTTTCCCTTTCTTCCCCTTGATTGTCTCCAGATCATACAAACATGCTGTTATTTTTATCACTTAAAAAAAAAACACCCAGGATTTTCTCCTTCCATTTTTGCAAAACTTTTATTTTTTTTTTGGAAGATGGGGACTCACTCTGTCACTCAGGCTGGAATGCAGTAGTACTACCATATCTCACTGCAGCCTCAAACTCCTGGGCTCAAGTGATCCCTCCCGCTTAGCCTCCCAAATGGCTGGTACTATAGGCACTCAAGTCCAACTGCTTTTCTCCATGCAAACTCCTTGAAAGTGTTTCCTGTATTCAATTATCTCCTGATTTTCCTTCTTGTAAACTTTTTACTGCAGTATAAAGTACTGGGGCTCACTGATAATCTCCAGCTTGCTCAGTCTATGACAAATCTTATTCCTTTCCTTTGCAGCATTTGACTCATGATTGCTGCCTGTTCTTTGATGCGTTTGCTTCACTTGGCTTCTAGGACCTTTTTGCTTTTTCTCTTACCTCCTTGGGCTGCTTCCATTTCTGTATTGGTGCCTCTTCCACCTCAGCATTTTTTTTTTTTTTTTTTTTTAAGACGGAGTCTCGCTCTCTCGCCCAGGCTGGAGTGCAGTGGTGCGATCTCGGCTCACTGCAAGCTCCGCCTCCCAGGTTCACGCCATTCTCCTGCCTCAGCCTCCTGAGTAGCTGGGACTATAGGCGCCCGCCACCACGCCCGGCTAATTTCCACCTCAGCTTTAACAAATTTTTTTAAAATTAATTAATTTTTTTTTTTGAGACGGAGTCTTGCTCTGTCACTCAAGCTGGAGTGCAGTGGCATGATCTCGGCTCACTGCGACCTCTGCCTCCCAGGTTCAAGCAATTCTCCTGCCTCAGCCTCCTGAGTAGCTGGGATTACAGGCATGCGCCATCACACCCGGCCAATTTTTGTGTTTTTAGTAGAGACGGGGTTTCACCATGTTGGCCAGGCTGGCCTGGAACTCCTGACCTCAAGTGATCAGCCTGCCTTGGTCTCCTAAAGTGCTAAGACTGCAGGTGTGAGTCGCCACACCCGGCCTTAAAATTTATTCTTATGTAGAGATGGTGTTTCACCATGTTGGCCAGGCTGACCTGGAACTCCTGACCTTAAGTTATCAGCCTGCCCCGGTCTCCCAAAGTGTTGGGATTACCTGCATGAGTCAACATGCTTGTCCCCATTTTAATCTTTTGATGCTGGAAGGCCCCAGGACCTAGTCCTTAGCATCAGGCATTCCTTTGAATCTCATCCTTTGAATTCCTACCTCATTCAGGCTCCTGGCTTTAAAATACCATTTTTTTTTTTTTGAGGCGGAGTCTCGCTCTGTCGCGCAGTGGCGCGATCTCAGCTCACTGCAAGCTCCGCCTCCCAGGTTCACACCATTCTCCTGCCTCAGCCTCCCGAGTAGCTGGGACTACAGGCACCTGCCACCACGCCTGGCTAATTTTTTGTATTTTCAGTAGAGACGGGGTTTCATCGTGTTACCCAGCACAGTCTCGATCTCGTGATCCGCCCACCTCGGCCTCCCAAAGTGCTGGGATTACAGGCGTGAGCCACCGCACCCAGCCAATACCATTTCTAAGCCAGTAACTTGTAACTGTATCTTTAGCTCAGACCTCCCTCCTGAACTCCAGCAGTCTCCACACAGGTCTAAGACATGTCAAACTCAACATACTTAAAACCCTGAATATTTCCTCTAAAACCTGTGGTCATGCAGGTTTTTGTTTTTTGTTTTTTGTTTTTTTTGAGATGGAGTCTTGCTCTGTTGCCCAGACTAGAGTGCAGTGTCACGATCTTGGCTCACTCCAACCTCTGCCTCCTGGGTTCAAGCAATTCTCCTGGCTCAGCCTCCTGAGTAGCTCAGATTACAGGCACCCACGACCATGCCTGGCTAAATTTTTGTATTTTTAGTAGAGACAGGGTTTTGCCATGTTGGCCAGGTTGGTCTTGAACTCCTGACCTCAGGTGATCCACCTGCCTTGGCCTCCCAAGGTGTTAGGATTACAGGTGTGAGCCACTGAGCCCAGCCTTTGCAGCTCTCCTTGTCTTAATTGGCTGGAACCTCCAGCTCTTCCCGTGGCTCAGGCCGAAATCCTTGGAGTCATCTTAGGCCCTTTCTCCTCATATCCTACAGGAAATCCTGTTTGCTCCACCTTCTCCACCTCCTTGGCTCAAGCCATTCTCCTGCCTCAGCCTCTTTAGTAGCTGGGACTACAAGTTGCATGCCAGCATGCCTGGCTAATTTTTCTTTTTCTTTCTTTTTTTTTTTTTTTTGTAGAGACAGGGTCTCACTATGTTGCCCTGAGCTCCTGGGCTCAAGCAGTCCTCCCGCCTTGGCCTCCCAAAGTCCAGGGATTACAGCTGTGAGCCATCACATCTGGCTACTCTAGGTTGAGTGAGGAAAGTTCATTGACCACTTCCACTGCTAACCCATCTCTTCTGGAATCTTTCCATAGTCTCCTGACAGGTCTTCCTGCTTCTCAATCTAGCAACCACAGTGGTCCTTCTCAAAGGAAGTTAGATACTGTCACCCTATGCCCTTGCAGTGGTGCTTCTTTTCATGTGGGGTGAAAGCCTATGTCCTCAGAATATGGCTCCTAAGCCCCATGTGTCTGTCCTCTGCCCTCACTCCTCTGTGATCCCTGTCCCTCGCTCTGTTGCAGTCACGCTGGCCTCTCTTGCCCTGTAAACACACCAGGCACCCTCCTGCCTTAGGGCCTTTGCCCTTCTTGTCTGTCTCCATGGAAAGCGTTTGCTGTCTTGGCTAACTTCCTTGTCCTTTGTCTTAGTTCAAATAATCACCTTCTTGGTGAAAGTAATAGAGACTATTCAAACCTGACCACCTTGTTTAAAATTGCAACTCAGTGCCTCCTCAACCCTCCACTCCCAACCACCTTCACCCTGCTCTTGTGTATCCTTTTGCCTTTTTTGCATTAGCATTCCTCAACTTGTAATATGCTGATAAATTACATTTTAGTGATGTTTTAAAAATCTGTATATTTATTTTTCAGTTAAAAGTTAGTTACATGAGGCCAGGAGTGGTGCTCACGCCTATAATCCCAGCACTTTGGGAGGCCAAGGCGGGCAGATCACTTGAGGTCAGGAGTTCGTGACCAGCCTAACCAACATGGTGAAACCCCGTCTCTGCTAAAATTACAAAAATTAGCCGGTGTGGTGATGCATGCCTGTAATCCCAGCTTCTTGGGAGGCTGAGGTAGGAGAATCGCTTGAACCCAGGAGGCAGAGTTTGCAGTGAGCTGAGATCGTGCCATTGCCCTCCAGCCTGGGCAAAAAAAGCGAAGCTCCATCTCAAAAAAAAAAAAAAAAATGTAAGTTACATGAGGCCAGGGGTCTTTGGTTCATTGGTACATTCCAGATGAATAGGATCATTTCTAACATATCGCAGATCATCAACAAATAATTGTTAAATGAGTACACTTTTGGTATTTTTATATATTTTCTTTCTTTCTTTCTTTCTTTCTTTTTTTTTTTGAGACAGAATCTCGCTCTGTCACCCAGGCTGGAGTGCAGTGGTGTGTGATCTCAGCTCACTGCAACCTCCACCTCCCAGGTTCAAGCGATTCTCTTGCCTCAGCCTCCCTAGTATCTGAGACTACAGGCACGCGCCACCACGCCTGGCTAATTTTTGTAGTTTTAGTAGAGACAGGGGTTTGCCATATTGGCCAGGCTGGTCTTGAACTCCTAACCTCAAGTGATCCTCCTGCCTTGGCCTCCCAAAGTGCTGGGATTACAGGTGTGAGCCACCATACTTGGGCTTTTATGTATTTTCTATGGTAAACATAGGTGGTACCCTGTAATTTTTATATCTTTGTAAAAGATATAAAAAAAAGAAGCATTATATTACTTGTTATGAAATCAGAGGAGTAAGTGAAGGAAAATAACTAGCTTAGGGCAGTGGGCAGGGCAGGAAGAGAACTGAAAGGTAGGAAGACAGTTTTGGAGGGAATTGCAGAAGTCTGGATTATAGAGGCCTAATATAAAGTGATGGGGATGAGGGAGAGACTGACAGGTACAATGATGTGGAGTTGGTGAGTCCCTAGTTGTGGAGGGGGCCTAAGAAGATCTTGCTGTGGTGAAAGCATGGGGAATATGAACAGCTGAACTGTTTTGCAGGAGGCTGGAGCTGGAGGTACGATGTGCGCTGAGATAGCAGGGAAGTAAGTGGTGATTGCAAGAAAGAACAGTGAATTATTTTCTTTTCTGAATTCTTTCTTTTTTTTGAGACAGGGTGTCAATCTGTTGTCCAGGCTGGAGTGCAGTGGCACGATCTCAGCTCACTGCAACCTCCACCTCCCGGGTTCGAGCAATTCTCCTGCCTCAGCCTCCCAAGTAGCTGGGATTACAGGCACCCACCACCGTGCCCGGCCCATGTTCTGAATCATTTCAATTCACTGCCGTTAATCTTGGTTTATACAGATGCAGCTCCCTAGTGAGCAGCTGGAAATTCAGCTTTGGTGCCCAAGTATTGTCACTTCCAGCTTTACCCTACAACTGGGATGCATCCTTCAGGGGGGTCATGAAGTTTGCCCTAAAGAGTAGTGATCCCTGGAGGTTGTATAGCTCATTAAAAAAATCCACTGTGCTATATTGTTTGGGAGTCTTTAGAACACAGGCGTCTCTCATGGGAGATGGTCCTGTGTCAGAAAATTCAACCCTATGGAATTGTACAGTTATGTAACATCTCAGAGCCTTGGCTCCACATCCCTGTCCTGGCTCTCTCTGGCTCATCATTTCCTCCAGTTGAAACACCCTCCACCCATTCTTCTCACATGTCACTTTTTAAGAAATTCTTCCCACCCCCCACATTCCGTCATCAAAATGAATGGTCTTTCCCTATGGGTTTGTGTTTCCATTTGTTTATCTATTCAATTAATAACTTTTTTTTTTTTGAGAAGTCTCACTCTGTGGCCCAGGCCAGAGTGCAGTGGCATGATCTCCGCTCAGGGTAAATTCTGCCTCCCGGGTTCAGGCGATTCTCTTGCCTCAGCCTCCTGAGTAGCTGGGATTACAGGCACCCGCCACCACGCCTGGCTAATTTTTGCATTTTTGGTAGAGTTGGGTTTCACCATGTTGGCCAGGCTGGTTTGGAACCCCTGACCTCAAGTGATCCTCCCACCTCGGCCTCCTTTGGATTACAGGTGTGAGCAACCATGCCTGGCTTCAACACTTAAATTGCCTTAAAGGAGTTTATGGTCTGGAGTTGGGTGCCACACAACACAGTCACTATGTGTGACAATTTAAATTTTATTTTTTTGTTTTTAATTAATTTATTTTTTTGAAAGCTCTGTCATCTAAGGCTTGAGTGCAGTGGTGCCATCTCAACTCCCCGAAGACTGTCTCCTGGGCTCAAGCAATCTGAAATTTTAATTAAAATGAAATTAAATAAAAATTTTTAGGCCAGGCATGGCGGCTCACACCTGTAATTCCAGCACTTTTGGAAGTTGAGATGAGCGTATCACTTGAGGCCAGGAGTTCCAGCCCAGCCTGGCCAACATGGTGAAACTCCACCTCTGCTAAAAATACAAAAATTAGCCAGGCATGGTGGCGCGTGTCTGTAGTCCCAGCTACTCAGGAGACTGTGGCAAGAGAATCACTTAAACCCAGGAGATGGAGGTTGCACTGAGCTGAGATTGTGACACTGCACTCCAGCCTGGGTGACAGAGTCAGGCTCTGTCTTGGAAAAAAAAAAAATTAAAAATGCCTTGGTTGCCTTAGCCACATTTCAAGTGCTCAATAGTCATATGTGGCTAGTGGCTGCTGTAGTGCACGACACTCACACAGAATAACTCTGTAACCAATATTCTACTGGAGACAGAATCGATCCTATGGAATTCAAATTCAAATCCTATGGAATTGTACAGTTATGTAACATCTCAGAGCACTGGCTCCACATCCCTGTCTTGGCTCTCTGTGGCTCATCAGTTCCAGAATAACTCCGTTACCAGAATAACTCCATTACTAAAATTCTACCGGGCAGCACTCTATAGGAGGGAATAGAGACAGACACCACATATATTGCACACACAGATAAAATGGATTAAGGAAAACAAGATAATAATAGTGAGAGGGACTGGTTGGCTACTTTAGATTGAAGGACCTGTGAAAAATGTCCAGGGAGGTCATATTTAAGCCGGGATAAAAATGAAAAGGAAAAAAGTGAAAATGGTGGGGCTGGGGAGCTAGATGGAGAACACAGCCACGGAAAAGGCCTTAGGGTTGAGGCAAGTTGGAAAGAAAGCTCTAGTAGCTGGGGCTGAGTCAGCAGGGGAGAGAGTGGTAGAAGAAATCTATGGGGTAGGTCAGGGCCAGACCACCAGGGCTTCAGTAATTTGAGTAAAGATTTAGGAATTATTATTATTATTATTATTATTATTTTTCTGAGAGAGTTATGAGAGGGTTATAAGTGGGGGAATGATGTAGTCTGATTATATATTTACCTTTACCTCACTTATCCTGATTTCATTAGTTGCTTACTTACCCATGTCCCTGCCCGATTGCACAAGTCTGGATTTTTGACGTCCCTAGTATATTGAGTCATGTCCCATCAGCTCAATATGTTAGTAATAACTGGTTGAATTGAATTAGCTTTTTTTTTTCAATCTTTTTTTCCTTAAGAAACAGGGTCTTGCTCTGTCACCCCGGCTGGTGTGCAGTGGCACAATCATAGCCTCCAACTGCTGGGCTCAAGCAACCCTCCTGCCTCAGCCTCCTGAGTAGCTGGGACTACGGTCAGGTACACAAGGCCTGACTATATTTTTTGTTCGTTTTTTTTGCAGAGAGGGAGTCTTGCTATGTTGCCCAGGTTGGTCTCAAACTCCTTACCTCAGGTGATCCACTTGCCTTGGCCTCCCAAAGTGTTGGGATTACAGGCGTGAGCCACTGTGCCTGGCAAGAAATGAATTTTTATTTTTATTTTTGAGATGGAGTTTTGTTCTTGTTGTCCAGGCTAGAGTGCAATGGCTTGATCTCGGCTCACTGCAACCTCCACCTTCCAGGTTCAAGCAATTCTTCTACCTCAGCCTCCTAAGTAGCTGGGATTACAGGCGCCCGCCACCACCCCCAGCTAATTTTTGTATTTTTAGTAGAGTCGGGGTTTCACCGTGTTAGCCAGGCTGGTCTTGAACTCCCGACCTCAGGTGACTGGCCTACTCGGCCTCCCAAAGTGCTGGGGTTACAGGCACGAGCCACCATGCCCGGTCAAGAAATGAATTTTTAAACGCTGCCATACAAAACACTATGCTGAGATCATCCACTTCCCCATGAACCCTGTCATGAGCTGCAAGATACAGACCACCACTGCCTCCTTGGAAGTTACTGAATTCTTAGACCAGAAGAGGAGTTAATGAAGTACTAGGCAAGCTTACTCATGTTTGTATGGTTTAATGATTAACAGCAGAAGTCAACAGCCCGATTTAACGCATGTGGGTGCTTGACACAGAGCCTGCTATATAGTATTCTCCAAAAACCTCAGCTAGTGCTATTACTGCATATGATGTAGGTTTAGTTTTCCAAGTTCTTCCGTGGCCCTTTTTGCTTATTATATCAATCCTTGGTGGGAGATAGAGGAAGCATTTTTAGTGCTATTTTACAACTGAGGAAATAGAGGTTTGAAGAGAACTCAGGAACTCTCAGGGTTACCCAGCATTGTGAGTGACAGAGCCTGGATCTGAACGTAAGTCTGCTCCAGACTTCTGTTTCCTGAAGCATTCTCTTGAAGTCCCTTGGTAAGGAGGTGTAGTCTGAAGCATGTTGTACAGGAGCATGAAAGGTTAGGCACAGTGATTCACATTCACTCTCAATTTCTCTTGCTAATGGCAAACTTGGCAATATGACTGTTAAGGCTAGGGATAAGTCGTTGTGGCCACTGAGTAGGAAAAGCTCCACGTCCACCAGAGGCCCAGTTTACTCTGAAAAGCAAGTGCATCTCTGCCACTGGAAGGCTGGCATTTGCTCTCGTGCTGCCATTGAGCCACGCTGGTTCTCTGCTTCCAGTTTCCTTTTCTTTTCTTTTTTTTTGTTTTGTTTTTTGAGACGGAGTCTTGCTCTGTCGCCCAGGCTGGAGTGCAGTGGCGCGATCTCGGCTCACCGCAAGCTCCGCCTCCCGCGGGTTCACGCCATTCTCCTGCCTCAGCCTCCCGAGTAGCTGGGACTACAGGCGCCAGTGACCACGCCCGGCTAATTTTTTGTATTTTTAGTAGAGACGGGGTTTCACCCTTTTAGCCAGGATGGTCTCGATCTCCTGACTTCGTGATCTGCCCGCCTTGGCCTCCCAAAGTGCTAGGATTACAGGTTTGAGCCACCGCGCCCGGCCCTGTTTCCTTTTTGTTTGTTCCCCTGATACCCTGTATCAGGACCAGGAGTCAGTTTGGCGGTTATGTGTGGGGAAGAAGCTGGGAAGTCAGGGGCTGTTTCTGTGGACAGCTTTCCCTGTCCTTTGGAAGGCACAGAGCTCTCAGCTGCAGGGAACTAACAGAGCTCTGAAGCCGTTATATGTGGTCTTCTCTCATTTCCAGCAGAGCAGGCTCATATGAATCAACCAACTGGGTGAAAAGATAAGTTGCAATCTGAGATTTAAGACTTGATCAGATACCATCTGGTGGAGGGTACCAACCAGCCTGTCTGCTCATTTTCCTTCAGGCTGATCCCATAATGCATCCTCAAGTGGTCATCTTAAGCCTCATCCTACATCTGGCAGGTAAGTGAGTAGGTGCCCTGGGCGGGAAGAAGGGAGTAGAGGGGGGTTAGAAGCCAGAGAATGGGGTAGGGGAAGGGGAGGGGATGGTGGTGGTGGATTAATGTAGATGTTCTTTGGGTACCGTTGTATGGCTATGAGTTAACTAGTGAGCAGGACCAGAATAAAGTTTTAGGCCAAAGAAATTGCTTAACTGCTGTGAATTACAACATTCATGGCTAAATGAACAAGGCAAGATGCAGCACAGTGTGTCACAGGCTGCCCTTTGTGTTTAAACAAAAAGGGTGTGGTTAGATGTATATGCATAGACACATGTATATAGGAAATAGTGACAGTGGGTAATGTGGGATGGGGGCAGAGGGTGGGAGGTGGAGGGAGAGTTAATCCTTATTGTATTTTTTTGTGCCTTCCGATTTTTTTCAGCCACATTCAATTCTCTTTCTTTCTTTCTTTCTTTCTTTCTTTCTTTCTTTCTTTCTTTCTTTCTTTCTTTCTTTCTTTCTTTCTTTCTTTCCTCTCTCTCTCTCTCTCTCTCTCTTCATGAGGTCTCACTCTGGAGTGCAGTAGGGCAATCTTTTTTTTTTTGAGACAGAGTCTCACTCTGTCGCCCAGGCTAGAGTTCAGTGGCGTGATCTCGGCTCACTGCAGCCTCCGCCTCCTGGGTTCAAGCAATTCTCTGCCTCAGTCTCCCAAGTAGCTGGGATTACAGGTACCTGCCACCACTACCAGCTAATTTTTTTGTATTTTTAGTAGAGACAAGGTTTCCCCATCTTGGCCAAGCTGATCTTGAACTCCTGACCTTGTGATCCACCTGCCTCGGCCTCCCAAAGTGCTGGAATTATAGGCGTGAGTCACCGCGCCTGGCCTAGTTGGGCAATCTTGATTCACTGCAACCTCGACCTCCTGGGCTCAAGTGATTCTCCCACCTCAGTCTCCCAAAGTGCTGGGATTATAGGCGTTAGCCACCACATCTGGCCTAAGTATTTTATTTTGAAATAAACACTTTAATTCAAAACATTCTATGAGATAAGGAAAGAGTAAAATAGACATATCCTAATTTTTAAACACAAATTTCTGGAGTGATATATGCCTTTGGGATTATGGGGGAAAAATAATCTCTCATTATATACTTCTATAACCAAATTGTAATAGCATGCATTATATGTGTAATCCAAAAAAATGATACTAGTATTAGGCAAAATTAAACAAGAATTTCTTGGTGGCCGGGCGTGGTGGCTCACACCTGTAATCCCAGCACTTTGGGAGGCCAAGGCGGGCAGATCACGAGGTCAGGAAATCGAGACCATCCTGGCTAACATGGTGAAACCCCGTCTCTACTAAAAATACAAAAAAATTAGCCGGGCGTGGCGGCGTGTGCCTGTAGTCTCAGCTGCTGGGGAGGCTGAGGCGGGAGAATGGCGTGAACCTGGGAGGCGGAGCTTGCAGTGAGCCGAGATCACACCACTGCACTCCAGCCTGGGCGACAGAGCAAGACTCTGTCTCAAAAAAAAAAAAGAAGAAATTCTTTTTAGAAAGACTTTGTCTAAAAAAAAAAATTAAAAGAATGCTAGCATAGAAAAATGCTTATAATCTCAAATTTTAAAAATTCCAGCTATATCAGCTAACTTGGAAAAAGGGGAAAAACCTTCCAGCTATAATGTCTATTTACAAGGCTGGGCATGGTGGCTCATGCCTGTAATCCCAGCACTTTGGGATGCTCAGGTGGGTGGATCACTTGAGGTCAGGAGTTCAAGACTAGCCTGTCTCTACTAAAAATACAAAAATTAGCCGGGCGTGGTGGCATGTGCCTGTAATCCCAGCTACTTGGGAGGCTGATGCATGAGAATTGCTTGAACCCAGGAGGCGGGGGTAGCAGTGAGCCAAGATCTTTGCGCCACTGCACTACAGCCTGGGTGACAGAGCAAGACTCTGTCTTAAAAAAATAAAAAATAAACAATTAAAAAATGAATAAAATATTTTTTTAAAGAAAGTAAAACAAGTAAAAAAAATTAAGAGAATTTTTTTTTGGGGGAGGGGGAGACAGAGTCTGCTCTGTCACCCAGGCTGGAGTGTAGTGGCACGAGCTCAGCTTGCTGCAACCTCCGCCTCCCAGGTTCAAGCACTTCTCCCTGCCTTAGCCTCCTGAGTAGCTGGGATTACACCACTACACCCCGCTAATTTTTGTAATTTTTTTTTTAGTAGAGATCGGGTTTTGCCATGTTGGCTAGGCTGGTCTTGAACTCCTGACCTGGGTTGATCTGCCTGCCTTGGTCTCCCAAAGTTCTTGGATTACAGGCGTGAGCCATTGTGCCCAGCCAAGATGAAATAGTGAGGGCTCATTCTCAGTTTGTCTTTTCTTCTTTGCAGATTCTGTAGCTGGTTCTGTAAAGGTTGGTGGAGAGGCAGGTCCATCTGTCACACTACCCTGCCACTACAGTGGAGCTGTCACATCCATGTGCTGGAATAGAGGCTCATGTTCTCTATTCACATGCCAAAATGGCATTGTCTGGACCAATGGAACCCACGTCACCTATCGGAAGGACACACGCTATAAGCTATTGGGGGACCTTTCAAGAAGGGATGTCTCTTTGACCATAGAAAATACAGCTGTGTCTGACAGTGGCGTATATTGTTGCCGTGTTGAGCACCGTGGGTGGTTCAATGACATGAAAATCACCGTATCATTGGAGATTGTGCCACGTAAGTTTTTCTTTGATATTTCTTGCTAGTTAATTGAATTTTCTGTTCGGTAGTAATTTTCTTTTTTCTTAATAGGGAAAGAGGAGGTTCCCGTAAGTCCTGTTTTTAAATAAACTCTTGTTCTTGGGAAATAGAATAACTTTTGTGTAGATGAAGTTACAAGGCCAAGCATAATTCAAGGTCAGGCTAGAATCAGCAAACTAGCTCCTACAGCAGTACAATTGTTCCTTGATATCTATGGGAAATTGTTTCCAGGACCCCCTTGATACCAAAATCTGCAGATGCTCAAGTCCCTATATAAAATGGTGTAGTATTTGCATGTAAACTATGCACATAGTCCCATATGCTTTAAATCATCTCTAGATTACTTATAACACCGAATACAATGTAAATACTATGCAATTGGTTGTTTTACTGAAATATTTAGGGAATAATGACAAACAAAAAAGTCTGTATTTGTTCAGTACAGCAGACAACATATCCTTCTTTTTCCACCATACATTTTCCATCCAAAGTCTTGGTTATATCTACAGATATAGAACCCACAAATATGGAGGTCCAAATATACTTCAAACATAGTAGTTGGCCCAAGAAATAGCATTTACTGTTCCATAGTAAAATACAGTGAATATTTTTATCAAGCTGAATTTATTCACCTTGAGGAACTGTCCTTTTTTATTTTTTTATTTACTTTTTTTGAGACAGAGTCTCGCTGTTGCCCAGGCTGAAGTGCAATGTCACAATCGTGGCTCACTGCAACCCTCTGCCTCCCAGGTTCAAGCAATTCTCCTGCCTCAGCCTCCCAAGTAGCTGGAACTATAGGCAGGCACCACCATACCCAGCTAGTTTTTGTATTTTGTGTTAGTAGAGATGGGGTTTCACCATGTTGGCCAGGCTGGTCTTGAACTCCTGACCTCAGATGTTCTGCCTGCCTCAGTCTCCCAAAGTGCTGGGATTACAGGTGTAAGCCACCATGCAGGGCCTTTGTTTTTTTTTTTTTTTTTTTTTTTGAGATGGAGTCTCACTCGGTTGCCCAGGTAGCAGGCTGGAGTGCGGTGGTGTGATTGCTACTCACTGCAACCCCTGCCTCCTGGGTTCAAGTGATTGTCCTGCCTCAACCTCCTGAGTAGCTGGGACTACAGGAGTGCATCACCATGCCCGGCTAATTTTTAAAATTTTTTTTGTAGAGATATGGTTTCGCTATGTTGCCCAGGCTGGTCTCAAACTTCTGGGCTCAAGTGATCCACTTGCCTCGGCCTCCCAAAGGGCTGGGCCTACAGACATGAGCCACAGCACCCAGCCTTGCTGCTGACTTTTTGTTTTGTTTTTTTGAGACAGAGTCTTTCTCTGTCGCCCAGGCTGGGGTGCAGTGATGCGATCTCAGCTCACTGCAACCTCTGCCTCCTGGGTTCAAGCAATTCTCCTGCCTCGGCCTCCTGAGTAGCTGGGACTACAGGTGCGCACCACCATGCCTGGCTAATTTTTGTATTTTTAGTAAAGATGGGGTTTCATCATGTTGGCCAAGCTGGTCTCAAACTCCTGACCTCAGGCAGTCTACCCGCCTCGGCCTCCCAAAGTGCTGGGATTACAGGCGTGAGCTGCCGCGCCCGGCCGTTGCTGTTTCTTAATGAATCTTCTTCCACTAAGGTCTTACAATGATAATAGAACCCAATACCTACGACCTTAATAAGCTATGTCTCTATTTTCGTTTTAATTAAGAGGAATTTTAATTTGCAGTCTCTTAGCTTTTGGACTTGGATTGTTTCCCTTATAAGGGTGAGCAAGATGAGGTCAATTCTTTTTTTCTTTTTTTTTTTTAAGACAGGGTCTCGCTCTGTTTCTCAGGCTGGAGTGCAGTGGCCCAGTCTCTACTCACTGCAACCTCCACCTCTGGGGTTCATCAATCCTTATGCCTCAGCCTTTCAAGTAGCTGAGATTTCAGGCATGTGTCATCACACTTGACTATTTTTTGTAGAGATGGGGTTTCACCTGTTGCCCAGGCTGGTCTGGAACTCTGAACTCCTGAGCTGAAGTAGTCCACCCACCTTGGCCCCATAAAGTGCTGGGATTACAGGCGTGAGCCACCACGCCCAGTCTCTACAAAAAAAGTTTTTTTAAAAATTAGCCGGGTGTGGTGATGCCTGCATGTAGTCCCAGCTACTTGGGAAGCTGACACAGGAGGATTGCTTCAGCCTGGGAGTTCGAGGCAGCAGTGAGTTGATCATGCCACTGCAGTCCGGCCTGGATGACAGAGTGAGACCCTGCCCCCAAAAAAGTGCTTCAGTGCAAATATGAGGCGTCTGTTCTTATTTGCTGAATATGCATGCACCTTTCAATACATCTGCTTTTCTTTTGGAAGGAGGGGTATGTCTCCAAGGCCCTCTCCTGTCACAGTTTCTAGCTGGGCAATGACCAAGATTGACAGTTCAGGAAGTTAACTCCACCTAGGGACAGTCTGTCATTGGTGTGCTAGGGTACAGTTCCAGCCTGAGGCTCTTGTTTCTTGTTTGACTTATGCTCACTCTCATGTTGATTTCTGACTCCAGCCAAGGTCACGACTACTCCAATTGTCACAACTGTTCCAACCGTCACGACTGTTCGAACGAGCACCACTGTTCCAACGACAACGACTGTTCCAATGACGACTGTTCCAACGACAACTGTTCCAACAACAATGAGCATTCCAACGACAACGACTGTTCTGACGACAATGACTGTTTCAACGACAACGAGCGTTCCAACGACAACGAGCATTCCAACAACAACAAGTGTTCCAGTGACAACAACTGTCTCTACCTTTGTTCCTCCAATGCCTTTGCCCAGGCAGAACCATGAACCAGGTAAAACAGATGTGTTTGGAAGCCCAAAGGCCTTCTAATGAGGAGCTGCGGACCATCCAGGGCATTGTATCAAGGTAGAAGGACAGTCTAGAGTGAGGGGTCTTACCTGGGTTTCAATCAGGGTCTCCTCAGGGTTTGTGATCCTCCCCAACTCCCAAGTTGTATGCGTCTTTTGCACCAATGAGCATTTTTGGAGTGAGGGGACCCATTGCTTTTTGTCAATTCTCAAAGAAATTGATTATTAACCAAAAATAGCTGGACCACGGATGTAGAACATCTAACAGGGATACTGTGGATCTGACTCAGCTAGGTATGGCTTTATGATGAAAACACAGGGAATGCCAGAGAACCAAGGTCAGATAAATGAGATAGTGTCCTCACGAAGAGCTCTGAAGAGAGATCATTTAGTCCATTCTGAAAGCAGACCTTGATTTCAGAGAAGTTAACATTTACTGTTTTCTATCTACCAGGCACCATGCCTCATGCATTTAATTCTTAGGATAATTATATCCACTGTAGGTGTGGTTTATAATTGTTAGAACTGAGACAGAGTCTAAAAGTTCATTGTTGAAAGTTACACAGATAGAAGCCAGGTGCGGTGGCTCATGACTGTAATTTTAGCCGAGGAGTTCAAAACCAGCCTGGGCAACATAGTGAGAGACCTTGTCTCTACATGGTGGTGCATGCCTCTAGTCCCAGCCACTTGGGAGGCTGAGGTGGAGGAATCGCTTGGGGCCGGGAGGTCAAGTCTACAGTGAGCCATGATTGCACCACTGCACTCTAGCCTGGGTAACAGAGTGAAAAAGAAAGAAAAGAGAAAGAAAAAAGAAATTTACACAGATAGAAAGTGGTCGAGTCACGTTTTGATCTCTGTTAGCTTGAAATAGGGCCAGTACTTTTAACTACTGGATCATGCCTCCTATTATCAGCACTGAGTTTTATGTTTGGATGAGTTTGCCCTGATCTAACATTTTTACTGAAAAAAACCCTTAAACAACCACACTGTCTTTTCAGGGTAGTCAATGACTTACACATTTTTACTTCAAAGGTCCTTTAATTTATTTATGTACAGTGGAAATTGCAAAAGGTGTGATTTATACTTAGGAAAAAGTAACATTGGATTTAAGGGCTTTAGGGATTTAGAATGTACAGTTTATTTTTTTCAGTTCAGGCCATATAGTTGATACTTCAAATTCCCTGTAAATAAGACATTAGATTTAATACAAATAGAGGATAACTTGACTTATAGGTAGGGAAATAGCTTGTCATTCTGAGGACAAGTATAGGTTCAAATCTTCCATTTTCGGGATTTAAAAGATAACTTTTAGTGGAGATTCTCAAAGCCCTCAGAAATCCATTGACCCCTTAGGGTGGCTCTGGATTCTGAGGAGTAACAAATGTCGCAGCCTCTTAGCTGGAAAAATCTGATGGAACATATTGATTTCCCTTGACTGCCATTGAATTGTGTGTTTAACCAGGAGAGATCTGAAGGGTTGGGCTAGTAGCTCAGTTTGAAATAGAGGGTGTTAATTAGGTCATACCTGGGATTTTAGAGCCATAAAAGTTTTGTAAGAAAAACAGTTTTGTTCCAGGCAGCCGCACACACTAGAGAGTCTGTTAGACTTTCTCAATGTTGATTTCACTTTCTAATACTTAGCTTGTGTCTGCTAAGGTGGATGGATTAGTGGACTGGTTTTGGAGAACATCCCCAAGTCACTGATTTCATTTAAAGCCGAGATATGGGAGAAAGTTGCCTTTCTCCTAAGAGTTGGTTTATATGGCTATAACTTGGAGGATGGTATCACTTGAGGTTATTCTTATCTGGATAGTTCTCTAAAGAGTTTGCATGAGTTGAACATTACAGTCCAGGAATGAGAGAACCCTGGAGCAAATAGAACGCAGGGACATTTATCTTTGCATCCAATCTTCCCTGCTCAGTGCCCCTAGTACCTGCTTGCTGCCTAAAACTCCAGGGAACAATTGTATGTATGGTTGTAGGAGCAGTGGAGAAAAGAAAGATGCCATAAGGACCCAAACTTAGGAAAGAAGTTAAGCTCAAGAGATCTTTTGCACAGAACTCAATTGGGTACAGACTGCCCACGTGACTCTCCTGTGTTGTTCTGTTTTTCGTTCCGAAAGAGAGCCACATCCTCTTACAGGTTTGAGCACTAGAGGAAAACAGGAAAAAGTTGAGAACAGGAGAAAGAGCGATGTTGAAAAGTGAAGTTATTGAGACTGTGGTGGAGAAAGAGAAACAGACCAGTGAGAGGCAATAAGGAAAGCCAGGTTTGGGAATTCATCCAGTCACCGTCACTAATTGACTCTAAATTTCTGTGGTGCTCTAAGAGAAGGGAATCATGTAAATGCTTTGTGAAGAGGCAAGTGATCAACTTTGCAAATAAGGTGAGATATCTGATAGGAAATAAAGGAGGGATTTCAGGAAAGGAAAGGGGAATGTAGCCCTATGCTGGAGAATTCCTAATGGAAGCTTTACCGTGAGAAGTGTAAGATGAGTCAGAAAACACAGGAAATCACCCCTAAAGGAATGACTAGAATGCAGATGCAGAAGGAGCTGGGGTCAGGTCCTGCCAGGAACCTTACCTTTAGGGTTGTAAATCATTACCAAGGCTGACATTGGGCAATATTGTCAGCTTTAAGAGACCTCAAGGAATTAATATTGTATCTATTCTCTGTTAGTTATTAGATGTGTGGATAATTGAACTTGAGTAAGGCCAGGAAACCCAGAATGGGGCTGTTGTGAAGGGGGTAGGGCATGTTAGTGCAAATTCCTAAGCCCCCATTTTCTGAAAGTGAAATATCACTTGTATGAATAAAATAAAGCTTAATTGGGTATTCTACATAAAATGCCCTGTTGTTGGCTTTGTCTATTTAGAGGGAACCTGGGAGTATAGAAAGTTTGAGATAATCGTATATATTGACTATGTGGAACATTATCTAGATCGCATTTCCTCATGTTAATGAGATAATTAGATAGCAGGGCAATGCCTGAAGGCCATCTTTGAATACATTTCTAAGAGGAGCCGAAAGGTTCAGAAGTGGGTCGGTAGAAGCCCTGCATGCCCACTGTGGAAGGCCAGGAGAAGGGCCCATGGAAAGGTGATGGTAATTCCTGATTCTAGTTTTGTTCTTTATTTTTCTTGGGGTGCACATTTTCCTCCACAAATGGAACAATTCTTCCATTCTTTTCATTCCAGTAGCCACTTCACCATCTTCACCTCAGCCAGCAGAAACCCACCCTACGACACTGCAGGGAGCAATAAGGAGAGAACCCACCAGCTCACCATTGTACTCTTACACAACAGGTAACTGCGTTCTCTTTCCTGAAGACCTGGGATCATTCAAACCTTGATAACCATTGACTTTGTTGAGAGCACACGCTCTGGAATACGACTGATCTGAGTGCCAACACCAGGCACACAGATCAGTCATTTGACTTGTACAAATATCTACCCTTTCTGAATGTTTTGTCATTGGTGTGTGTGTGTGTGTGTGTGTTTTCTTTTTTTTTCTGAGATGGAGTCTCGCATTGTTGCCCAGGCTGGAGTGCAGTGGCACGATCTCGGCTCACTGCAAGCTCCGCCTCCCAGGTTCACGCCATTCTCCTGCCTCAGCCTCCCGAGTAGCTGGGACTACAGGCGCCCGCCACCACGCCCGGCTAATTTTTTGTATTTTTAGTAGAGTCGGGGTTTCACCGTCTTAGTCACGATTGTCTCGATCTCCTGACCTCGTGATCTGCCCGCCTCCACCTCCCAAAGTGCTGGGATTACAGGCATCAGCCACCGTGCCCAGCTGTTTTGTCATTTGTAAAAAGGATGTAATACCAAGATCTTGCAGAATGCTTGTGAGGATCAAATGGGATGAAAGATTTGGGACATGGTTACAGGGGGTAAGTGATAAATATAATAGCAGCTATTATTATTATTCCTTAGAACATCAAGAATCCAAATGCCTGACTGCACAGATAGCTTATGTGATTTGGAAACATCCACATGCATATTACCTTGTTTTTAGAAATCAAATCAACCAGTCTTGAATCTGAACATATTATTTTGACTTGATTCCTTGGGCCAGGGCCTTAAAACAATTAAATCCAGCCCTCTGATGTTTAGCTCAAACACCAGACCCTATGCTTCTGACAAGTCCCAGACCCCAAAAAGTACCAGGAGGCTTCCACTGATTCATCAAATTTGTATTTACATGAGCATTCTCAGATGGGGCTATGATTTGAATGTTTGTGTCCTCGCTATTAAGGGAAACTCCCAAACTGGGTTTTCTGTCTCTTCTCACACCACGTCAACAACAATCATCAACTCAGATGAAGACTTCTGTGACCGAATGTGTGGAGTTTTTTCCCCATACATCAAGCAGTGGACACCGGCTGTGTCTTTAATTCAGTTCTTACACTGTCTACCCGGAGAGAGGGTCATATCCCACAGGTAAGGGGCTCAGTCCCCAAGACTGCCCCTCCCAACCCCACCACACACACCAGTCACAAGTTCGGGTCTCTGGAACTTCTGAGCGGCCAGTTTCAAGTTGGGGTTCCCACAACCCTCTCTTTGGGTTCTATTAATTTCCTGGAGTGGCTTCCAGAACTCAGGGAAACACTTATGTTTACCAGATAATTATAAAGGATATTGCAAAGGATACTGATGATGAGATGCACAGGATGAGGTATATGGGAAAGGGTTCCATGCTCTTCCTTGGGAACTTCACCTTCTAGGAACCTCCAAGTGTTTGACTATCTGGAAGCTCTCAAAACCTAGTCTTCTTGTACTTTTTTTTTTTTTGAGACGGAGTCTTGCTCTGTCATCACCCAGGCTAGAGGGCAGTGACATGATCTTGGCTCACTGCAACCTCTGCTCCCAAGTTCAAGCAATTCTCCTGCCTCAGCTTTCCAAGTAGCTGGGATTACACGTATGCGTCATCCTGCCCGGCTAATTTTGTATTTTTAGTAGAGATGGGGTTTCATCATGTTGTCCAGGCTGGTCTTGAACTCCTGACCTCAGGTGATCTGCCCACCTCAGCCTTCCAAAGTGTTGAGATTACAGGCGTGAGCCACCGCACCCAGGCCTTTTGGGTTTTTATGGAAACTTCAAGACATCAACATTCCATCCCCCAGGGGCACAGGGAAGGACTCTCTCTGGGAAGTGTCTTATGACCCACAATCAGAAAGGCGGGGGAAATTAAAGTTCTGCCTTGTCAGGTGAAAGGAGAGCAGGAGAAAGTCCAATATTGTTTCCTGAGGTCAAACATACTTACCATGATAAGAAAAGACTATAATCAGGGATATGGGAGTTATGAGCCAGGAACCATGCACAGACCTCTATCTATCTATATATGTATGTATAATCTCATAACACCACACCCCTAAATTCATGTTGATAGATAATTCCCAAATTCATGTTGATAGCTAATTCCCAATGCAAGTATTAAGAGCTGGGGCCTTCGGAGCATGATTAGGTCATGAGAGCCCCGCCTTCATGAATGGAATCAATGCTCTTATAAAAGGCCCAAGTTACATTTTCTGGATGGGAGAGAAACAATAAATTAATTAGTTAAACAAAAAGAGGCCCAAGGGAACTTGTTTGACCCTTCCCCCATATAAGAACAAATAGAAGACACCATCTATAGGAAAGAGGACCCTCACTAGATTGAGTAATCAGCCTGTGCCTTGATCTTGGACTACCCAGCCTCGAACTGTGAGCAATAAATTTCTGTTTAAATTACCCAATCTAAGCTATCTTATCATAGCAGCCTGAACAGACTAAGACAGATGAGTTGAGGACACCCACACCAACATCAAAGAGGCATGACCCTCTGAGATCCTGCTACTCTGCTCCAAACAATCCTTACTATTCTTTCAAGTCTGAACAGGCCTCTTAGAGTCTCTGCTCCTTGGAAGTGTAGAATTGACCTGTCTTTCCTTGTGATGGAGAAAGTTGATGCTGAAACCTGTCATCTTTCCCAGCTAACTCTCCTTGTTTCCCTTAGTGGTAAGCTCTGGGAGTGCCCTGTGCTGAGCTCCTCTGTGATGCTGAGCTGGCTCTGTGTCCTTGTGTGGCATCCAAGCAAGGTCACACCTTGCAGGCCTCCTTGTGTGTATGACTCATTGTACTCAGCTGTTGCCAATCTGTAGGCAGCTGCTCCCCAGCCTACATGGCCTACTTTTTTTGCCAATCATTCCTGGTAGCTGGTTAATTTAAAATGGACCTGCAGTGTGATTCACAGAGGGACTCATTCAACTGGGATTAGATAATGGCGACATTTCGTTTTGAAAGTGTAATCCTCAGCGCAAACTGTTTCCAGGCACAAAAGCAAAATGAAAATAGATAAAAACACAACGTAACAGTGGTAGGAGCAGCTGCACCCCACTCTTTGAGAGTGTAAGGAGGAAGAAAGTAGGAGTGGGGAATCATTCTCCGAAATACTATGTCAGTGAAACCTGGTCAAAGTAGAGTTTTCCAGGTGGAACAGACAGTGGAGCAGCTGTATCCCCAGGATTTGTGTGGCTGCTGCCATTTTGGCCGTGGATCCAAGGCTCTTGGGCCAAGTTCTTACTGTGCCTGGGTTGGCCCTCAGTTGCCTAAAGCCCATGGAAGCAAGGAATATTAGATCTGGAAAGGATTGGAGCTGTCATATGGCCCACTACCCACCTTTGACAGATGTATGTGCCAGGAAATGGATATATTATCTTGTTTAATTCTTTCAAGGCAGGCCATATTTAATGCTATTGCCAGATTGAGGAGGCGCTATAAATCTGCTCTGGAGACACACAACTCCCATTTCAGCTATAAGTTACTAGTTCTGTGCCCACAGGAAAATTGTTGAACATTCCTCTTTGAATGATTAGAGTATATGATATTTGGAAAGTGCATTGCATAGTATCTATCCCTCCCTCCTCCCCACTCCTCTTCCCATTATATAATAATAATAGCTTAGTGCCAACCACTTTACATGCATCATCTAATTTAATTGTAACAACTTGATGGGCTGTGTACTATTAATAGGTTGTAGTTCATGCGTACTGTAGCTAGAAATATATATATAGTAGTTTTCCCCTTATCTGCAGTTTTGCTTTTCTGTAGCAGTCAACTATATTCCTCAAATACTAAGATATTTTGAGAGAGACTAAATTCCCATAGCTTTTATTACAGTTTATTTCTATAATTTTTCTATTATATTATTTATTGCTGTTAATATCGTTCTGTGCCTAATTTGTAAATTGAACTTTTATCATAGGTATGTATATCTAGGAAAAACATGGTCTCTATAGGGTTTGGTACTATCCTTGGTTTCATGCATCTACTTGAGGGTCTTGGAACATATCCCCTGTGGATAAGGGGGCACTACTGTATACACACACACACATACACACATAAACACACACCCCTTTATATACCTATACATACATACATAACTGTGTGTATGAAAAGGACCTTGAGTATCAAAGTTACATTGCTAACAGACATTGTCAGCATTGAACTGAAATTTTATTGACTCCGGTCCGTGCTGTTTTTCTGCATCACCCCATCCTCTTCCTGAAACTGTTACTTAAGGTCATAATACCTGTCACAAACAGGGCTGAGATTCTATATATTGCATAAACCTACATATTGCTTTTGGCTTTCTTTTCTCCTTCCTTCCTTCCTTCCTCCCTCCCTCCTTTCTTTCTTTCTTTCTTTCTTTCTTTCTTTCTTTCTTTCTTTCTTTCTTTCTTTCTTTCTCTTTCTTTCTTTCTTTCTTTCTTTCTTTCCTTCTTTCTTTGTCTTTCTTTCTCTCTCCTTCCTTCCTTCCTCCTTTCTTCTTTCCTTTCTTTCTTTCCTTCCTTCCTCCTTCCTTCCTTCCTTCCTTCCTTCCTTCCTTCCTTCCTTTCTTTCTTTCTTTCTTTCTTTCTTTCTTTCTTTCTTTCTTTCTTTCTCCTTCCTTCCTTCCTTCCTTCCTTCCTTCCTTCCTTCCTTCCTTCCTTCCTTCGTCCTTTCTTTCTCCCTTCCCTTCCCTTTCCTTCCTTCTTTCTCAGTCTCACTCTGTTGCCCAGGCTGGAGTGCAGTGGCACAATCTTGGCTCACTGTAATCTCCACCCCCTGAGTTCAAGCAATTCTTGTGTCTCAGCCTCCCAAGTAGCTGGAATTACAGATGTGCAGCATCACGCTGGCTAATTTTTTATATTTTTAGTAGAGATGGGGTTTCACCACATTGGCCAGGCTGATCTTGAACTCCTGACTTCAAGGGATCTGCCTGCCTCAGCCTCCCTAAGTGCTGGGATTACAGGCATGAGCCACTGTGCCTGGCCTTGCCTTTGGCTTTCTAGGAAGCCTCAGAAGCAGTAAAATGTAAACACAGTAATGTAAATGTTGGGGAGATATTAGTCCAAGTTTATTCATGTTGAGCCCTATAGCATTGTCACCAGTTACAGAATTTCATAGACCTAAGTATTTCCATTTGATAGAAGTGCAATGTGTTGTGTAGGTTATCAGCAGAGGCTCTTGTCACTTAATTAGAAATCATCGTTTAACCATTTCCTGTGTATTTCTTTATCCATAAAAATGGGATTAAGGAACTAACTGGTTGTTAGAAGGTAAAGTGTTCACTACATGGTAGATGCTCAGTAAAAAGTCAGTTCTGTATTTGACCTATAGTTGTCTAGGAAGGCCAACAGAATATACTCTTTTTTGGGGACAGGGTCTCACTCTGTTGCCCAGCCTGGAGTGCAGTGGTGCCATCACAGCTCACCGAAACCTCTGCCTCCAAGGTTCAGGGATTCTCCTACCTCAGCCATCCGAGTAGCTAAGTCTACAGGCATGTGCCACCATGCCCAGCTAATTTTTTGTATTTTTTGTTAGAGATGGGATTTCACTATGTTGGCCAGGCTGGTCTTGAACTCCTGACCTCAAGTGATCCGCCTGCCTTGGACTCCCAAAGTGCTTGGGTTTATAGGCATGAGCCACCCATGCCTGGCTGAGAATATACTGTCTATTACAAAGCAGATATTTTAAAACATGTTGAAATTTTTAAATGTTCAACTCTAAGAGAAATGTATCTTATATATTACATAAAATCTTAATCCTTATATGGCATAATATGCTTGATCTGGTGGCTGCCATATTTTCTAAAGCACTTCTAGATCAAAATGTAAGCACATCGGCAACAACACAGGAGTTATATGCCACCTGTTTTTGATATTACAGCATATTTTACTCCTTCTGAATATAAAACCAATATGATGTCCATTCTGAAAAGGGTGGTTCTGGTTTTTGGATGTACATGCCTCTGACCATTCATTTACAGCTGTTTAGATAGCATAAAAGTATTGATTGCCTTTAAATGGCATTCTTAACCTGGTTCCATGAATGGGCTTCTGTGATGACCCTAAAATAGTAGATAAAATTCATGTGTGTGCACATGCATTATTTTTTTAATAAAGAAAAAACAAGAGTCCATTTTCAAAGAGCCGGTGACAGAAAGGTTAAGAAATACAACTTTACAGGAGAAATTAATATAACATTAATAACTTGGTATGACTCTTGCAGTGCCTGCAGAATTTGGTCATATTATCATTCAACTTTTCATCGCCAGAAGGTAATGTGAATATATTTAGTGTCTGCAGTGAAAATTCAATATTTTTTGTAATTCTAATTAAATTTCCTTCTTGTTGAGTAGATGGGAATGACACCGTGACAGAGTCTTCAGATGGCCTTTGGAATAACAATCAAACTGTAAGCATATTCCGCCCTATTTGATTAGCCAGATTCACTTGTATATCTCCTTGGAAGCAAGTTACATTTAAAGACTATGTCTGTAAGACTAGCCCACAGAATTTTTTTTTTCTTCTTAAAAAAAAGTTGAAGAAAATAATTTCACTCTTAAATAGGATGCTTTAATTTTTTTTTTTTTTTTTTTTGAGACGGAGTCTTGCTCTGTTGCCCAGGCTGGAGTGCAGTGGTGCAATCTCTGCTCACTGTAAGCTCCGCTTCCCGGGTTCAGGCCATTCTCCTGCCTCAGCCTCCCGAATAGCTGGGACTACAGGCGCCCGCCACCATGCCCGGCTAATTTTTTGTATTTTTAGTAGAGACGGGGTTTCACCGTGTTAGCCAGGATAGTCTCGATCTCCTGACCTCATGATCCGCCCGCCTCGGGATGCTTTAATTTGGAAAGTTCATTTAGGTGACCCAGTTTGTCAGAGATGCCCAAAGAGATTATGTTACTGAATAGCGTACTTAGATACATAGTACACAGACTTTCTGTTGGGAGAAAATAGGGGAAGAAAGAATGAGCTAATTTTTTGAGACAGAACATCACTCTGTCTCCTAGGCTGGAGTGTAGTGATGCGATCTCAGCTCACTGCAACCTCCGCCTCCTGGGTTCAAGCAATTCTCCTGCCTCGGCCTCCAGAGTAGTTGGGACTACAGGCGCACGCCACCACGCCTGGCTAATTTTTGTATTTTTAGTAGAGGTGGGGTTTCACCATGTTGGCCAGGCTAGTCTCAAACTCCTGACCTCAGGCAATCTACCCGCCTCGGCCTCCCAAAGTGCTGGGATTACAGGCGTGAGCCACCGCGCCCGGGCCCGAATGAGCTAATTTAAGGAGAACAAGTTAAGATAACACACCAAGGAGGAATTCAATTATCAATAGGGAAACAGCATGCTTTGATGGGGTGGAGTAGAGGCTGCCCCAAACAAAAGTAAAATGTAAGTGAAAGGAACATAATATGTTTATTTTCCTAATATATTTTCCCTACCTAATGACCATTTTATGTAGAAATTTTAAAATGTCTATTGATGTTTTTCTATACATAAACCTCCCCATGGGATGACTTTTTATTCTTTCTTTCTTTTTTTTATTTTTTGAGACAGTCTTGTTCTGTCACCCAGGCTGGAGTGCACTGGCGGGATCCCAGCTCACTGCAACCTCCTCTTCTTGGGTTCAAGTGATTCCCCTGCCTCAGCCTTCCAAGTAGCTAGGATTACAGGTGCATACCACCATACCTGGATAATTTTTGTGTTTTTAGTAGAGATGAGGTTTCATCATGTTTACCAGGCTGGTCTTGAACTTCTGATCTCAAGTGATCCTCCCGCCTTGGCCTCCCAAAGTGCTGGAATTACAGGCGTGAGCCACCGTACCCGGCCCAGGATGATTTTTTAAGATAACAAAGTCCTAGATAATAACTTTGATTCTGTAAAATGTTTCCATACTTTTTTTCTCAGTGAACTTGGGAAAAATTTAAGGGACTTAGTCTTATGATGCTCATCAAAGTCTTCTACCTCCATGTAAGTTAGATAGATTTACTAATAAGATCTTTTCTTTTGGCTCCTGTAAGAAACAATCTGCCTTTTAGTATGTGCAAGTAACTTTTTGAAGTAACAAACAAAAAAAGTCTGAGGTTATGAGAATAATCCTTCTGAGGTTTTTATTTTTTATTATTTATTTATTTATTTATTTTTGAGACAGGGTTTTACTTTCATCGCCCAGGCTGGAGTACAGTTTCACAATCTCAGCTCACTGCAACCTCCACCTTCCGGGTTCAAGTGATTCTTGTGCCTCAGCCTCCCCAGTAGCTGGGATTATAGGCGCCCACCACCATGCCTGGCTAGTTTTTGTGTTTTTAGTAGAGATGGAATTTCACCACGTTGGCCATGCTGGTCTGGAACTCCTGACCTCAGGTGATCTGCCTGCCTTGGCCTCCCACAAGTGCTGGGATTACAGGCATGAGCCACCGCAGCTGGCCCGAGAATAATCCTTCTGATAGCCAGTTGTAAGAAATGACAACGTGGCCATTGTATAAAAAATTCAAAATGATCAAAGTGGGGCTATTTAGTGTAGAGCCAAATACCTTAGTGACATTGTGAATGCCATTACATGGCGTAACATTTAAACATTTAGCAACTTGTATGGCATGCACTGATTGATCTGACATACTGGCTAAATATCAGAACTACCACCATGTATATGTTCAATGTGTTGACGTGTGGCTAGATTTGTGCTGGATTTAAAAAATACTCCTCAGGATAGTGAGGTTATTCTTTTCTTTTCTTTTTTTTTTTTTGAGACAGAGTTTCACTCTTGTTACCCAGGCTGGAGGGCAATGGCGCGATCTTGGCTCACTGCAACCTCCGCCTCCCAGGTTCAAGCAATTCTCCTGCCTCAGCCTCCCGAGTAGCTGGGATTACAGGCACCTGCCACCAGGCCTGGCTAATTTTGTGTTTTTAGTAGAGACAGGGTTTTTCCATGTTGGTCAGGCTGGTCTCCAACTCCCGACCTCAGGTGATCCACCCGCCTTGGCCTTCCAAAGTGCTGGGATTCCACAGACGTGAGCTACCGCGCCTGGCCGGTGAGGTTATTCTTGGTCTCAGTTACCTACAGAATAGGTATGTTTAGAAGTAAGGGAAAACAATTTAGAGGCCGGTTCAAGGTTGGCAGTAGCAGAAACTTGGGCTTTCTGTGCCTTGACTGAAGATGTCAAGATGTCTTCTCCCAGGTATCTTGAAAACATGCAGAATACATTTTGACCCAGTAGGTCACTTTCCTGGGCTCTATCTTAAGGAAAAAATTGAACTAATAAATAAAAATGTATGAGAAGGATGTTCATTGTTAACACTTATAATCATGAAAATATTATAAACAACCTAAATGTTTAATAGTAAGGGATTACTTAGTTAAGCATGTGCACGTATTGCCGTAAAGAATGTAGTCATTGGCAGGGCACGCTGGCTCACGCCTGTAATTCCAGCACTTTGGGAGGCTGAGGCAGGTGGATCACCTGAGGTCAGGAGTTTGAGACCAGCCTGACCAATATGATGAAACCTCCTCTGTACTAAAAATAGAAAAATTAGCTGGGTGTGGTGGCGGGTGCCTGTAATCCCAGCTACTTGGGAGGCTGAGGCAGGAGAATCGCTTCAACCCAGGAGGTGGAGATTGCAGTGAGCCGAGATTGCACCACTGTACTCCAGCCTGGGCAACAGAGCATAAGAATGTAGTCATTGCAGTGCATTTACTGACATAGGTTATAGAATGTTATAATATGTTGGTTATAACACATTATTAAGTGAAAGAAGCTACTTTTAAAATAGTATACAATTAGGATATACTATAGTTCATATAGAATATAGTAATTATTTCTGTTAAGAAAAAATCCTAGAAGGATAAAATTCTATAAAAGTATATAAAGCAAAATGGCAAAAGTGCTCATTTCTGGATGTTAAAGTTATGGTTTATTTATTTATTCGAGACAGAGTCTCACTCCATTGCTCAGGCTGGAGTGCAGTGGCACGATCACAGCTCACTGCAGACTCATCCTCCCAGGCTCAAGTGATCCTCCCACCCCAAGCCTCCCAAGTAGCTGGGACCACAGGCATGCATCACCACGCCTGGCCAGTTTTATTTTTTTCTGGAGACAGGGTCTCACCAAACTGGTCTCAAACTCCTGGGCTCAGGCTATCCTCCTGCCTTAGCCTCCCAAAGTGCTAGGATTATGGGTGTGAGCCACTGTCCGTGACCTGGTTGTGGTTTTTTTAGTTTTCCTTTTTTATGCTTAGCTGCACATTCTAAAATGAGCATGCAGTATTTGTGTGTTGTAATTAAAAAATGAAAGCAAAGCCTGCCTCCTGAAACCCCATTCTCCATCTACCCACATTACACTTCCCTCCCACCCTGTAGGTAAAGTAATAACAACATAGTTTTGCACTCCCAGACACTGGCTATGCCGCTTCTAAGCAAGCATGGCTCAAATGCTGTTACTCCACTATATTCATAGTGTTTATCAGGAAGGACCTGAAAGTACCCTTGCAAAGAACCCTATTGAATCTACTGTCTATGTCTATTGCTAGACATAGAAATAGATTCAGAGAGGCTAAATAGCTTGTCCATGGTCACATAGTGACTAAGTAGAAGACCTGGGATTCTGACTCCAGGGATTAAGATTTTACAAATGAGAAGATTTGTCCTTCACTCAGATTCTCCCCCTTCCTTCTATTAAAATACCTTCCCGGTGGGCTCTCTTTAGGATTAGAACTAAGCCATGAAATGGGGACCAGCAGGAAGCCAGGCACATTTCAGGCCTATTCCAGGAGGTGATGATCTCTTGTGATAGGCACCAGAAGACTTAAACAATTTTACATTTCTTCATGATTGCATAGCGTTGAATTGTTAATCATGGCCATGTCTGTGTGCAGCTACTCTCAAATCTATTTATTTAGATAGAGACAGAATCTTCTATTACAGGTAAAAAGACAAGTAAGGACTGTAACCAAGGACAAAATTCAATAACTGAGCACATTAAGATAACATCACATCAAGTCAATTTATATAAACAATTTTTTTTTCTTTTTTTCTTTTTTTCGAGATGGAGTCTCACTCTGTTGCCCAGGCTGGAGTGCAATGGCGAAATCTTGGCTCACTGCAACCTCCCGGGTTCAAGCAATTTTTTGCCTCCGCCTCCCAAGTAGCTGGGATTACAGGCGTGCAGCACCACACCCAGCTGATTTTTGTATTTTTAGTAGAGATGGGGTTTCACCATGTTGCCCAGGCTGGTCTCGAACACCTGACCTCAGGATGCCTGGGCTCCCAAAGTGCTGGGATTAGAGATGTGAGCTACCATGCCTGACATTTTTTCTTTTTTAATATCACAAGAGGATGTATTTGTGGAAATAGCCTATTGACTTTTAAAACAGTAAATTAAAAAATTTACATACAAACCCATTTTAAGCATACAGTTTTAGTTTTGACAAATGTGTACACCTATGTAAATACAACCTCAAGCAAGCTAGAAAACACCTCCATCATTGTAAAATATGTTTTGCGTTTCAAGTTGTCCTAGATTTTCACCGTATGGTTATAAACTGAGATCATTTGGTCTTACCCTTATGTTCCAGAAGTCCCCAAGCACCAATACAGGTAAATGTGGCTGGGTAAGTGATTCTGGGAAATGTTTTCTCTTCATAACTTTCTAACAAGATGCTTTTTTGATCTGTTGTTGTTTCCTCAGCAACTGTTCCTAGAACATAGTCTACTGACGGCCAATACCACTAAAGGAATCTATGCTGGAGTCTGTATTTCTGTCTTGGTGCTTCTTGCTCTTTTGGGTGTCATCATTGCCAAAAGTAAGTCATTTCGAGATTGTTCCTAAGGGACAAGGGATGTACAGCAAAATTGCCTGGGTTCACTAGTTTCATAAGTCACATGATTTTGATTTCACACGACTTCCCTTTGTCTCCCCAAATCCTCATTTGTAAAAGTCACATGGTAATACCATCTACCTCAAGGGGGAAGGGAAATGAAGTTTAAATGCATTGGTACCTACAAAGCACTAAGAATGGGAGCTGGGTGTGGGGTCTTATGCCTGTAATCCTAGCTACTTGGGAGGCTGAGTGAGGCAGGAGGATTGCTTGAGCCCAGGAGTTCAAGACTAGCCTGAACAACATGGTGGGACCCCATTTCTTAAAAAAAAACAAAAACAAAACAAAAAAGCAAAACAAAACAAACAAACAAAAAAACCATTAAAAAAAGCACCAGCCAGGAGCAGTGGCTCATGTCTGTAATCCCAGCACTTTGGGAGGCTGAGGCAGGAGGATTGCTTGAGCCCAGGAGTTCAAAACCAGCCTGGGCAACATAGTGAGACATTGTCTCTAAAATAAAAGGAAAAGAACAAAAAGAAAAAGCACTGAGAATGGTTCCTGGCACATGACAAGTGCACAGCAATCTTAAACTGTAATTGTAGTTAGAAAGATCCTTTTGCCATAAATCTCTATAAATCTCATGGAAGTTACATTCTAGTGGAGTTTTCACTTAAAACCACTATTTTTTAAACTTGTTATTTTTCAATTATTATTCCCCTATGGAAAAAATTTAATTCTATAAGAATTTTTTTGAGACAGAGTTTCTCTCTTGTCTCACAGGCTGGAGTGCAATGGCACGATCGTGGCTCACTGCAACCTCCACCTCCTGAGTTCAAGCCATTCTCCTGCCTCAGCCTCCTGAGTAGCTGGGACTACAGGCGCCCGCCACCACGCCCGGCTAATTTTTTGTATTTTTTAGTAGAGATGGGGTTTCACCGTGTTAGTCAGGATGGTCTCGATCTCCTGACCTTGTGATCCGCCTGCCTTGGCCTCCCAAAGTGCTGGGATTACAGGCATGAGCCACCACGCCCGGCCGAATTTTTGTATTTTTAGTAGAGACGGGGTTTTGCCATGTTGGCTAGGCTGGTCTCAAACTCCTAACCTCAGGTGATCCACCTGCCTCGGCCTCCCAAAGTTCTAGGATTACAGGCATGAGCCACAATGCCAGGCCAAGAAAAACTAAATACAGGTGTTCCTCAGTACCCTTGGGGGATTGGTTCCAGAGCCCCTTGATTCCAAAATCTGCAGATGCTCAAGTCCCTTATAAAATGGTGTAGTATTTGCACATAGCCTACTCACTTCCTCCAGTATACTTTAAATCTTCCCTAGATTACTTAGAACACCTAATATACAACGTAAATGCCATGTAAATAGTTGTTATATTGTATTGTTTTTATCTGTATTATTATTGTTGTGTATTATTTTTATTTTTTTTTTAATTTTCAATTTGCGAGTGGTTGAAACTGAGGATGCCAAACCTGTGGACATCGAGGGCCAACTGTATCAAGAAATAGGAGTTTGTTGGGTAGTGTTGCGATCTGGAAGTCAACACACCATTGTGATATATAAGATTTATTTTCTCCACCCTACAAGATCTAATTTTTTTCCCTGTGGGGGTGATATTGTTAAAATTTTGCAACACTCATTTAGCAGAAGAGGCACATGAGACACTGGGAGGGGAAACTGATAGCAAGACACAGACTAAAAAAGTAAAACAAAAGTCTTCAAAAAGCAACCACCCCAGGCTTCATGTCTCCCTTCTGCTAACTGTGTGTGTGTGTGTTTGTCTCAGTATAACCTGCCTCCCATAAAAGAACCCTAGTTAGCTATTTTGCAAGATGTGGTATTTGAAGCCATGACTGATTTAGTTCATGGGTCTAGGCAGAGGAGAATCAGAAAATTAAGAGTATGTTTGGCAAATTTGAGGAAGTTTTTATATAATTATTTTGGAGCTTGCTTAGTCAAAGTTATTTAGAAATTGGGTAAAATACCTTGCAGGGAAGTTCAAACTTTCCCTCTGAAATTTTGATACTTGAGTACGCCAAAAAAAAAATAGATTATTAGGAGATTAACAGGAGAAAATGAATACATATTTATTATGTGTACAGAAGCCACACAAAATATGAGATGGAAGAAAGGGCCAGATGACTGGAGCTTAAATACCCTTTTCTTTCTTTTTTTTTGGAGACAGAGTCTCTTGCTCTGTCACTCAGACTGGAATGCAGTGGTGTGATCTCAGCTCTGTGGGGGAAAAGAAAGAGAGATCAGACTGTTACTGTGTCTATGTAGAAAGAAGAAGACATAAGGAACTCCAGTTTGTTCTGTACTAAGAAAAATTCTTCTGCCTTGAGATGCTGTTAATCTGTAACCCTAACCCCAACCCTGTGCTCGCAGAAACATGTGCTGTGTTGACTCAAGGTTTAATGGATTAGGGCTGTGCAGGAGGTGCTTTGTTAAAAATGTGTTTGCAGGCAGTATGCTTGGTAAAAGTCATCGCCATTCTCCAGTCTCGAGTACCCAGGGACAAAATGCACTGCGGAAGGCCTCAGGGACCTCTGCCCAAGAAAGCCTAGGTATTGTCCAAGGTTTCTCCCCACTGAGACAGCCCGAGATATGGCCTTGTGGGAAGGGAAAGACCTGACCCTCCCCGAGCCCGACACCCGTAAAGGGTCTGTGCTGAGGATTAGTGAAAGAGGAAGGCCTCTTTGCAGTTGAGATAAGAGGAAGGCATCTGTCTCCTGCTTGTCCCTGGGAATGGAATGTCTCGGTGTAAAACCCGATCATACATTCTATTTACTGAGATAGAAGAAAACTGCCTTATGGCTGGAGGTGGGACATGCTGGCAGCAATACTGCTCTTTACTGCACTGAGATGTTTGTGTAAAGTCAAACATAAACCTGGCCTACGTGCACATCGAGGCACAGCACCTTTCCTTAAACTTATTTATGACACAGAGACCTTTGCTCACATGTTTTCCTGCTGACCCTCTCCCCACCATTACCCTATAGTCCTGCCACATCCCCCTCACTGAGACAGTAGAGATAGAGATCAATAAATACTGAGGGAACTCAGAGACAAGTGCCGGCGTGGGTCCTCCGTATGCTGAGCGCCGGTCCCTTGGGCCCACTGCTCTTTCTCTATACTTTGTCTCTGTGTCTTATTTCTTTTCTCAGTCTCTTGTCCCACCTGATGAGAAATACCCACAGGTGTGGAGGGGCTGGCCCCCTTAAAGCTCACTGCAACCTCTGCCTCCCAGGTTCAAGCAATTCTCCTGCCTCAGCCTCCTGAGTAGCTGGGATTACAGGCTCGTGCCACCACACCCGAATGATTTTCGTGTTTTTAGTAGAGATGGGGTTTTCACCATGTTGGTCAGGCTGGTCTTGAACTCCTGACCGCCTGCCTCTGCCTCCCAAAGTGTTGGGATTGCAGGCATGAGCCACTGCACCTGGCCTTAAATACCCTTTTCTTAGGGGAGAGAAAAGTGATGGATGTAGACAATTTTAGAGGAAGAGTAAATGATTTTTAGGGGAGATGAATGGGCCCAAAGAACAGACTGTAGGGCAGGACAAATTCCTCTGGACTCTGGATGTGTTGTCAGCTCTAGTCTCCTTCCTGTGATGTGCATCAGTTCCCCCACCACCCCCACCCGCCCCCGCCCCCGCCCTGCCATTGATGAGATATCGAGATATCTGGGGAAAGGATTGACAACAACAGAATATCTTCTGGAGGATCTGGCCTTTAGCTAGATAGGGGAGCTTCAGAGAAAGCCCTTTCCTAAATATGCTCCTCCCCAGGTGCTCTCACTTTGAATTCCAAAGAAGCCTATTTGAGGGTATTGTATTCTGAGCCCTAACAACCTCAAAATATACTTTACTCCTTAAGCAAAAATAACTCATTATTTCCTTGTTTAGGAGAGAGATGACTGGTAGTACAAACTCTTGCAAAAGTATCCTTTGATAGAGGTGACTCTTAAAGTATCTTTATGACCCAGTTCATCTAAAACAAATCTTGGTTGACGCCTGTTGTTCAGTAGCCTATCAGAAGGATCTTGGACTTACTCATTTTTTTTAAAAAAATGAAAGATAATTTAAGAATTGCATTAAAGTTAGGGAGGATATGTGGATGAATACACCAAACCATTAATGAAATTGAGATACTGGACAGTAAATGGCTTGTTTGGGTCCTGCAGAATCAAAAGGGACATGGGAAGGAGACACCTCAAGGTACCAGGGAAAAATCTAAGTAATAACAGAAATAATACACTTGATTGAAAAAAAGATTAAAACTCTTGCTGAGATGTTTAGTTTTCTCTTCAACTCCTCTCTCCCCACCCCTTCAATTTAGAGTATTTCTTCAAAAAGGAGGTTCAACAACTAAGGTAAGCTCGAAAATATTTCTATCAATACTTTTGAGGTTCCTACTCTGGTAAAATAAAAATAGATTTCTGTCTCTCTCCTAAACTCTCCATCGCATACCTTGGATCCTGACAGTCCACTTTAATGAGCAATTCTATTATTTACACCTTCCAGTGATATTTGTAGCTTTGTGTATTTCCCTGGAGTTGTGGCAGAGCTGGTACAGAGGGAGCACCTCAATCCTAAGCAAACCCCATAGGGCAAGATAACTAAATTGCAAGATTTGCTCGATGGAAGTAAACATTGAATGATTTGCTTTAGTTTGTTCTTTTATTTCGTTTAACGCTTTGTCTTTTTTGAGACTGAATTTCACTCTTGCTGCCCTGGCTGGAGTGCAATGGCACCTTCTCGGCTCACCACAACCTCCACCTCCTGGGTTCAAGCGATTCTCCTGCCTCAGCCTCCCCAGTAGCTGGGATTACAGACATGTGCCACCATACCCAGCTAATTTTGTATTTTTAGTAGAGACGGGGTTTCTCCATGTTGGTTAGGCTGGTTTCAAACTCCTGACCTCCGGTGATCTGCCTGCCTCGGCCTCCCAAAGTGCTGGAATTACAGACATGAGCCACCGCGCCCGGCCATTTTTTCATACTTTTAGTAGAGACAGGGTTTCACCATATTCGATGCTTTGTCTTACTGAGTGTTATTGGCTATTATATTCCAAAGAGATGAATATAACAGACAAAAACCATGTAAGCAAATAAGCATGGTTCTTTTACATGCTTACAGATAAACACCATGGGGACTATAGAACAGGATAAGGATCTGTTTGATTGAGTGCCAAGAAAGCAGCTAATTTGGAGGAAGATAATTCCTGGCTGCAGGGGCAGGGAGTGCAAAGGCACTGAGGTAGGGCAAGTGCCTCCAGTTTTCCACAGCTTCCATCATTCCCTGCTGCTCCCTACCCAGCCTGCTCCACTGATCTATATTAGCTGTCTAGCCTTGCAGGCACTTGAATTTGCCTTTAAAGACCTTTCAGTCTACCCTGCTGCCTAGTTACTTTTTTTTTTTTTTTTTTTTTTGAGACACCCAGGCTGGAATGCAATGGTGTGATCTGCAACCTCCACCTCCTGGATTCAAGCAATTCTCCAGCCTCAGCCTGCTGAGTAGCTGGGATCACAGGCACCTGCCACCATGCCTGGCTAATTTTTGTATTTTTAATAGAGACGGGGTTCTGCCATGTTAGGCTGGTCTCAAACTCCTCACCTCAGGTGATCCGCCTACCTTGGCCTCCCAAAGTGCTGGGATTATAGGCGTGAGGGACCGCACCTGGCCCCAGGTACAATTTAAATCCCCTTTACTGCATCTATGCCCCAAGGCCATCTGCCACACTGCCTGTAGTGGTAGGAGACAACTACCTAGTTCTAAAGCCAGCCAGCCTGCTTCATTTGGTTCAGGCTGAGTTTTAAGCAAGGACTTTCTCTGATTCAGAATCTATCCCTCTTACTTAGGCTGCCATCTATTAAGTCTAGTTCTCCTTCATTGGATGCTTGTACACAGACTTTCCTGAGTCTGAGTTAATTACCTGAGCCAATCCACAGAACCTGTCTGAACAGTGCCCAGCATACTGTAAGTGCTCAATACACATCGACTTTTGTTATTGCATTCAAGCCCTTCACAGCAATAAACTGCGAGAGAGGCACTATTCTCATTTTACAGATTGGAAAACAGTTTCAGAAATGTTGAGTGACATGTAAGGTCACATCACATAGCATATAAAGGACTCAATCTCACGAATCTGTGCTCATAAATATTTCTGGAATGGAAGAGAAATGTGTAAAGTATAAAAAAAGCCAAAAAAAAAAAAACCCACACTAACAAATTATGAACACTTCTTCATGACATTATCTTCTCGGCAGTTATATCACACTGAGTCATTTGAGCTCATTGACACTTAAACTAAGTGTCTTCACACATGTATGACTGACCTGTTTAGGGACCATAGTGGAGCTTTGTTTTTCACAGTTCTTTAAATGTGTGGACATGTGTTTCATCTGCAGCTGAATGAAGACAAGTTCCATATTTTGGGGGCAGGCTTTGGTAACAAATAGTCACTATATACAAATATATAAAAATAACCAGTTACATCAAAATGCTACACGTAAGTTAAAACTAAGTCTACTTTCTTCCCTCACTTGTATTTCCACTGTTTCTACTGATTTCTTTTTTTGAGACAGAGTCTCCAGCCCAGGCTGGAGTGCAGTGGTGTGATCTCGGCTCACTGCAACCTCTACCTCCTGGGTTCAAGTGATTCTTCTGTCTCAGCCTCCCAAGTAGCCAGGATTATGGGCACAAGCCACCACACCTGGCTAATTAAAAAAAAAATCTGTAGAGACGGGGTCTCGCTATGTTGCTCACGCTGGCCTCAAGGGATCCTCCTGCCATGGCCTCCCAAAATGCTGGGATTAGAGGCATGAGCTACTGCATCCAGCACAGGAAGATTTTTAACACTATGATCCAGTGTATACTTGTGAAACAGTACTATTTAACTATATTCAATGTTTCTCTGTTCTGTTTTTATCTTGAATATAGGATGTAGATGGCTAAGTAGATTTAACAACCCTCTCTAAAGGATCACAAGCTACAGTTGGAAAAGCACCAGTCATCCAATGCTTAGCCACATTTGAAAATATGCATCTTGATTCAGCCACTTAGTTTGATGTCAGAGCTCTGTATTTTTAGATTTTCCATTTTTGTATTCTATTATGCGAGTTTCAAAGAGACCAGTCTGAGTTTTTGAATACTTCTTAGATTGTCTACATGCTTATTAAACAGACTTTTCTTCAACTTAATAATAAGAGCCACACCTTTTACAACTCTGGAAGGCACTATTTATTTTATACTTTGTGTGAACGGGGCTCCTGGAGTCTCGAATACCTGATATTGCCTGATCATAAACAAAAGTGCAGCTTATATGTGAGAAGTGGTCTGCTTTTTTTCTTACTCATGTTATTCTTCAACAACTCTTTCTACAGTGTTTCATTTAGCAGCCTTCAAATTAAAGCTTTGCAAAATGCAGTTGAAAAGGAAGTCCAAGCAGAAGACAATATCTACATTGAGAATAGTCTTTATGCCACGGACTAAGACCCAGTGGTGCTCTTTGAGAGTTTACGCCCATGAGTGCAGAAGACTGAACAGACATCAGCACATCAGACGTCTTTTAGACCCCAAGACAATTTTTCTGTTTCAGTTTCATCTGGCATTCCAACATGTCAGTGATACTGGGTAGAGTAACTCTCTCACTCCAAACTGTGTATAGTCAACCTCATCATTAATGTAGTCCTAATTTTTTATGCTAAAACTGGCTCAATCCTTCTGATCATTGCAGTTTTCTCTCAAATATGAACACTTTATAATTGTATGTTCTTTTTAGACCCCATAAATCCTGTATACATCAAAGAGAATAGTCCCTGGAAACATAGCAAATGAACTTCTATCTTGGCCATCACAGCTGTCCAGAAGAGGGGAATCTGTCTTAAAAACCAGCAAATCCAACGTGAGACTTCATTTGGAAGCATTGTATGATTATCTCTTGTTTCTATGTTATACTTCCAAATGTTGCATTTCCTATGTTTTCCAAAGGTTTCAAATCGTGGGTTTTTATTTCCTCCGTGGGGAAACAAAGTGAGTCTAACTCACAGGTTTAGCTGTTTTCTCATAACTCTGGAAATGTGATGCATTAAGTACTGGATCTCTGAATTGGGGTAGCTGTTTTACCAGTTAAAGAGCCTACAATAGTATGGAACACATAGACACCAGGGGAAGAAAATCATTTGCCAGGTGATTTAACATATTTATGCAATTTTTTTTTTTTTTTTTGAGATGGAGCTTTGCTCTTGTTGCCCAGGCTGGAGTGCGATGGTGAAATCTCGGCTCACTGTAACCTCCACCTTCCGGGTTCAAGCAATTCTCCCGCCTCAGCCTCACGAGTAGCTGGGATTACAGGTGTCCGCCACTATGCTCAGCTAATTTTTTGTATTTTTTTAGTAGAGACAGGGTTTCATCATGTTGGCCAGAATGATCTCGAACTCCTGACCTCAGAGGATCCAGCCTCCTTGGCCTTCCAAAGTGCTGGGATTACAGGCATGAGCCACCGTGCCTGGTCCATTTATGCAATTTTTATTACACGTGTGTCATGGTGCTAAGCATTTAAACAACCATCAGGCTTTCTGAACAAATTTTTAGAACCAAGAAGATCAGCAATAAAAGAAAAAAAAAAGGCGGGAGTAGGGAAAAGTCTGCCTTTTCTGCCTTATAAGTTACATTGCAGATATAAGTGTTTGAAACTCACTAGTTTTGACCCAAATTCTAAATCGCCTCCAAACCACTTTCATGTTTAAAATTGTTTAGGAGGCTAGCGCCGTGGCTCATGCCTGTAATCCCAGCACTTTGTGAAGCCAAGGTGGGCAGGTAGCTTGAGCCCAGAAGTTTGAGACCAGCCTGGGCAACATGGCAATACCCCATCTCTATTAAGAAAAAAATTTAAGGAAAAAAAAAAAAGATAAAATTGTTTTGGAAAGGCAAAGTGTCTTTCTCATATCTAATCAATTCCTGTATTTTTTTTTTTTTTTTTTTTACAATTCAATTAGGCTTATTGTAAGGATATCTTTAGTCAGTATAAAAATATATAAAAAACAATTATACTAAACCAGTATAATTGTTTAGAAGTATATATTTGCCGGCCGGGCATGGTGGCTCATGCCTGTAATCCCAGGGCTTTGGAAGGCTGAGGTGAGTGGATCACTAGAGGTCGGGAGTTTGAGACCAGCCTGACCAACATGGAGAAACACTGTTCTCTACTAAGTATAGATTTGCAAGGGCTAGATTTGTCAGAAAAGAAACATTTCTACATGAACAGTTAAGGCTGGGTATTAATTTCAATTTCAGTTTGAGTAAACTCTGAAATAATTCATGGTTGAGGTTCAGAGCTACCCATACCATAGTTGTCTGGGGCAACAGGATGCTTGCTTTCAGAGGAAACTTTTTGTTTTTGTTTTTGTTTTTTTGAGATGGAGTTTTGCTCTTGTCACCCAGGCTGAAATGCAATGGCACAATCTTGGCTCACTGCAACCTCCACCTCCCAGGTTCAAGTGATTCTCCTGCCTCAGCCTCCTGAGTAGCTGGGATTACAGATGCCCGCCACAACGCCCAGCTTATTTTTAGTAGAGACAGGGTTTCACCATATTGGCCAGGCTGGCCTCCAACTCCTGACCTCAGGTGAGCCACCCGCTTTGGCCTCCCCAAAGTGTTGGGATTACAGGCATAAGCCACCGCGCCCAGCCAGAGGCAACATTTTTTAACGCAGTTATCATTCTAGGAAATTTATAGGTCCTTTGAAGGAAAATTCTGTGGGCAAATAAGATTGTGATACATGGTATTTCAGTTTTCCCAAATGTGGCCAGCCCGATCTGGTCAAAAATTTTATTTTTTAAAAGCTATAGTGTCTTTTTTTCTTAAATTTGAGGCAACATGCACAAAATTGGAGATTTGAAATTAAAGCCAAGATTTGTAGTTTCTCTGGAAAGACCTGGCAAGATTGGACTGGATTGCTATGTGACCAGGGTCCCACTAGATGGGGCTGCATCCTCTAATCCCCAAATCCTTATGTTCCCTGCATGCTCACCTTTGTTACCTGCCTGACACCTGTGGGGCTTTTAACTTTATGGCAACTGCCCTATTCTCTGGATCCTTCCTGAGGATTTATGATGCGTAATACTCCAGGAATCTGGTTAGCTTTGCTTAACACATTTCCAAAACTTGTTTGAATGCATGAGTACAGTCACTAGTAGCATTCTGTGCAGTACAATGTATGGGGGCTTAGGAGTTTAGGGTAGTATACAGGATTAGGGATAGGACTTGAGTCTAATCCTAACTCTTAGCAGTTACACTGGATGACATTAGAGCAAATGGTTCTTTACGTCTACATTTTCTTCATCTGTAGATGTAATAATTTCCATATCAACTATGATGTACAGTGCTAATTCCAATGAAATGTTACATGTGAGAAGTCTTTGAAATGTAAAAAACACTACAGATACTGAAGCAGTTTGGAGAATTAAAAAACACTACGAAAACACAGCTTGGTAAATAATTTTTTTTTTCTTTTGAGACAGAGTCTGGCTCTGTCATCCAGGCTAGAGTGTAGTGGCAGAATCTTGGCTCACTGCAACCTCTGCCTCTCGGGCTCAAGCAATTCTCCTGCCTCAGCCACCTGAGTAGCTGGGATAGCCACCATGTCCACTTAATTTTTGTATTTTTAGTAGAGACAGGGTTCCACCATATTGGCCAGGGTGGTCTTGAACTCCTGATGTCAAGTGATCTGCCTGCTCAGCCTCCCAAAGTATTGGAATTGCAGGTGTGAGCCACCGTGCCTGGCCAGGGCTTAGCAAATAATTTCAATGGTGTTACACCTATAAGTCTCTTGCTGTATGGTATCTTTTAAAATAACATTTCTTTTTTGAAACAGTTGATATTGGGTAATTTGGCCATCATCATATACTGTAGAAAAAAATTGTCAAGTGAAAGGGAGAATAGGTAAGAAGGAAGAAAGGGGAGGAATTTAGTGAATATGAATTATTTTCCTTTAGATATATTAGTCTTGTAGATCGCAATGAATTTTTTAAATTACTATTTAAGATATTGTTGAGATTCCATTACCTCCAATCAGTCTTGGGACATTAGAACAGTGGTATAATTAAGACTGTATGTTTAAATTGAGAAATTTTGCACAACTTTAACAAGTAGCAGAACTAATTGTTCACTGATGGCTTTAAAGATGAAATAATTCTGTGAATACATGAAACTGTGAGGGACTCTTCGTGGTTGTCTAGGTTTATTTATATGCATACTCATTAATAAAAGTTTTTTTTTGTTTGTCTCTTGAAAACAAAACAGCTTTGTTTTAACAAAACAGCAATGGAACAAATTTGAAAACCGACTCGATATTTTCTCTGGCTCATCATTTAGTTTGGGTCAGCCATCTTCAACTTGCTGTGAGCTCTAGTCAAAGTGGATCAAATTTGTGGCAAGTCACACAGGTGTCAGGTGCTCTTCAGGAAACAACCCTGAACTCCAGGTTCTAAGGAGCTTAGTAGGGAAGAAATACAAAACCTATCACTTCTGATACTGATTATTACTAAGAGAAAGAATCTTGTGATAGAGACTGGCTTCTCAACTATGGCATTTGGGGACAGAAATCTCTGTTGTAGGGGGCTGTCCTGTGCATTGTAAGGTGTTTGGCGTCATCCCTGGCCTCCACCCACTAGATGCCAGTCACATCCTCCAGTGGTGACAACTGACAATGTCCCTGCGGGCACAGTTGAGAACCACTGAGGTAGAGGGTGTTTGTTGGGGGGTAGGAAGTGGTGTAGCTTTAGCTGGTTGGTCAGCGGCTGCTTCTAGGAAAGAGGTGACATTTAAGTTGAAACCAAGAAAAATGTGTAGGTGGCAGCCACATGAAAATCTAGTGGAAGGAAAACAAATGCAAAGGCTGTGGGGCAGCAGGAAGCTTGTGTATTAAAAGAGAGGATGTTGTGTTCCAATGAGTAAAAAACTAGTGAGTGAGGAGAGATGAAGAGAAGCAAGGCTGAAGAGATGTGCAAGGGGTCTGGCCAGGTGCTGGATGAAAAGGAATCTACAGGCCAGGCACAGTGGCTCACACCTGTAATCCCAGCACTTTAGGGGGCCAAGGCTGGAGGATCACTTGAGCCCAGGAGTTCAAGGCCAGCCTGGGCAACAAAGTGAGCCTCCATCTTATTAAAAATTTAAAAAAGAAAGGAAAAGGGCTCTATGAAGATGTCTGTTTGGAAAAGAGTCCCAATCTTAGAAAACCACTTTTGCATATTAAAAGCTAAACCTGCTACCCATCACCAAATTCTATGTTAACATTCACTAACATGCTTCAGTGACACTATTCTAAGTCAGGTATAGCTCGAGAGTCAGGTTTGTTGGGAGGACAGAAGGATATAGGCAGGGGAAAAAGAGGGGGAGAAGGGAACCTCTTGGCAGCAAGGGGCTTTCCACAGGGCTGTGAGACACCCCCAGGCCTTGCAAGAGGGGTTGTGAAAAAAGAGGGAACTGGCACCAACGTTTGGCTCTAATTGGTTTGGGCCCAAAATTGCTGCTTTGGGAGGCAGTAGTGGGGTGGTACAGGAGCTGATTTTATCCAGTCCACAAATGGATTTTTAAAATAGTTTTTTGATGTATATTTTTTAAGATGCATCAAACCCATGATTTAATGGGTATTGATTAGGATGAATAAAATGTTAAAGTTAATTAATCTAAAATAACTTGAGTGAGTAATAGCAAAAAAGCAATGTGAATACGGCAAAGGTTATGTAGATGCCTGAAGTCGGAGAGTCAATAGATCAAAATCAGCTGGGAGCTTGTTAAAATACACATTTCTTGGCCCTATTTCTAGACATTCTGGTTTAGCAATACAGATGTGACCTGAGAATTTTTGTTTGTTTAAATGACAGAATACAAGCTGCTATAAAATATTTTACATTTCAATAAAAGCATTCAGACTTCATGAAAGAACATGTGGAAATAAGAGCATACGATCATCCTTTACTTCTACTTATTTCAGATGTAAATCTCAGGAAATGAACCCAAAGTCTTTCTTGCAGGGGACTTTGGGTATTGCACTGCCACTTTTGTTTATTTAGTTACTTTTTGAGACGGAGTTTTGCTCTTGTCGCCCAGGCTGGAGTGCAATGGCTCAATCTCGGCTCACTGCAACCTCCGCCTCCTGGGTTCAAGCCATTCTCCTGCCTCAGCCTCCCAAGTAGCTGGGATTACAGGTGCTTGCCACCACGCCTGGCGAATTTTTGTATTTTTAGTAGAGATGGGGTTTCACCATGTTGGCCAGGCTGGTCTTGAACTCCTGACCTCAGGTGATCCACCCACCTCGGCCTCCCAAAGTGCTGGGATTACAGGCGTGAGCCACCATGCCCAGCTTTGCACTGTCACTTCTGAGGCTAAATAAAATTACCTGGAGTCTCCAAAATATAGGAAGACCCAAAAAATGTAGGGGAAGCTTATTTACACTCTGGTTTTCATGGTCTAGTTTGTGGATGTTTGTTACAGGTTCGTAGTGCTCTCTGGAAGGAAAGGAATGACAATTAGTCATTTGATCTCCCTCTGATTAAGGTTTTCTTTTGTTGTTGATTTCCTTTTGCTTTTTTTTTTTTTTTTTCCTTTGAGACAGGGTCTTGCTCTGTCACCCAGGCTGGAGTGCAGTGGTGTGATCACGGCTCACTGCAGCCTTGAAGTCCTGGGCTCAAGTATCCTCCCACCTCAGCCTCCCGAGTAGCTGGGACCACAGGTGTGCACCACCTTGCCCGGCTAATTTTTGTGATTTTTGTAGAGATGTATTTTCACCATGTTACCCAGGCTGGTCTCAAACTCCTGGGTCCAAGCAATCTGCCCACCTTGGCCTCCCAAAGTGCTGGGATTGCAGGCATGAGCCACCACACCCGGCCCTTTTGCCATTAATTGTAAACAGTTTTGGAGGGTCTCAGAAGTCATATCCTCTTAAAGCCACCATGCCTGGCTAATTTTTTTTTTTTAAGTGGAGATTAGGTCTTGCTATGTTGCCAGGCTGGAGTGCAGTGGTGTGATCATGGCTAACCCTAAGTGCAGCCTCAAACTCTTAAGCTCAAGTGATCCTCTTACCTCAGCCTCCTGGGTAGCTGGGATTACAGGCATGTGCCACGATGCCCGGCTCATTTTTGTATTTTTTGTAGAGACAGAGTCTCCCTATGTTGCCCAGGCTCTCTCAAAACTTTATTTCTTCTTTGACTGTTGATCGCATTAGATTTTCTAAGGATATATACACAAAGGCTGTTGCTCTACCCACTGCAAAAGTAATGATAGCCAACCAGAAAACCTGAGGGTGCCCTTGGTAGGCTTGACACAGAATGTGAGCATGGTGTACATGGGGCTGAGAGAGAAACAGTCTATAACTCAGAACTCCTGGGAATCGAATTGTAATGTTCCCTTGGGGATTCTCATGGACACTAAGGACCTTTCCAACTCTTACTTAGAGTCTTGGGTGGCTACTTGTGCCTTACCCCAGTCGTTCCTGAGTCCTTCCTCCGCAGGGCCACCAGCATAACCTCAAAGCTAAGATCTGTTTGTGTAACATCTTAGCTGGAAATCCTGCAACTACTCCCAATTTGGTGAAATTCTCAACTCCACAGCAAGCCCTCCACTGCTTATCCCCAACTCACTTTGCCTGCTTCATGGAGTCCCTTCCTGCTATGTTCCAAAGGCTATAAATGCCTCAGATATCCACTCTCTACTCCATGGGTCATCCCACCCGCCAGGAATGCTTGTTCCCTGTTTCTCCAAGGGTCACGTCATTCCTCCAAGTCCTGCTCCAGCGTCACTGCTTCAGCCCTTCTGGTCCTAATCCTCCTGGACAGAATTAATTCTCTCTTCTGAATACTTCTGGGCAGCCCTTTTTAATTACTCAATAAACATGGAAAAATAGAGTACCTCCCATATTCTAGGCATGGTGCTAGTACCTAGCTGAGATTATTCTGCATGAGGCCAGGGTTCCGCCTAGCCTGTGGGGCACCTTAGGGTAAATTACAAAGAGGCCTTCCTCTTCTTTCTGGCTGACACAGCCCTGAGTCAGGACAGAGCTTGTAAAAAGGAGTGTGACTTAGGATTTTTGTGCTGTGCAAACTAAAACCATAAATGGTGATCCTATAACTTTGTCCCTTGTATTAGAGATATTTACATTGATGGTGCTTTTTTACTCAACACTTCGAGGGAAGTGTCTGTATTTTCTCAGCACCTAGCTTATACTTAGTAGGTGTTCGATATATATCTATTAAAATTAGTTAATAAATGGATAGGGCCAGGTGCAGCGGCTCACCCATGTAATCCCAGCACTTTGGGAGACTAAGATGGGGTGGATCACTTGAGGTCAGAAGTTCAAGACCAGCATGACCAACATGGTGAAACCCCATCTCTACTGAAAATATAAAAATTTGCCAGGTGTCTTGGTGCATGCCTGTAATCCCAGCTAGTCTCAGGAGGCTGAGGCAGGAGAATCGCTTGAACCCAGGAGGCTGAGGTTGCAGTGAGCCGAGATTGTGACACTGCACTCTATCCTGGGTGAGAGTGAGACTCTGTCTCAAACAAACAAACAAACAAACAAACAAATAAATAAATAAATAAAAATAAAAAATAAATTGATAAAAGAATGTTTCTTAGAACCTTCCTGTGTACTCTAGGGATGGGATAGAGCAAGGAAGAGTGTCTCTTTTACAAGTCCATTTATATTACTGGCTGGAGCCGGTGTGAATCTCAGTGACTTTCTGAGATCAGTAATTTGCAACCTTAGCTGCGTGTTAGAATCATCTGGGAAGGTTGAGAAACTACCCATGCCTAGATCAATTAAATCAGAATTTCAGGAGGGGGTCGCAGATATTATAATTTTTTCAATCTCCCCAGATTTTTTATGTTTTTGAGACAGATTCTTGCTGTGTTGTCCAGGCTGGAGAGCAGCAGTGTGATCAAGGCTCACTGCAGCCTCAACACCTGGGCTCAAGCAATCCTGCTGTCTCTGCCTTCGAGTAGCTAGGACTACAGGCACACCACCATGCCCATCTAATTTTTTTATTTGTAGAGACTGGGTCTCGTTATGTTGCCCAGGCTGTTCTTGAACTCGTAGGCTCAAGAGATCCTCCGATCTCAGCCTTTCAAAGTGCTGGGATTCCAGGCATGAGCCCTGTGACCAGCCTTCCCCAGGAGATTTGAGTGTGTAGCTGAGACTGAGAACCACTGACCTTGAGAGACTTGGGAAGGGGATATGACAGCATGTTTCTATGTTGTGTGTGTCAAGTGCTCTGGAAGGACATAAAAGACACAAAATGAAACAGGAAAATGTCCACAATAGGCTAGAGCAGGGGAAAAACCAAGTAAGAAAAATGGCAAGAGGCTGGTGACCACAGGTGTGTCCTATGTCTAGCACCCACTACAAGAGCATGATGTTGGTGGCACCCCTGGGAACAAGAAGGCTGAATGTTGCCATGCTTTTGGAAAGCTTCCCAGGAAGCTGGCTCACAGCTGTTCAGCTGACTTTGTCCCTGGGCCTCCTAGGAACTAAATGTTTCCCCTACAAACTGGTAAAAATAAATAAGAAAGTCCCCTTTGGACTGCGAGGAAATGCTCTAGGGTAACCCCTATTTTGTGCTGTGGACAGCTGAGATGGGGCTTGCTCTGCCTGTAAGTGCCTGCACCTGCTTGAGCCTAAAAATACTTAAAAAAAATTTGGGAATGAGGTCTTGCAATATTGCCTGGGCTTGAGTGCAGCGGCTATTCACAGGCATGATCTTAGTGCACTACAGCCTTGAAATCCTGGCTTCAAGTGATCTTCTTGCCTCAGCCTCCAGAGTAGCTGGGACTCCAGGTGAGCATAACCTGGTCAGCTCTAAAAAATACTTTGATGATGACTGATGCACACATTACTTAATGGACTTTAATTTTTAGAAAAGTTTTAGGCTAACAGCAAAGTTGAACAGAAAGTACAGAGTTCCCACATAGACACCTTCCTCACACAATACACACACACATGATTTTGCCACCACTGTTAACTTTCCCCACCAGTGTGGCATATTTGTTACAAATGATGAATCAACATTGACACATCATTCTCAATTGAAGTTCATAGTTTACATTAAGGTTCATGCTTTGTGTTGTGCATTCTATGGGTTTTGATAAATGTGTAATGACATGTACCCACCATTATAGTATCATACAAAATGGTTTTGCTGCCCTAAAAATCTTATAGATCCACCTAGTCATCCTTCCCTCTCCCCAAATCCCTGAAAGTCACTGATCTGATCTTTTCACTGTCTCCATAGTTCTATCTTTTTCAGAATGTCATATAATTGGGGGTCATACAGTATGTAGCCTCTTCAGATTGATTTCTTCCAATTAACAATATGCATTTAAGGTTCCTCCATTCTTTTGATAGCTACACAGCTCATTTCTTCTTATTGCTAAATAATATTCCATTGTCTGGATGTATCACAACTTATTTTTGTTTATTAATTTGCTTTAGTTGCTTCCAAGTTTTGGAAATTATGAATAAAACTTCCATAAACATTCATGTGCACACAGGCTTTTGTATAGACATAAGTTTTCAATTGATTTAGGTAAATATCAAGGAACACAATTATTGCATTGTCTGATAAGAGAATGTTTAGTTCTGTAAGAAACTGCCACACTGTTTTTCAAGGTGGCTGAGCCATTTTGTATTCACACCAGCAATGATTGAGAGTTCCTATTGCCCCACATCCTTGCCAGCATTTAGTGCTGGATGTTAGCCATTCTAATTGGAATGTACTGGTATGTCATTGTTGCTTTAATTTGCATTCCTTAATAACATAAGATGTTAAACATATTTCTTATGCTTATTTGCCAGCTGTATATCTTGAAAAATGTTTATTAAGATATTTTGGCCATTTTTTAATCAGCTGGTTCATTATCTTACTGTTGAGTTTTAAGAGTTCTTTGTATGTTTTATCAGATATGTCCTTTGCAAATATTTTCTCCCAGTCCATAGCTTGTCTTTTTACTGATGGTGTTTTTTGCAAAGCAGAAGTTTTTAATTTTATTAAATTCCAACTTGTCACTTTTTTCTTTCATGGATCATGTCTTTAGTGTTGTATCTAAAAAGTCATTGCCAACCCCAAGGTTATCTAGATATTCTTCTGTTATCTTGTATGAATTTTGTAGTTTGGCATTTTACATTTAGGGCTATGATCCATTTTGATTTAATTTTTGTGAAAGGAATAAAGTTTGTGTCTAGGTTCACTTTTTTAATGTGTGGACATCCAATTGTTTCAGCACCATCTGATAAGACACCATTTGCTCTGTTGTATTGCTTTTACTTCTTTGTCAAAGGTGAAATGACTGTATATGTATAAGTCTGTTTCTGGGTTCTCTCTTCTGTTGCACTTATCTCTTTGTCTATTTTTTCAGCAATAATACAGTTTGATTCCTGTAGCTCAAAGTTATTGTAGTTCAATTATGGTAAGACTTAAAGTTGGGTAGTGTCAGTCCTCTGACTTTGTTCTAACCTTTCAGTTTTGTATTGGCTTCTCTGAGTCTTTTGCTTCTCCATATATACTGTAGAATTGGTTTGTCAATTTTCACAAAAACAGCTTTCTAGGATTTTGATTGGAATCTATTCATCAAGTTGGGCAGAACTGACAGCAATATTGACTCTTCCTATCCGTGAACATGGTATACCTTTTTATTTAGTTAGTTCTTCAATTTCTTTGATCAGTTTTTCAAAGTTTTCTTCATACAGCTCTTGCATATATTTTGTTAGCTTTGTACCTATTTTATTATTTTGGTGCTAATGTATTGTTTTTAATTTTAAAATCCAGTTTTTAATTTCTGGCATATAGGAAAGCAATAGATTTTGGATATTAACCTAGTATCCTGAACCTTGATGTAATTGCTTATTGATTTCAGGAATTTTTTTTTGTCAATTCTTTGAGATTTTCTATAGACAATCATGTCACATGTGAACAAAGAGCTGTATTGCTTCCTTTGTGATCTGTATGTCTTTTTCTTGCTTTTCTTGTCTTATTGCATTAGCGAGGACTTTCAGTATGATGTTAGAAAGAAGTAGTGAGAGGGAATATCCTTGCCTTCTTCCTAATCTCCGTGAAAAAGCATCTAGTTTTTCACCATTATGTATGGTATTAGTTGCAGGTTTTTTGCAGATTTAAAAAATCAAAATACAAAAATTAGCTGGGTGTGGTGATGCATACCTGTAATCCCAGCTACTAGGAAGGCTAAGGCAGAAGAATTGCTTAAACCCAGAAGGCAGAGGTTGCCGTGAGCCGAGATTGTGCCACTGCCCTCCAGCCTGGGCAACAGAGTGAGACTCTGTCTCAAAAAAAAAAAAAAAAAAAAAGAGAAAATAAGTTAAAAAGGCCAGGGGTCTTTGGTTCATTGGTACATTCCAAATGAATAGGATCGCCCAGGCTGGAGTGCAGTGGTGTGATCTTGGCTCAATGCAACCCCTGCTCCCTGGGCTCAAGCAACTCTCCTGCATTAGCTTTTTGAGTGGCTGGTATTACAGGCACATGCCACCATGCCCAGCTTTTTATTTTGAGTTTTAGTAGAGGGGAGTTTTTGCCATGTTGGCTAGGCTGGTCTTGAACTCCTGCCCTCAAGCTATCCACCCACCTCAGCCTCCCAAAGTGCCACTGCACCTAGCCAGATTCACACTTTTTTGCTTTGTTTAGTTTTCCATAGATTCAAACTTTTTTTTTTTTTTTTTTGAGACAGGGTCTTGCTCTGTTGCCCAGGCTGGAGTGCAGTGGCATGATCATGGCTCACTCCAGCATCCACCTCCCAGGCTCAAGTGATCTCACTTCAGCCTCTCCGGTAGCTGGGACTACAGGTGTGTGCCACCACACCAGGCTAATTATTGTATTTTTTTGTAGAGACAGGATTTCACCATGATGCCCAGGCTGATCTTGAATTCCTGGGCTCAAGTGGTCTGCTCCCCTTGGCCTCCCAAAGCTCTGGAATTGCAGGCATGAGCCACCACACCCAGCTTCAAACTTTTTTTTTTCTTTGAGATGGAGTTTCACTCTTGTTACCCACACTGGCGTACAATGGTATGATCTTGGCTCACTGCAACCTCCACCTCCCAGGTTCAAGCAATTCTCATATCTCAGCCTCTGGAGTGGCTGGGACTATAGGCGCCTGCCACCACACCTGGCTAATTTTTTTGTGTTTTTAGCAGAGACAGGGTTTCAACATGTTGGCCAGGCTAGTCTCTAACTCCTGACCTCAGGTGATCCACCTGCCTTGGCGTCCCAAAGTGCTAGGATTGCAGGCGTGAGCCACCACTTCCAGCTGCGAACATTTTAAGAAAAAAAAAAGTTACATTAACTTTTCTTTTTTCTTCTTTTTTTTTTTCTTTTTTTGAGATGGAGTCTTGCTCTGTCACCCAGGCTGGAGTACAATGGCGCAATCTCAACTCACTGCAACCTCTGCCTTCCAGGTTCAAGTGATTCTCTTGCCTCAGCCTCCCAAGACCAGCTGGGATTATAGGCACCCGCCATCACACCCTGCTAATTTTTGTATTTTTAGTAGAGGTGGGATTTCACCATGTTGGCCAGCTTGGTCTGGAACTCCTGACCTCAGGTGATCTGCCTGACTTGGCCTCCCAAAGTGCTGCGATTATAGGCATGAGCCACCATGCCTGGCCTACGTTAATTTTTCTAACCTCCCCCACTCATTGATCTTTCATTCAAAATTTAACAACTCTTTATTATTCACTTGCCATGCAAGGAATTTAAAGAATTTATGTAGAAGAAAACATAAGCATAAATTTTCAATACCTTGGATAGGAGATGATTCTTTTTTTTTTAAGAAATTATTTATTTTATTTTATTTTATTTTTTATTATACTTTAAGTTCTAGGGTACATGTGCATAATGTGCAGATTTGTTACATATGTATACATGTGCCATGTTGCACCCATTAGCTGGTCATTTACATTTGGTATATCTCCCAGTGCTATCCCTCCCGCCACCCCACAAAAGGTCCTGGTGTGTGATGTTCCCCTTTCTGTGTCCAAGTGTTCTCATTGTTCAATTCCCACCTATGAGTGAGAACATGTGGTGTTTGGTTTTTTGTCTTTGTGATAGTTTGCTGAGAATGATGGTTTCCAGCTTCATCCATATCCCTACAAAGGACACGAACTCATCATTTTTTATGGCTGCATAGTATTCCATGGTGTATATGTGCCACATTTTCTTCATCCAGTCTATCATTGATGGACATTTGGGTTGGTTCCAAGTCTTTGCTATTGTGGGTAGTGCCGCAATAAACATACGTGTGCATGTGTCTTTATAGCACCATGATTTATATTCCTTTGGGTATATACAGGAGATGATTCTTAGTTATGACACCAAAATCATGAGCAACCAAAGAAAAAAAACAGATGTTTGACTTTATCAAAATATAAACCTTTTAAAATTTTTTTAATTTTTTAAATTATTTTCTTTTTAGAGACAGGGTCTTTCTATGTTGTACAGGCTGGACTTGAACTCCTGGGCTCAAGAGATCCTCCTGCCTTGACCTCCCAAAGTGCTAGGATTACAGGGATGAACCACCATGCTGAGACTGTTTTTAAATTGTTTTTTAATCAGCTAAATTTAAGATTCATCAAGATGTAAACCTTTTTGTGCATCAAAGGACACCATCACGAAAGTGAAAAGTCAACCCAAAGAATGGAACAAAATATTTACAAATCACATATCGGATAGGAGTTTATTTTATTTTAATATATTTTATTTTTTATACTTTAAATTCTAGGGTACATGTGCATGACGTGCACGTTTGTTACATAGGTATACAGGTGCCATGTTTGTTTGCTGTACCCATCAACTCGTCATCTACATTAGGTATTTCTCCTAATGCTATCCCTCCCCCAAGCCCCCACCCCCTGACAGGCCCCAGTGTATGATGTTCCCCGCTCTGTCTCCATGTGTTCTCATTGTTCAACTCCCACCTATGAGTGAGAACATCCAGTGTTTGGTTTTCTGTTCTTGTGATAGTTTGCTGAGAATGATGGTTTCCAGCTTCATCCATGTCCCTGCAAAGGACATGAACTCATCCATTTTTATGGCTGCATAGTATTCCATGGTGTATATATGCCACATTTTCTTTTTCTTTTTTTTTTTAATTGATCATTCTTGGGTGTTTCTCGCAGAGGGGGATTTGGCAGGGTCATAGGACAATAGTGGAGGGAAGGTCAGCAGATAAATAAGTGAACAAAGGTCTCTGGTTTTCCTAGGCAGAGGACCCTGTGGCCTTCCGCAGTGTTTGTGTCCCTGGGTACTTGAGATTAGGGAGTGGTGATGACTCTTAACGAGCATGCTGCCTTCAAGCATCTGTTTAACAAAGCACAACTTGCACCCCCCTTAATCCATTTAACCCTGAGTGGACACAGCACATGTTTCAGAGAGCACAGGGTTGGGGGTAAGGTCATAGATCAACAGGATCCCAAGGCAGAAGAATTTTTCTTAGTACAGAACAAAATGAAAAGTCTCCCATGTCTACTTCTTTCTACACAGACACAGCAACCATCCGATTTCTCAATCTTTTCCCCACCTTTCCCCCCTTTCTATTCCACAAAACCACCATTGTCATCATGGCCCGTTCTCAATGAGCTGTTGGGTACACCTCCCAGATGGGGTGGTGGCCGGGCAGAGGGGCTCCTCACTTCCCAGAAGGGGCGGTGGGGCAGAGGTGCCCCCCACCTCCCGGACGGGGTGGCTGGCCGGGCGGAGGCGCCCCCACCTCCCTCCCGGACAGGGCGGCTGGCCGGGCGGGGGCTGACCCCCCACCTCCCTCCCGGACGGGGTGGCTGGCCGGGCGGGGGCTGACCCCCACCTCCCTCCCGGATGGGGTGGCTGCTGGGCGGAGATGCTCCTCACTTCCCAGACGGGGTGGCTGCCAGGCAGAGGGGCTCCTCATTTCTCAGACGGGGCGGCTGCCGGGCGGAGGGGCTCCTCACTTCTCAGACGGGGCGGCTGCTGGGTGGAGGGGCTCCTCACTTCTCAGACGGGGCGGCCGGGCAGAGGCGCTCCTCACATCCCAGACGGGGAGGTGGGGCAGAGGCGCTCCCCACATCTCAGATGATGGGCGGCCGGGCAGAGGTGCTCCTCACTTCCTAGGTGGGATGGCGGCCGGGAAGAGGCGCTCCTCACTTCCCAGACTGGGCAGCCAGGCAGAGGGGCTCCTCACATCCCAGACGATGGGCGGCCAGGCAGAGATGCTCCTCACTTCCCAGACAGGGTGGCGGCCGGGCAGAGGCTGCAATCTCGGCACTTTGGGAGGCCAAGGCAGGCGGCTGGGAGGTGGAGGTTGTAGCGAGCCGAGATCACGCCACTGCACTCCAGCCTGGGCACCATTGAGCACTGAGTGAACAAGACTCCGTCTGCAATCCCAGCACCTTGGGAGGCCGAGGCTGGTGGATCACTCGCGGTTAGGAGCTGGAGACCAGCCCGGCCAACACAGCGAAACCTCGTCTCCACCAAAAAAATACGAAAACCAGTCAGGCGTGGCGGCGCGCGCCTGCAATCGCAGGCACTCGGCAGGCTGAGGCAGGAGAATCAGGCAGGGAGGTTGCAGTGAGCCGAGATGGCAGCAGTACAGTCCAGCTTCGGCTTGGCATCAGAGGGAGACCGTGGAAAGAGAGGGAGAGGGAGACCGTGGGGAGAGGGAGAGGGAGAGGGAGACCGTGGGGAGAGGGAGAGGGAGAGGGAGACCGTGGGGAGAGGGAGAGGGAGAGCATGCCACATTTTCTTAATCCAGTCTATCATTGTTGGACATTTGGGTTGGTTCCAAGTCTTTGCTATTGTGAATAGTGCTGCAATAACCATATGTGTGCATGTGTCTTTATAGCAGCATGATTTATAATCCTTTGGGTATATAACCAGTAATGGGATTGCTATGTCAAATGACATTTCAGGTTCTAGATCCTTGAGGAATCGCCACACTGTCTTCCACAATGGTTGAACTAATTTACACTCCCGCCAACAGTGTAAAAGTGTTCCTATTTCTCCATATCCTCTATCCTCTCCAGCATCTGTTGTTTCCTGACTGTTTAATGATCACCATTCTAACTGGCATGAGATGGTATCTCATTATGGTTTTGATTTGCATTTCTCTGATGGCCAGTGATGATGAGCATTTTTTCATATGTCTGTTGGCTGCTTAAATGTCTTTTTTTGAGAAGTGTCTGTTCGTATGCTTCGCCCACTTTTTGATGGGGTTGTTTGTTTTTTTCTTGTAAATTTGTTTAAGTTCTTTGTAGATTCTGGATATTAGCCCTTTGTCAGATGGGTAGATTGCAAAGATTTTCTCCCATTCTGTAGGTTGCCTGTTCGCTCTGATGATAGTTTCTTTTGCTGTGCAGGAGCTCTTTAGTTTAATTAGATCCCATTTGTCTATTTTGGCTTTTGTTGCCATTGCTTTTGGTGTTTTAGTCATGAAGTCCTTGCCCATGCCTATGTCTTGAATGGTACTGCCTAGGTTTTCTTCTAGGGTTTGTTATATTTACGTCTTTGTTGTGGTTGTTGTTGTTGTTGTTGTTGTTTTTGATGGAGTCTTGCTCTGTTGCCTGGGCTGGAGTGCAGTGGTGTGATCTCGGCTCACTGCAACCTCCACCTCCCAGGTTCAAGCAATTCTCCTGCCTCAGCCTCCTGAGTAGCTGGGACAACAGGTGTGAGCCACTATGCCCAGCTAATTTTTGTATTTTTAGTAGAGATGGCGTTTCACCATGTTGGTTGGCCAGAATGGTCTCAGTCTCTTGACCTCATGATCTGCCTGCCTTGGCCTCCCAAAGTGCTGGGATTACAGGCATGATCCACCGCACCTGGACCCATTTAAGTCTTTTTTTTTTTTTTTTTTTTTTTGAGACAGAGTTTCGCTCTGTCACCCAGGCTGGAGTGCAGTGGTGCAATCTCAGCTCACTGCAAGTTCTGCCTCCCGGGTTCACCCATCCTCCTGCCTCAGCCTCCTGAGTAGCTGGGACTACAGGTGCCTGCCACCATGCCTGGGTAATTTTTTGTATTTTTAGTAGAGATGGAGTTTCACCATGTTGGCCAGGATGGTCTCAATCTCCTGACCTCATGATCCACATGCCTTGGCCTCCCCAAGTGCTGGGTTTACAGGCATGAGCCACCGCACCCAGCCCATTTAAGTCTGTAATCCATCTTGAATTAATTTTTTTTGTATGATGTAAGGAAGAGGTCCAGTTTCAGCTTTCTACATATGACTAGCCAGTTTTCCCAGCACCATTTTTTAAATAGGAAATCCTTTCCCCATTGCTTGTTTTTGTCGGGTCTGTCAAAGATCAGATGGTTGTAGATGTGTAGTGGTATTTCTGAGATTTCTATTCTGTTCCATTGGTCTATATGTCTGTTTTGGTACCAGTACCATGCTGTTTTTGTTACTATAGCCTTGTAGTATAGTTTGAAGTCAGGTAGCATGATGCCTCCAGCTTTGTTCTTTTTGCTTAGTATTGTCTTGGCTATGCAGGCACATTTTTGATTCCATAGGAACTTTAAAGTAGTTTTTTCCAATTCTGTGAAGAAAGTCAATGGTAACTTGATGGTTATAGCATTGAATCTATAAATTACCTTGGGCAGTATGGCCATTTTCACAATATTGATTCTTCCTATCCATGAGCATGGAATATTCTTCCATTTGTTTGTGTCCTCTTTTATTTCGTTTAGCAGTGGTTTGTAGTTCTCCTTGAAGAGGTCCTTCATATCCCTTGTAAGTTGGATTCCTAGGTATTTTATTCCCTTTGTAGCAATTGTGAATGGGAGTTCACTCATGATTTGGCTCTCTGTTTGTCTATTATTGGTGTATAGAAATGTTTGTGATTTTTGCACATTGATTTTGTATCTTGAGACTTTGCTGAAGTTGCTTATCAACTTACGGAGATTTTGGGCTGAGATGATGGGGTTTTCTAAATATACAATCATGTCATCTGCAAACAGAGACAATTTGACTTCCCCTTTTCCTAATTGAATATGCTTTATTTCTTTCTCCTGCCTGATTGCCCTGGCCAGAACTTCCAACACTATGTTGAATAGGAGTGGTGAGAGAGGGCATCTGATAGGAGTTTATTATCCCAAATATATAAAGAACTCTTGCCAGGCAGAGTGGCTCATGCTTGTAGTCCTAGCAGTTTGGGAAGCTGAGGTGGGAGGATTACTTGAGCCCAGGGGTTTGAGGCCAGCCTGGGCAACATAGGGAGATCTTGTATCCACAAGAAAACAATTTTTAAAATTAATTAATTAATTAATAATATAAATAACTCATAACTCAACAACAAAAGATAAATAATTAATTTAAAAATGGACAAAAACTTGAATAGGCACATCTCCAAAAAGATAAACAAATGACCAGGCCAGCCACGGTGGCTCACGCCTGTAATCCCAGCACTCCAGGATGCTGAGGCGAGCGGATCACTTGAGGCCAGGAGTTTGAGACCAGCCTGGGCAACATGGTGAAACCTCATCTCTACTAAAAATATAAAAATTAGCCAGATGTGGTGGTGGGTGCCTGTAATCCCAGCTACTCGGGAGGCTGAGGCAGGAGAATCGCTTGATCCCTGGGAGGCAGAGGTTATAGTGAGCTGAGCTCTTGCCACCGCTCTCCAGCCTGGGTGATAGAGTGAGACTCTGCCTCAAAACCAAAACAAAACCGAACCAAAAAACTAATGACCAATAATTACATGAAAAACTCCTTAACATTATTAGTTATTAGGTAACTAGAAACTAAAGCCACAATGAAATATTACTTTACACTTGCTAAGGTAGCTGTAATTAAGGAAAATCAAAACCAACCAAACAAAAACCAGAAGATAACATTCTTGTACACTTTAATTGTGAATGTACAATGATGCAGCTACTTTGGGAAGCAGTCTAGTCTGGTCATTCCTCAAAAAGTTCAATGTAGAGTCACCATGTGATACAGAACTTCCACTTTTAGGTATATACCGAAGAGGATTAAAAACATCTGTTCACACAAAAATTTGAACATAAATGTTTATAGCAGCATTACTTATAGGAGGAAAAAAACAGAAATAAATGTCCAAAACTGATAAATGGATAAATAAAACTTGGCATATCCATCTAATGAATATTACTCAGCCATAAAATGAAATGAAATACTGATTTATGCCACAACATAGGTGAACCTCAAAAACATTGTACTAAGTGAACAAAGCCAGACACAGAAGACAATGTAGTATATGTTATGTTCTATAAAATATCCAGAATAGGAAAATACAGAAACAGAATGAAGATTACTGGCTTATGGGGGCTGAAAAGAGGAAAGAATAGAGAGTGACTGTTAATGAAATATGGAGGGATATGCGGTTTCATTTTGGGATGATAAAATCGTTCTTATATTAGATAGTGGTGATGATTGTACAACTTTATGGATATATAAGAACTAGTGTAAATTGGTGCATTTTATGGTTTTTGCATTTCAACAAAATTAAGAGTAGGAAAAGAACTTGCATTGATTGATAGATGGATATGTGTGATTTAGGCACTATAAGAGAAAGGATTTAAAAAATTTTCCTCCCCTTCCAATGAAGCCCTCCAACAAAAGTTCAGTATAAGTGCAGTGGCTATTTGTCATTCCTTGTTATATTTGATCTCGTAGTAACATTTGACCCCAGTGACCAAACCATCTTTCTTTCAACTCTGTCTTCCCTTTTGCTCTCATGAAGTGACACCACTTATCCTGGTTTTCTTTCTACCCCTCTAATATAGTTTGGATTTTTTAAAATTTTTATTTAAATTTTCTTGTAGAGACAGGGTCTTCCTATTTTGCCCAGGCTGGTCTCAAACTCCTGGGCTCAAGCAATCCTGCCTTGGCCTCCCAAAGTGCTGGGATTACAGGCTTGAGCCACCATGCCTGGCCTTTGTTTGGATTTTTGTCCCCTCCAAATCTCATGTTAAAATGTGATCCCTAATGTTGGAGGTGGGGCCTGGTAGGAAATATTTGGGTCATGGGGCAAATCCCTCATGAATGGCTTTGGTGCCCTCCCGACAGTAATGAGTGTGTTCTCACTCTTAGTTCATGTCAGAGCAGGTTTTTAAAAAGAGGCTGGCATCTCTCTTAATCCTTTTTCCTTTTTTTGTCATGTGACATGCCTGTTTCTCTGTGCCTTCTGCCATGAATAAAAGCTTCCTGCAGCCTCATCAGAAGACAAGCAGATGCTCGTGCTATGCTCGTACAGCCTGCAGAACCATGAGCCAAAATAAACCGTTTTCTTTATAAACTATCCAGTCTCAGGTGTTCTTTTATAATGATACAAAATAGACTAACACAGAAAATTGGTACCAAGGAGTGAGGTGTTGCTATAAAGACACTTGAAAATGTAGAAGCAGCTTTGAAACTGGGTACTGGGCTGAGATTGGAAGAATTTGGAGGGTTCATAAGAAGACAGGCAGACCAGGGAATGTTTGGAACTTCTTAGATACTTGTTAAGTGGTTGTGACCAAAATGCTCATAGAATTATGGACAGTGAAGGCCATGCTGATGTAGTCTTAAATGGAAATGAGGAACTTATGAGAAACTGGGCAAGGGTCACCCTTGTTACACCTTAGCAAAGAGTTTGGCTGCATTGTGTCTGTGCCCTAGGGATTAGTGGAAGGTTAAAATGACGAGTGATGACAGGGCATCTGGTGGAAGAAATTTCCTAGCAGCAAAGCATTCAAGAGGTGGTATGGCTGCTCCTAACAGCCTATGATCAGATGTGGGAGCAAATGAATTACTTAAAGTGGGAATTTATAGTTGAAAGCAGAGTGTAAGAGTTTGGAAAATGTTTAGCTTGGCTATGTGGTATAGAAGGAAAGAGCTTTTTTTTTTTTTTTTTTGAGAATGGAGTTTTGCTCTCGTTGCCCAGACTAGAGTACAGTGGCACAATTTTGGCTCACTGCAACCTCTGCCTTCCAGTTTCAAGCAATTCTCCTGCCTCAGCCTCCCAAGTTGCTGGGATTACAGGTGCCTGCCACCACACCCAGCTATTTTTTTTTATATTTTTAGTAGAGATGGGGTTTCACCATGTTGGTCAGGCTGGTCTCAAACTGCTGACCTCGTGATCCACCTGCCTTGGCCTCCCAAAGTGCTGGGATTACAGGTGTGAGCCACCACGCCTGGCCCTGGAAAGAGCTTTTTTAGGGGAGGAATTCAAACAGGCTACAAAGTGATTGCTTGCTAGAGAGACTAGAATGACTAAAAGAGAGTTCAAAGGGCTGCAAGTTCAGCTCTGGCTGCCACTTCAGAGCATGCAGCCTGGAAGCCACAAGCCATAAGCCTTGATAGCTCCCATGTGGTGTTAGGCCTGTAGGTGTACAGAATGCAAGAGTGAAGAAGGCTTGGCAGCTTCTACCTGGGTTTCAGAGGTTGAATGGGAAAGCCTGGGTGCCCAGGCAGAAGCCTGCTGCGGGGTGGAGCCCTTCCCTGCAAGAGCCTCTACTGTCACAATACCAAGGTGAAATGTGGGGTTGGAGCCCTCATACAGAGTCCCCAGTTGGGCACTGCCTAGTGGAGTTGTTGGAATAAGACTGCCACTGTCCAGATTCCAGCATGGTGGCACCACCAGCAGCCGGCAACCCTAGTGTGGAAAAGCCACAGACATCAGACTCCAATTCATGAGAGCAGCCACTTGAGCTATAACTAGCAAAGCCATAGGGGTGAAGCTGCCCAAAACTTGGAAGCCTACCTCTCCCACCAGTGTGCCCAGGATGTGAAACATGGATCCAAGGGAGATTACTTTGGATATTTAAGCTTTAATATCTGTCCTGCTGGGTTTTAGACTTGCATGGGGTCTGCTGCCCCTTTCTTTTGGCCAATTTCTCTCTTTTGGAATGGGAATATTTACCCAATGTGTGTTCTACCATTGTACCTTGGAAGTAAATAACTTGTTTTTGATTTACAGGCTTATAGGTGGAAGGAACTTGCCTTGAGTCTTAGATGAGGCTTTGAACTTTGGTCTTGGGGCTTTTGAGTTAACGCTGCATTGAGTTAAGAGTTTGGGGGACTATTGGGAAGGCATTATTACATTTTGCAATGTGAGAAGGACATGACATTTGGGGGGCCAGGGCAGAATGATATCATTTTGATTTTTGTCCCTTCCAAATCTCATGTTGAAATGTGATCCCCATGTTGGAAGTGGGTCCTTGTGGGAGGTATTTGGATCATGAGGGCAGACCACTCATGAATGGCTTAGTGCCCTCCCTGTGGTAATGAGGAAATTCTTGCTCTAATAGTAAATGCAAGAGCTGGTTATTTAAAAGAGCCTGGCAGCTCTTTTGCTCCTTCTGTCTCCATGTGACATGCCTACTCTCCTTGTGCCTTCTGCCATGAGTGAAAGCTTCCTCAGGCCTCACCAAAAGCTAAACAGATGCTGGTGCTATGTACAGCCTGCAGAATGGTGAACCAAAATAAACATTTTTCTTCATAAATTACCCAGTCTCAAGTATGCCTTTATAGCAACGTAAAACAAACTAACACATCCTCTACTTTTGTTCTTAGCAGCAGTGGCTGGCTCCTCTTTTTCTATCCTTTCGTGTTTATGTCCCTCAGGACTCAACCTAGTGCATACTTCTTTCTAGGCATCTTTTCCCTACTCACTGGAGATTCCTAAATCTCTATTGCAGTCAGATGTCTCTCCTGAGCTTCAGAACCAGTTGTTAACTGCTAGCTTCACATTTCCACCTGGGTATTTCACAGTCAGCTGCAGCCTTCTGTGTCCAGACGTGAACTTAGCCTTTTAAAGCCCCTCCTTCTTCCACAAACAGCTTTGAGTCCAAAAACCAGATGTAGCCTGGATTTTTCCATCTTGCTTCATTCTTTCCCAAAGCTCTTCTTCCATCCACTGCAAGCAATAAGTACAGTCTATTGATTATATCCCATGACTGCCTTTAATGCATAACTACCCTTCCATTCCCCACAGCTGCACTTTCAGTTCTAATTTGGTTAACTTGGACTAGATTACTGCATTAGCCTCACCTGTCTACTCTCTCTCTCCCTTCACTTTCCTTCAGCTAATTCTCCATGCAACGCCTGCAGAGATGACCTTAAAGTATGTATGTGTCATATTTCTCTCCTGCTGAGGATTCTGTCTTTTACCTCATGACCTAGAGAATTGATGCATCTTAATGTGGCCCCTAGGACTACACCTTTTCTTGGGTCACTGTCCACTCTTGGTTCTTCCTGTTTCTTTTACTTTATCCTCCAGACAAGCCAAAAGGTTCATTATCCTATACATACACCATGCTGTTTCTCATTTTGCTCTATTGCAATGCCAGTTCCATGGCTTAGCATAACTTCGTTTATCTCATAAACTCCCATTCACCTCTCAGTACCCTGGTCAGGCTTCATCTTTTCCTGATAGACCTCTCTATATCATCCTCTTTGCCATTCTATACATTGCATGTGTTTTTTATTTTTATTTTTATAGAAACTGGGTCTTGCCATGTTGCCCAGGCTGGTCTTGAACTCCCAGGCTCAGGTGATCCTCCTGCCTTGGCCTCCCACAGTGCTGGGATTACAGGTGTGAGCCACCGTGCCCAGCCGCATTGCATGTGTTTTTATTCTTGCATTTATTACACTGCAATTTCCTTAAAGGTCTTTCTCTTCTTTTGGCCTATGACCTCCTTGGGGGCAGTTATGATGTCTTATTCATCCCTGTATTTCTTGGGCCTGCTCTGATGTCTGGATGGCACATAGCTGGCACTCAGTAAATACTGTTGAATATATTAATATTTGTCAGTCTCCTTTTAGTCTTTAGCAGCAAGCTTCTGTGGTAGATTAAAGACAGCCCTGCATTCTTTTGTACTTGTGGTGGGCAGACTTTCAGAGAGTCCTTAATGATTCACACTCCTGATATTCACATCCTTGTGAAATCCCCTACTCATGAGTGTGGACCAGCCTAGTGAATTGCATCTAACCAACAGAATGAAGCAAATGAGATTGCAGCTTTTGTTTTGCTACCAGTTTCTCTAATGGCTCTCTTCCTTTTTGGCTTTAATGAAGTAAGGTATCATCATATGGAGAGACCCCCATGGCAAGGAACTCAGGGAAGCTTTTGTGTGACAGCTAGCAAGAAGATGAGGCCCTCAGTCCAATAGCTCACTAGGAACTAAAATCTGCCAACAGCCATGCAAATGAGCAGTGTATCCTTTCCCAGTTGAGTCTCCAGATAAGACCCAGCCCTGGCAGATACCTTGGTTGCTTCCTTGTAAGAGACCCTAAAGCAGAGGACCCAATCAAGCCCTGCCCAGATTCTTGACCCCTGGAAACTATGAGTTAATAAATATATGTGATTTAAAGTCAGTATAGTTGTGTGGGTTTTGTTTGTTTGTTTGTTTTTACCAGTGGTAGATAACTAATACAGTGTCCAGTCATTGACAGGTGAACTCTAATTCCTCTCACCTTGAATCTGGGTTAGCCTCAGTGATCTTCGACCTATAGAATGTGGCAGAGGTGATGTTACGGGAACTTTTGAAGTTAGATCATAAGAAGCCTTGCAACTTTCAGGCCAGGTACAGTGGCTCACACCTGTAAACCCAGCACTTTGGGAGGCTGAGGTGGGCAGATCACCTGAGGTCAGGAGTTCAAGACCAGCTTGGCCAATATGGTGAAACCCTGTCTCTGCTAAAAATACAAAAATTAGCCAGGTGTGGTGACACACACCTGTAATCCCAGCTACTTGGGAGGCTAAGGCAGGAGAATTGCTTGAACCTGGGAGGTGGAGGTTACAGTGAGCCAAGATTGCACCACTGCACTCCAGCCTGGGCAACAAGAGTGAAACTCTGTCTAAAAAAAAAACAAGGCTTGCAGCTTTCACTTGGACCTCTTGGAACACTTGTTCTTAAGATGCTCTCTGTTTGATGCTCTTATTCAGAACCAAACTGTCATAATGAAAGCAGCCCAAGCCAGATGAAGAGGCTGGGTAGATACCGTAGTTGACAGCCCAGCTGAGTTTTCTACCAAAAGCCAGCATCAACTGCAAGCCATGGGAGGGAGTCATCTTGGATGTCTAGCCCAGTCAAGCCTTCAGATGATTACAGTCCAAGCCATCATCTGATAGCAACTGCTTAAGTGACCCCAAATGAGAATGCTCCAGAAACATAAGAGATAATAATATAATGTGGTTTTAAGCCACTAAGTTTTAATGTGTTTTGCATGTAGCAATAGGTAACTGAAATGACCCCTTAGAGTGAAAAGAGCCCTTATGCCATTTAAAAAATTCATTTTATAAAAATTTTTTGTGGAGACAGGATCTTACATGTTGCCTAGGCTTGTCTCAAACTCCTGACCTCCCAAAGTGTTGGGATTACAGATGTGAGCTACCATGCCCAGCCTCACTGATGCCATTTTTAATAATAGCCAACAAGAGGAAGGCTTGATGCACTATAGGGCCATTATTCTTCCATTTCTGATAAAGCAATATCCTTAAAATGTGAATTATATTACACAATCCATCTATACATAGTCCTTAGAATGAACCCCCAGTTCTTCCTTTGGCCTGTGTCATATGGCTTTTTTCTGGTAGTTATTCAAATATGGTCCACACCATCTTTCTCTCACTCACTGCTTTCTGGTCATACCGGCTTTCTTTATATGTCTAGGAAATTCCAAGTTATTCCTCAACTTAGTGTCTTTGCACATTCTGTTTCCTCTATCTGCAAGGCTATGCCTTTGGCTCATTTCATGCCATCTCTCTCTCTCTACCTATAAAGGAAGAGATTTATTATACGGTATTGGCTTATGCAATTATGGAGGCTGAGAAGTCCCTTGGTTTGCTGTTCTACAAGCTGAAGACATAGAAAAACTGGTAGGGTAGTTCAAAGGCCTGAAAGACAGAGGGCTGATGGTGTAGATGATAGTCTGGGTCTAAAGGCCTGCAAACCAGATTCACTGAGAACAGAGAAGATTGATGTTCCAGTTCAAGTGGTCAGGCAGAGTTAATTTCCTCCATCTTTTTGTTCTATTCAGGTCCTCACAGACTGGAGGGTGTCCACTCATATTGGGGAGGGCCAGCTGCTTTACTCAGTCCACCAATTCAAATGCTAATCTTGTCTGGAAATATTCTCACAGATAGACCTAGAAATAATGTTTAGCTATGTAGGCATCCTGTGACCAAGTCAAGTTGATACATAAAATTCACCGTCATAGTCATTTTCTCAGAAAGACTGTTTCTGATCAATATTTCTGCCAACCTTTTTTTTTTTAATCTGCAGCTTTGTTTCTTTTATTCATAGCATCTGTTACAACATTAGTTGATTACTTGTTTTCTCTTTCTCCACCTCTAGATGCTAAGCTCCATGAAGACAGCAGGTCATGATAGTTCTAAAGGGTGGAACATCTCAGGTATGTGAGAGGGGAAGGAAAATAGCTCAAGGAAATAAATAGCCTTAGAGGCCCAGGAAGGTATCCAGTAGTGCCTCACTGCAAAAATGTGAGCTTAAGCCGGAGAAGTCTCAGGCTTCTTAGGAACCCACAGGTCAGCCATTTCTGACTTTACACCATTGCCCATGTAATAATGTCAGCCTTAACTTGTAACTGGGTAGAGGGAAAAGTGGGACTCAAAGTGAATTTTTTTCTATTCATGGAAGAAAGACTGTACAAAACCAGAGAAGTTTTAGCTTTCAAAAATATATTTTATAAAACTTACAAAGGAAATACATGTTTATTGTACAAAATTTAAAAAGTACACAAAGTATTAAATAAGAGGTGAAATAATTATATCAATATATAAGTATAGTTCTGAGGAGATTATACAACAACTTTGCTAGTAAAATATTCCTATCATCCAGATTCCATAGGTGAAGAAATTGAGGCATTCAGAAATGTACTTGTGTTTAAATAACTTGAAAGTGGTGGAAATAGGCTGTGGATATATTCATTTTGATTCTAGAGCTGTGCTGTTCACTAAGCCAGCCAGTAGCCATATATGGCTATTTTAAAATTAAAATTAATTAAAATGGAATTAAATTAAAAATTCAGTCCTCAGTTGCATTAGCCACTTTTAAAGTGTGCAATAAACACAGATGGCTAGGAGCTACCCTGTTGAACAACATAGTGTTGAACCTTTCCATCATCACACATTTTTTTTTTTTTTGTAAACAAGTATTCTTAATTTTTATTTTGCTTGATCATTCTTTCACACCATCTTCTACAATGGTTTAACTAATTTACATTCCCACCAATAGTGTAAGAGCATTCCTATTTCTCTACAACCTCACCAGCATCTGTTGTTTTTTGACTTTTTAATAATGGCCATTCTGACTGGCATGAGATGATATCTCATTGTGGTTTTGATTTGCATTTCTCTAATGATCAGTAATGTTGAGCTTTCTTTTCATGTGTTTGTTGCCTGCATGAATGTCTTCTTTTGAGATATGTCTGTTCATGTCCTTTGCCCACTTTTTAATGGGTTTGTCTTTTTCTTGTAAATTTGTTTGAGTTCCTTGTAGATTCTGGATATTAGACATTTGTCGGATGGATAAATTGCAAAGGTTTTCGGACAGGTGCAGTAGCTCAAGCCTGTAATCCTAGCACTTTGGGAGGCTGAGGTGGGCAGATCACCTGAGGTCAGGAGTTTGAGACCAGCCTGGCCAACATGGTGAAACCCTGTCTCCACAAAAATACTGGGCATGATGGCAGATGCCTGTAATCCCAGCTACTCAGGAGGCTGAGGTGGGAGAATCGCTTGAACCTGAGAGGCAGAGGTTGCAGTGAGCTGAGATTGTGCCATTGCTATCCAGCCTGGGTGACAGAGTGAGACTCTGTCTCAAAAAAAAAAAAAAAAAAAAAAAGGGCAAAGATTTTCTCCCACTCTGTAGGTTGCCTGTTCACTTTGATGATAGTTTCTTTAGCTGTGCAGAAGCTCTTTAGTTTAATTAGATCCCATTCATCAATTTTGGCTTTTGTTGCAATTGCTTTTGGCAATTTTATCATGAAATCTTTGCCCATGCCTATGTCCTGAATGGTATTGCCTAGATTTTCTTCTAGGATTTTTATAGTTTTGGGTTTTACATTTAAGTCTTTAATCCATCTTGAGTTAATTTTTGTATAAGGTGTGAGGAAGGGGTCCAGTTTCAATTTTCTGCAAATGGATAGCCAGTTGTCCCAGCACCACTTATTAGATAGGGAGTTCTTTCTCCAATGCTTGTTTTTGTCAGGTTTGTCAAAGATCTGATGGTTGTAGATGTGTGATCTTATTTCTGAGTTCTCTATTCTGTTCCATTTGTCTGTGTGTCTGTTTCTGTACCAGTACCGTGCAGTTTTGGTTATTGTAGCTTTACAGTATAGTTTGAAATTCAGTTGAGTGATGACTCCGGCTTTGTTCTTTTTGGTTGGGATTGTCTTGGCTATACAGACTCCTTTCTGGATCCATATGAATTTTAAAATAGTTTTTTCTAATTCTGCACCACAAAATGTTTTATTGTATAGTGCTGCTATAGAGACTACTTCTAATCACATCTAGAAAATGTGTTTTCTTCAATCTCATTTCTTATTCCATAGTGAAGTGATTACTGCAATTCATGGTTGCCTGTGTATCCCTTCCACAATTTTTCCTAAGCAAATACAAATATAAATACCCATATACATTTTGTTTTGTGTTGTGCTTTTAAAAATAAGATCAACCTTACTTCTGCAAAAATGGCCATAATTAAAAAATAAATAATAACAGATGTTGGCTTGGAGGTGGTGAAAAGAGAACACTTCTACACTGCTGGTGGGAATATAAACTAGTACAACCACTATGGAAAACAGTGTGGAGATTCCACAGAGAACTAAAAGTAGAACTACCATTTGATCCAACAACCCCACCACTGGGTATCTACCCAGAGGAAAATAAGTCATTATATGAAAAAGACACTTGCACAGCATGTTTATAGTACACTGTTCACAATTGCAAATATATGGAACCAGTCTTAAATGCTCATCAACCAACAAGTTAAAGAAAATGTGTTTTATATATATACCATGGAATACTACTCAGCTATAAAAAAGAACAAAATAATGGCATTCACAGCAACCATTATTCTAAGTCAAGTAACTCAGGAATGGAAAACCAAACATCATGGGTTCTCACTTATAAGTGGGAACTAAGCTATGAAGATGCAAAGGCATAAGAATGATATAATGAACTCTGGGGACTTGGGGGGAGAAGTGGGAGGAGGGTGAGGAATAAAAGACTACACATTGGGTACAGTGTACACTGTTCAGGTGATGAGTGCACCAAAATCTCAGGAATCAGCACAAAAGAACCTTTCCATGTAACCAAACACCACCTGTTCTCCCAAAACGATTGAAATAAAATTTTAAAAGAAGACCAAATTATGCATATTGTTCTGTAACTTGTTTTGTTACTTAACGATTGATTTTGGATCTACCTGTGCATTAGGTTTTTAAGAAACTACCAAACAATTTTCCAGAATGGTGGCACCATTTATATTCCCATTAGCAAGTATGGGTGATTTGGTGTTTCTGGACACTTGTCAGCATTTGATATTGTTACTGTTTTTAAATTTAGCCAATCTGATGGATGTGTCATGTTACCTAATTGCAGTTTTAACTTGCAAATTTTTGTATTTTATTTTAATTTAATTTAATTTAATTTTATTTTATTTTATTTTATTTTATTTTTGTAGATACAGTTTCTCACTATGTTGTCCAGGCTGGAGTACAGTGATGCAATCTCGCCTCACTGCAACCTCCACCTCCAGGGCTCAAGCCATCCTCCTGTCTCACCTTCCCAAGTAGCTGGGACTATAGGTGCATGTCACCACACCCAGCTAATTTTTTTGTATTTTTTTGTAGAGATGGGGTTTTGCCACGTTGCCCAGCTGGTCTCAAACTCCTGGGCTCAAGCAATCTGCCCACCTCTGCCTCCCAAGGTGTTGGAGTTAGAGGTGTGAGCCACCGCTCCCAGCCTTAACTTGCATTTTTCTAATGGCTAACAATGGTAAGTATCTTTCCACACTCTCATTTGCCACCTGTACATCCTCTTCAGTGAAATTTCCATTTATATCTTTTCTAACTAGATTTTTTTTAACTGTTGAGTTTTGAGCTCTTTATTTATTCTATATGTGTTCTTTATGTATTCTATAGATTCAGTTCTTTGCTGGATATGTGGTTTGCAAATATTTTCTCCCAGTCTGTAGCTTATCTTTCTTCCTTTTTTTTTTTTTTTTTTTTTCCCCAGACGGAGACTCACTATGTCACCCAGGCTGCAGTGCAGTGGCAGGATCTCAGCTCACTGCAACCTCCGCCTCCTGGGTTCAAGTGATTCTCATGCCTCCCTCCTGCGTAGCTGGGATTACAGGCATGCACCACCATATCTGGCTAATTTTTTATATTTTTAGTAGAGACAGGGTTTCACCATGTTGGCCAGGCTGGCCTTGAACTCCTGACCTCAGGTGATCTGCCCACCTTGGCTTCCCAAAGTACTGGGATTACAGGCATTAGCCGCCGTACCCGGCCTTTCTTCCTTTTAACAGAGTCTCTTGCAGAGAAAAAGTTTTAACTTTGATGTACCTCAATTTTTCCTTTTACAGATCATGCTTTTGGTGTCTAGTCTGAACACTCCTTGCTGAGCTCTAGATCCAGAAGATTTTTCTAGTATGTTTTTTCCTAAATGTTTTATAGTTTTATATTATATATAAACTTAAGTCCATGATACATTTGAGGTTTAATTTTTATATGAGGTCTGAGGTTAGGTTGAGGTTTATTTTTTGCTTATGAATATATATTCAATTGCTCCATCATCATTGGTTAAAAAGGCTATCTTCACTGAATTATGCTTGCAACTTTGTACAAATTTATAGCAAATACTCTGACTTGGTCACTGCATGTAACAAAATATCACATGCCCCTCATAAATACATACAAATATTTTGTATCAATAAATACAATTTATTGGGGGCATTTGTGGGTCTATTTCTGGGTTCTCTTTTCAGTTCTATTGATTGACGACTCTGTCACTAAGCCAATACTACACAATCTTGACAACCATAGCTATGTAAATATTGAAATTGGGTAGAATGATTCCTCCTAAATTGTTCTGCTTTTTTACTTTTACGATTATTTCAGCTATTCTAGTTCCTTTGTTTTTTCATACATATTTTAGAATAATTTTGTCTATATTATTAAAATCTTGCTGAGATTTTGATAGGAATTGCTTTAAACATATATATCAATTTGTGGATAATTGATATATTTACTATATTAAATCTTACAATCCATGAACACAGTATGTCTCAATTTATTTAGATCTTCTTCTTATTATTCTTCCTTGTTTTAGGAACAGAGTCCTGCTATGTTGCCCAGGCTGGTCCTGAACTTCTGGCCTCAAGCAATTCTCCCACTTTGGCCTCTCAAAGTGCTGGGATTGCATGCGTGAGCCACCACGCTCAGCCTAGATCTTCTTTAAAGTTACTTTCCTTAGTATTTTGTAGTTTTCAGCATACAAGTCCCATACATTTTTGTTAGACTTACACTTAAGTATTTCTTTTTTCTTTTTGAACAATTTAAAATGGTATTGTATTTTTAATTTCAGTGTCTATATATTCATTGCATTTTTATAGAAATACAATAAATTTTTGTGTATTTATCTTACATCTTCCATATTTACTGAACTCTCTTATTCTAGGAGGGGTCTTTTTTTTTTTTGAAGATTTCTTAAGGTTTTCTATGTAGACAATCACGTTATATAGAAACAGGAACAGTTTTATTTTTTCTGTTCTGATTTGTATGTCTTTCATTTCCTTTTCTTGTCTTATTGACCTGAATAGAACTTGCAGCCCTCATCCTCATGAATAAGGATGGTGAGAGGAGAAAGACATCCTCGTCTCCTTACCAATTTTAAGGGGAAAATACTCAGTTTTCACCTTTAATATGATGCTAGCTGTAGGTTCTCATGTATATGCTCTTTATATTCTTGGGGAAGTTCTCTATTTTTATGTTTATGAGAATCTTACTCATAAAAGAGTTCTAAATATTATCAAATATTTTCTGCCTTAATTGATATGATTCCATGATTTTTCTTCCTCAGTCTGTTACTATAGTAGATTACACTGACTGATTTTTGAATGTTGAATCATATTTACATGCCAGGTATAAACAGCACTGGGTCATGTTGTATAATTTCTTTTATACAATGCCAAATTCTATGTTCTAATATTTTGTTAAGGATTTTAGTATTTATATTCATGAGGGATATTGGTGATACTCTCTTCCATACCATCTTTGTTTGGTTTGGGTATCAAGGTGATACCAGCTTCAAACCAAAACCAGACAAGGACACAACAAAAAAAACCCTACATGCCAACATCTTTGATGAACATAGATGCAAAAATCCTCGATAAAATACTAGGAAACGAAAGCCAACAACACATCAAATAGATAATATGCCATGATCAATTGAGATTTATCCCAGGGATGTAAAGATGGTTCAACATATGCAAATGAATAAATGTGCTACATCACATCAACAGAATGAAGGACAAAAACCATATGATCATTTCAATATACAAAGAAAAAACATTTGATAAAATCCAAATCCTTACATGATAAAAACTCTCAAACTAGGAACTTAGAAGAAACATTCCTCAATATAATAAAGGCCATATAAGGCAAACCCATCATACTAACTAACATCATACTGAATGGGGAAAAGCTGAAAGCCCTTTCTCTAAAAACGGGAATTAGACAAGGCTGCCTTTTTTTTTTTTTTTAGACAGTCTTGCTCTGTTGCCCCGGTGAGGATGCCCAGTTTCACCACTCTTGTTGAACACAGTACTAGAAGTCCTAGCCAGAGCAATCAAGCAAGAGAAAGAAATAAAAGGCATCCAGATTAGAAAAGGTCATTTATTTATTTTTTGCAGATGATGTGATCTTATATAGAGAGAAATCTAAAACCTCAACCAAGAAACTCCTAGAACTGATAAACGAATCGGTAAAGTTGCAGGATACAAAATCAACATATAAAAATTAATGGCATTCCCTTTTTCTTTGTCTTTTTTGAGACAGGGTCTCACTTTGTCACCCAGGCTGGTGTGCAGTGGTGATCTTGGCTCACTGTAGCCTCCACCTGGACTCAAATGATCCTTCTGCCTCAGCCTCCTGAGTACCTGGGACTATTGGTGCACACCACCATGCCCAGCTAATTTTTTGTAGAGATGGGGTTTTGTAATGTTGCCCAGTCTGGCCTTGAATGTCCAGCCTCAAGTGATTCATCTGCCTTGGCTTCTCAAAGTGCTAGGATTACAGGCATGAACCACTGTACCTGGCCTCTTCTTCTTTTTTTTTTTTTTTTGAGACAAAATTTCTCTCTATTATCCAGACTGGAGTGCAGTGGTGGGAGATAATGGGTTACTGTAGCCTTGACCTCCCAGGCTCAAGTAATCTTTCTACCTCAGCCTTCCAAGTAGCTGGGAGCACAGGCTGATGCCACCACACCCAGCTAATTTATTTATTTATTGGTAGAGGCAGGCTTTTGCCATGTTGCCCAGGCTGATCTTGAACTCCTGGAAGCCAAGGTGGGCAGATCACATGAGGTCAGGAGTTCGAGACCAGCCTGGCTAACATGGTGAAACCCCATCTCTACTAAAACTACAAAATTTAGCCAGGCATGGTGGTGCATGCCTGTAATCCCAGCTACTCTGGAGGCTGAGGCAGGAGAATCACTTGAACCTGGGAGGTGGAGGTTGCAGTGAGCCGAGGTCACACCACTGCACTCCAGCCTGGGTGGTAGAGTGAGAGTCCGTCTCAAAAAATAGAAAAAAAAAAAAAATGTCCTTTCACTATTCATACACCCACTCACCCACTGCCTAACGATTTTCTTCTGTACATTTATATTCCCATGTGCATATTTACATACACATAATTGTAATAATATATGGGATTATTCTATGCATAATATTTCCCAACTTTTTTTTCATGTGCCAATATATCTCAGTTATTTTCATGTTAGTAAATATAGGAATACCTCTTTCCTATTTGCATTTTCTACTATTAAGTGTTAAAATTTATTTTTTGATTTTATATAATAAAAATTTTCAGGCATTTTAATGGAGCTAAGCAATGATCACCAATAGTTCTTAACATCACAAAAGAGAAACAAGCAGACATAATGTGCCTCCTGACAGAAAGTCACATTCCCAACTCTGCCAAAAAAATCAGATTTTATCAAGTTCGTAGATTATGATCAATTTATAGGAAATACAAAGGAAAGATGAACATGTTAAACAACACTGTGAGAACAGAATCAGCAACATCTAGATTTTAGAAACCACTAGGGCACAACTAACCTGTTTTTTCAACAAAAATTTAAAGAAAAAAAAGAAAAAGAGGTGGTAGAGCATCTGTAGATTAAAAGACCCTTAAAAAGCATATTGTAGTATATCAATTTTACTTTGATTCTGATTCAGACAAATCATAAAACTGAAAAATATTTTAGGACAATTAGGGAAATTTAAACACTTATGCTTACTCGATGATACTGAGAAATTATTATTGAATGATTTTAGGCATAATAATGGCATTTTGATTATGTTAAAAAAGAGTCCTCAGGCACACGTTCTCAGGACCTCCTGAGGCTGTATCATGGAAGGGAAAAAAAAAGAGTTCTTGTTCTATGGACATACATTCTAAAATACTTACAGATGGCATGATATGAGGTGTAGGATTTGTTTTATACAATCTGGGATAGAGAAATGGGAGGTGATACAGAGGAAGCAATATTGACCGTGAACTAATGATTGTTGACCCTGCGTAATGGATAAAAGGGAGCTCATTTAATATTGTTTCTACTTTTACATGTTTGGAATTTGTTAAAATAAAAGAGTTCAGATATTTTTCTTTTAAGCACAGATGAAATGGAAAGCACCGAAGTAAGCCTGCATTTATTCATCACCTTGATTTAGGCTTAGTGGTGGTTATTAAATTTGATTCCCTTATTTTTTTTCCTGCAGTATTTTAAACAAATTCAGCTGGTTGTGGTGGCTCACACCTGTAATCCCAGCACTTTGGGAGGCCAGGGCGGGTGGATCACTTGAGGTCAGGAGTTTGAGACCAGCCCGGCCAACAACGGCGAAACCCTGTCTCTGCTAAAAGTATAAAAATTAGCCAGGCGTGGTGGCGTGCGCCTGTACTCCTAGCTACTTTGGAGCTTGAGGCAGGAGAATCACTTGAACCCAGGAGGTGGAGGTTGCAGTGAGCCAGGATCGAGCCACTGTACTCCAGCCTAGGTGACAGAGCAAGACTCCATCTCTCAAAATAATAAAAAAAATAAAATAAATAAATAAAATAAAAATAAAACAAATTGTAGACATTTTTAGAGACCAGGATACCACTCAACATGGTGTATTATTTAAGTATTTATCTAGAATAGTGACTTCCCCCTTTTTATCATGCCATTGACTTGTTGAAGATACTAGATGAATTTTTCTATAAAATGTCCCACATCGTGGACTTTTCATATGGTTTCATTTCCTATAACCTTCAAGTTGGAGCTAGACGGTTTATTAGATTCAGCCTTACAATTTTCTATTTATTATTATTATTTTTAATTTCCTTCAAATAGTTTTTTTTCTGCTTGCTAGGAAATATTAGATTAAGTTTTAATATTTTTGAAAAAATTACCTCAGGTGGTGTTATTAAATATTGTTTCTAATAGTAAAAATTTGGGGAGGGGGAAAATCTAACTATCCCATAAAGGGGACTTATATAAAGTCAATTATAACATACCCATGCAGAATGCAAACAATCATTATGATATTAAAAATACTTAGTAAAGGCCGGGCACAGTGACTCATGCACATAATCCTAGCACTTTGGGTGGCTGAGATGGGAGGATTGCTTGAGGTTAGGAGTTTCAGACCAGCCTGGTCAACATGGTGAGACCCCATCTGTAGAAAAGAAAGAAAAAATACTTAGTAAGGCTGGGTGTGGTGGCCCACGCCTGTAAGCCAGCACTTTGGGAGGCTGAGACAGGCAGATCGCTTGAGCCTAGGTGTTCAAGACCCAGCCTGGGCAATATAGTGAGACTCTGTCTCTACAAAAAAGTACAAAAGTTAGCCGGGTGTGGTGGTGGGTGCCTGTAGTCCCAGCTACTTAGGAGGTTCAGAGGTGGGAGGATCACTTAAGCCTGAGAGGTTGAGGCTGCAGTGAGCTGAGATTGTGCCACTGCACTCCAACCTGGGTGACAGAGTGAGACTCTGGTCTCAATTAAAAGAAAAAAAAACGTAGTAAAGTTTAAATTAAAATTTAAGAATATGAAACATGTTCATATGGTGAATTTGAAACATGTTCAGGTGCAGTACCTGAAAAAAAAGCTGATTAGAAAGCATATGTATACTATTTGTGATTATGACTGGCAGGATCTACATCACAAACTACTGATTAGTGGTGGGACCATATGCAATTTACCTTTTTTTTCTTTGTAGGAAATAAACAGATGAATAATAACCATGCTTTATTTTGTAATAATACTAATATAAAACCAATGGAATTTATCTATAAAAACATCCCCCAGAAATTAAATGGTATAAAGGCAGTGTAAACCTTTGTGGTCTGTAGGTTTTTCAACTCTTCCAGACTACCGTCTTTAATAAAGGAATTTGTGACGAAGCAGAGATGATGGATTCAGGGCTCTCTTACCAATATTAGGAGCCCAGAAACCTGTGAAAGGGGGAAGACAAGACACATTAGAAACAAAATGTAAATGTAGAGTAGTTTTGTTTTATATTTGTACTTTATTTTATTTTATTTTATTTTATTTTATTTTATTTTATTTTATTTTATTTTTGAGACAGAGTCTTACTCTGTCACCCAGGCTGGAGGGCAGTAGCATGACCTTGGCTCACTAAAAACCTCCACCTCTTGGGTTCAAGCAATTCTCATGTCTCGGCCTCCCAAGTAGCTGGGATTACAGGCGTGTACCACCAAGCCCGGCTAATTTTGTATTTTAGTAGAGATGGGGTTTCACCATGTTGGCCAGGCTGGTCTCGAACTCCTGACCTCAGATGATCCACCCACCTTGGCCTCCCAAAGTGCTGGGATTATAGGCGTGAGCCACCATGCCAGGCCTGTTTTTTATTTTTGTGTTTCATTTTAGTCAATGGTCTGCTGAATATAGAGTAGCTTAACAATTAGGGTTGTAGCTACTCCTTTCAGCCCAGAGATTCAGAGTTCTTAGCACACAAATGTCTCATCCCTGACTCAGACAAACTGAGCAGTCACCCTGAACACAGTCCCAATTGTGTCATGTGGTCACCCCTCCCCCCATGTCCATGGAAAGGGACACCAGAGGCCAGCCAGGCCACCGCTATGAAAGGAGGACCTGATTCAGCTCCTTGCCATTTCTCCGTCGGGTTCCTCCTCCCTGTGTGGCCACCACCTTTACCACTTCTTATTTCCAAAGGACTTCCTTCTCCTTCATAGCTACCATCCCCTCATTGACTCTTACTGTCTATTCGTTTGCAGGGAACTTCTCTTTGAGGCAGTATAGGGTGATGACCAGGCATTCAGGCTCCATCAGACTATAGAATCTGGCTCTACCACTTATTATTTTTCAAACAGCCTTGTGACTGTAACTACCACTTATTAATATACATTATCATGCAAGTATTTAACAACCCTTAGGCCAGGTGTGGTGGCTCACACCTGTAATCCCAGCACTTTTGGAGGCCAAGGCAGGAAGATTGCTTAAGCCTAGGAATTAGAGACCAGAGTGGGCAACATCATGAGATACCCCTGTCTCTACCAAAAAAAAATTGCCAGGAGTGGTGGTGCATGTCTGTGGTTCCAGCTACTCAGGAGGCTTGAGGGGAGGATCACTTAAGCCCAGGAGTTCGAGGCTGCAGTGAGCAATGATCACACCACTACATTCCAGCCTGGGCAACAGAGCAAGACCCTCTCTCTAAAAATAAAAAATAAAAATAAAAATAAAAACAGAAAAATCCTCTTAGATTCAGTTTTTACAAAGTGTCACTGGAGGCAGAAAATGTGGACTTGAAGATTTTTCAAATATTTAACACCTGATGGCTCTTTCGCAAGTTTTCCATTGGCGGAGTTTTGTGCTGGAGATGAGGAAGTTTTTTTTCCCTTTATTTTCTAAGTATTTATCAGAGAACAGTATTAAAATAACTTAGAGGATATATATTTCCCTCTGAACTGTTATATAAAATTTAACACAGGTAAAAGAAATCAATGGAACAGATAACAATTATTTCTTTGTCTCCTTGCTTACACCCACTTCTCCTTTCATCAAAGGAAGATCATCATTAGCTGAATATATTCTAAGGTTGTTTCTTTGTACTTTTTTTTATTATACTTTAAGTTCTGGGACATGGCAGAACGTGGAGGTTTGTTACATAGGTATACACAGGCCATGGTGGTTTACTGCACCCATCAACCCATCACCTACATTAGGCATTTCTCCTAATGTTATCCCTCCCCTACTTCCCAACACTCTGACAGGCCCCGGTGTGTGATGTTCCCCTCCCTGTGTCCATGTGTTCTCATTGTTCAACTCCCACTTATGAGTGAGAACATGCGGTGTTTGGTTTTCTGTTCTTGTGTTAGTTTGCTGAGAATGATGGTTTCCAGCTTCATCCACGTTCTGCAAAGGACATGAACTCATCCTTTTTTATGACTGCATAGTATTCCATGGTGTATATGTACCACATTTTGTTGATCCAGTCTATCATTGATGGGCATTTGGGTTGGTTCCAAGTCTTTGCTATTGTGAATAGTGCTGCAATAAACATATGTGTGAATGTGTCTTTATAGTAGAATGATTTATAATCCTTTGGGTATATACCCAGTAATGGGATTGCTATGTCAAATGGTATTTCAGGTTCTAGATCCTTGAGGAATCGCCACACTGTCTTCTACAATGGTTGAACTAATTTACACTCCCACCAACAGTGTAAAAGCTTTCCTATTTCTCCACATTCTCTCCAGCATCCATTGTTTCCTAACTTTTTAATGATAGCCATTCTAACTGGCGTGAGACGGTATCTCATTATGGTTTTGACTTGCATTTCTCTAATGACCAATGATGATGAGCTTTTTTTCATATGTTTTTTGGCTGCATAAATGTCTTCTTTTGAGAAGTGTCTGTTCATATCCTTCACCCACTTCTTGATGGGGGTTGTTTGTGTTTTTCTTGTAAATTTGTTTAAGTTCCTTATAGATTTTGGATATTAGCCCTTTGTCAGATGGATAGATTGCAAAAATTTTCTCCCATTCTGTCAGTTGCCTGTTCACTCTGAAGGTAGTTTCTTTTGCTGTGCAGGAGCTCTTTAATTTAATTAGATCCTATTTGTCAATTTTGGCTTTTGTTGCCATTGCCTTTGGTGTTTTGTCATGAAGTCCTTGCCCATGCCTGTGTCCTGAATGGTATTGCCTAGGTTTTCTTCTAGGGTTTCTATGGTTTTAGGTCTTACGTTTAAGTGTTTAATTAATCTTGAGTTAATTTTTGTATAAAATGTAAGGAAGGGGTTCAGTTTCAGTTTTCTGCATATGGCTAGCCAGTTTTCCCAACACCATTTATTAAATATGGAATCCTTTCCCTATTGCTTGTTTTTGTCAGGTTTGTCAAAGATCAGATGGTTGTAGATGTGTGGCATTATTTCTGGGGCCTCTGTTCTGTTCCATTGGTCTACATACGTGTTTTGGTACCAGTACCATGCTGTTTTGGTTACTGTAGCCTTGTAGTATAGATTGAAGTCAGGTAGCGTGATGCCTCCAATTTTGTTCTTTTTGCTTAGGATCGTCTTGGCTATGCGGGCTCTTTTTTGATTCCATGTGAAATTTAAAGTAGTTTTTTTCTAATCCTGTGAAAAAAGTCAATGGTAGCTTGATGGGAATAGCATTCAATGTATAAATTACTTTGTGCATTATGGCCATTTTCACAATATTGATCCTTCCTATCCATAAGCATGGAATGTTCTTCCATTTGTTTGTGTCATCTCTTATTTCCTTGAGCAGTGGTTTGTAGTTCTCCTTAAAGAGGTCCTTTGGCCTGGCATGGGAGCTCACGCCTGTAATCCCAGCACTTTGGGAGGCTGAGGTGGGCAGATCACGAGGTCAGGAGTTCGAGACCAGCCTAGGCAATATGGTGAAACCCCATCTCTACTAAAAATACAAAAATTAGCTTGGCTTGGTGGCAGGCGCCTGTAATCCCAGCTACTCACAAGGCTGAGGCAGGAGAATCACTTGAACCCGGGAGGCAGAGGTTGCAGTGAGCCGAGATTGCACCACTGCACTCCAACCTGGGCAACAGAGTGAGGCTCCATCTCAAAAAAGAAAAGAAAAGAAAAGAAAAGAGGTCCTTCACATCCCTTGTAAGTTGTATTCCTAGGTATTTTATTCTCTTTGTAACAATTGTGAATGGGAGTTAACTCATGATTTGGCTCTCTGTTTGTCCATTATTGGTGTATAGGAATGCTTGTGATTTTTGCACATTGATTTTGTGTTCTTAGACTGCTGAAGTTGCTTTTCAGCTTAAGGAGATTTTGGGTTGAGACTATGGGGTTTTCTAAATATGCAATCATGTCATCTGCAAACAGAGACAATTTGACTTCCTCTCTTCCTATTTGAATACCCTCTATTTCTTTCTCTTGCCTGATTGCCCTGGCCAGAACTTCCAATGCTATGTTGAATAGGAGTGGTGAGAGAGGGCATCCTTGTCTCATGTTGGTTTTCAAGGGGAATGCTTCCCGCTTTTGCCCATGCAGTATATTGGCTTTTTTTTTTTTTTTTGTCATAAATAGCTCTTATTATTTTGAGATATGTTCCATCAATACCTAGTTAATTGAGAGTTTTTAGCATGAAGGGCTGTTGAATTTGTCAAAGGATTTTTCTGCATCTATTGAGATAATCATGTGGTTTTTCTCATTGGTTCTGTTTATGTGACGGATTACATTTATTGATTTGCATATGTTGAACCAGCCTTCCATACCAGGGATGAAGCTGACTTGATCGTGGTGGATAAGCCTTTTGATGTGCTGCTGGATTCAGTTTGCCAGTATTTTATTGAGGATTTTTGCATCAATGTTCATCAGGGATATTGGCCTGAAATTTTGTTGTTGTTGTTGTGTCTCTCCCAGGTTTTGTTATCAGGATGATGCTGGCCCCATAAAATAAGTTAGGGAGGAGTTCCTCTTTTTCTATTGTTTGGAATAGTTTCAGAAGGAATGGTACCAGCTCCTCTTTGTACCTCTGGTAGAATTTGTCTGTGAATCCATCTGGTCCTGGGCTTTTTTTGGTTGGTAGGCTATTAATTACTGCCTCAATTTCAGAACTTCTTATTGGTCTATTCAGGGATTCGACCTCTTCCTGGTTTAGTCTTGGGAGGGTGTATGTGTCCAGGAATTTATCCATTTCTACTAGATTTTCTAGTTTATTTGCATAGAGGTGTTTATAGTATTCTCTGATGGTAGTTTGTATTTCTGTGGGATCAGTGATGATATCCCCTTTATCATTTTTTATTGTGTCTATTCAATTCTTCTCTCTTTTCTTCTTTATTGGTCTGGCTAGCAGTCTATCTATTTTGTTAATCTTTTCAAAAAACCAGCTCCTGGATTCATTGTGTTTTTGAAGGGTTTTTTGTGTCTCTATCTCCCTCAGTTCTGTTCTGATCCTAGTTATTTCTTGTCTTCTGCTAGCTTTTGAATGTGTTTGCTCTTGCTTCTCTAGTTGTTTTAATTGTGATGTTAGGGGTCGAGTTTAGATCTTTCCCGCTTTCTCCTGTGGGCATTTAGTGCTATACATTTCCCTCTAAACACTGCCTTAGCTGTGTCCCAGATATGCTGATATGTTTTGTCTTTCCTCTCATTCATTTCAAATAACTTATTTATTTCTGCCTTAGTTTCATTTTCATTCAGGAGTCATCCAGGAGCAGGTTGTTCAGTCTCCATGTAGTTGTGTGGTTTTGAGTGAGTTTCTTAATCCTGAATTCTAATTTGATTGCACTGTGGTCTGAGAGACTGTTTGTTATGATTTTCATTCTTTTGCTTTTACTTCCAATTATGCAGTCAATTTTAGAATAAGTGCGATGTGGTGCTGAGAAGATTGTTGATTTGGGGGTGAAGAGTTCTGTAGATGTCTATTAGGTCTGCTTAGTCCAGAACTGAGTTCAAGTCCTAAATATCCTTGTAAATTTTCTGTCTCATTGATCTGTATAATATTGACAGTGGCATGTTAAAATCTCCCACTATTATTGTGTGGGAGTCTAAGTCTCTTTGTAGGCTTCTAAGAACTTGCTTTATGAATCTGGGTGCTCCTGTATTGGGTGCATATATATTTAGGATAGTTAGCTCTTCTTGTTGGCTTGATCCCTTTACCATTATGTAATGGCCTTTTTTGTCTCTTTTGATATTTGTTGGTTTAAAGTCTGTTTTTTCAGAGAGTAGGATTGCAACCCCTGCTTTTTTTTGCTTTCCATTGCTTGGTAGATCTTCCTCCATCCCTTTATTTTGAGCCTATGTGTGTCTCTGCATGTGAGATGGGTCTCCTGAATACAGCACACTGATGGGTCTTGATTCTTTGTCCAATTTGCCAGTCTGTGTCTTTTAACTGGGGCATTTAGCCCATTTACATTTGAGGTTAATATTGCTATGTGTGAATTTGATGCTGTCATTATGATGCTAGCTGGTTATTTTGCCCAATAGATGATGCAGTTTCTTCATGGTGTCGATGGTCTTTACAATTTGGTATGTTTTTGCAGTGGTTGTTCCTTTCCATGTTTAGTGCTTCCTTCAGGAGCTCTTGTAAGGCAGGCCTGGTGGTGACAAAATCTCTCAGCATTTACTTGTGTGTAAAGGATTTTATTTCTCCTTCACTTATAAAGCTTAGTTTGGCTGGATATGAAATTCTGGGTTGAACATTATTTTCTTTAAGAATATTGAATATTGGCCCACTCTTCTGGCTTGTAGGGTTCCTGCAAAGAGATCTGCTGTTAGTCTGATGGGCTTCCCTTTGTGCGTAACCCGACCTTTCTCTCTGGCTGCCCTTAACATTTTTTCCTTCATTTCAACCTTGGTGAATCTGACAATTATGTGTCTTGGGGTTGCTCTTCTCAAGGAGTATCTTTGTGGTGTTTTCTGTATTTCCTGAATTTGAATGTTGGCCTGCCTTGCTCTGTTGGGGAAGTTCTCCTGGATAATATCCTGAAGAGTGTTTTCCAACTTGGTTCCATTCTCCCCATCACTTTCAGGTATACCAATCAAATGTAGGTTTGGTCTTTTCACACAGTCCAATATTTCTTGGAGGCTTTGTTTGGTCCTTTTCATTCTTTTTTCTCTAATCTTGTCTTCATGCTTTACTTCATTAAGTTGATTTAAAATCTCTGATATCCTTTCTTCCACTTGATCAATTCTGCTATTGATATTTGTGTATGCTTCACAAAGCATACACAAGTTCTCGTGCTGTGTTTTTCAGCTCCATCAGGTTATTTATGTTCTTCTCTAAAATGATTATTCTAGTTAGCAATTTGTCTAACCTTTTCTCAGGTTCTTAGCTTCCTTGCATTGGGTTAGAACCTGCTCTTTTAGCTCAGAGGAGTTTGTTATTACCTATCTTCTGAAACCTCCTCTGTCAATTCATCAAATTCATTCACCGTCCAGTTTTGTTCCCTTGCTGGAGAGGAGTTGTGATCCTTTGGAGAAGAGCCATTCTGGTTTTGGGAATTTTCAGCCTTTTTGCTCTGGTTTTTCTTCATCTTCACGGATTTATCTACCTTTGCTCTTTAATGTTGGTGACCTTTGGTTGGGGTTTCTGTGTGGATGTCCTTTTTGTTGATGTTGATCCTATTCCTTTCTGTTTGTTTGTTTTCCTTTTGACAGTCAGGCCTCTCTGCTGCAGGTCTGCTGGAGTTTGCTGGAGGTCCACTCCAGACCCTGTTTGCCTGGGTATCACCAGCAGAGGCTGCAGAACAGCAAAGATTGCTGCTTGTTCCTTCCTCTGGAAGCTTCATCCCATAGGGGCACCCGCCAGATGCCAGCTGGAGGTCTCCTGTATGAGATTTCTCTTGACCCCTGCTGGAAGGTGTCTCCCAGTGAGGAGGCACGGGAGTCAGGGACCCACTTGAGGAGGCAGTGTGTCTCTTAGGAGAGCTCAAGTGTTGTTCTGGGAGATCCCCTGCTCTCTTCAGAGCCGGCAGGTAGGAATGTTTAAGTCTGCTGAAGCTGCGCCCACAGCTGCCCCTTCCCCCAGGTGCTCTGTCCCAGGGAGATGGGAGTTTTATCTATAAGCCCTGACTGGGGCTGCTGCCTTTCTTTCAGAGATGCCCTACCCAGAGAGGAGGAATCCAGAGAGGCAGTCTGGCTACAGTGGTTTTGCAGTGCTGTGGTGGGTTCCATCCAGTTCAAACTTCCCTGCAGCTTTGTTTACACTGTGAGGTGAAAACCACCTACTCAAGCCTCAGTAATGGTGGACTCCCCTCCTGCCACCAAGCTGGAGTGGAGCATCCCAGATCAACTTCAGACTGCTGTGCTGGCAGCAAGAATTTCAAGCCAGTGGATCTCAGCTTGCTGGGCTCCATGGGGGTGGGATCCGCTGAGTTAGACCACTTGGCTCCCTGGCTTCAGCCCCCTTCCCAGGGGGTTGTGAACAGTTCTATCTCACTGGTGTTCCAGGTGCCACTAGGGTATGAAAAAAAACTCCTGTAGCTAGCTTGGTGTTCGTCCAAATGGCCGCCCAGTTTTGTGCTTTAAATAAAGGTCCTGATGGCATAGGCACCCAAGGGAATCTCCTAGTCTGCTGGTTGTGAAGACCATGGGAAAAGCTTAGTATCTGGACCGGAATGCACCGTTCCTCATGGCACAGTCCCTCAAGGCTTTCCTTGGCTAGGGGAGGGAGTTCCCCAACCCCTTGCACTTCCTGGGTGAGGCGACACCCCACCCTGCTTGGCTCGCCCACCGTGAGCTGCACCCGCTGTCTAACCAGTCCCTATGAGATGAGCTGGCTACCTCAGCTGGAAATGCAGAAATCACCCACCTTTTGCGGTGAACTCGCTGGGGGCTGCAGACCGGAGCTCTTCCTATTTGGCCATGTTGCCAGCCACTTCTTTGTTTTGTTTTCAAAGAAAAGCACTAAAGAAAAATTCTTTATATTTCTATAGAGCTTTACATTTTATATTTCCACATACTTTGATAGTGTTTTTTTCTTAAGTTTTGTTGCATGCTTCGTAAAAACAGCTATATTGGGGTATGATTTACATACAGTAGAACTCACCCATTTCGGGTATACCTCAGATTGGCAAATATATACAATTGTATAACTACCAACACACTCAAGATACAGGGCCAGGTGCAGTGGCTCACACCTGTAATCCCAGCACTTTGGGTGGCTGAGGCATGTGGATCACCTGAGCTCAGGAGTTTGAGACTAGCCTGACTAACATGACACAACTCTGTCTCTACCAAAAATGCAAAAAATTAGTCTGGTATGGTGGTGTGCACCTGTAATCACAGCTACTTGGGAGGCTGAGGTGGGAGGATCACTTGAACCTGGGAAGTGGAGGTTGCGGTGAGCCATATTCATGCCACTGCACTCGATCCTGGGTGACAGAATGACAGCCTGTCTCAAAAATAAAATTGTTATACAAAATTAGAAGATGTATATATATAAAAGAAAAAGGATAAAAAAATCACCTGTTTCCTTTGCCCAGAAGAGACACATTGTTAAACAATTTTAAAAATATAACCTTTCAGGCTTTTGTCTGTGTATGTATGTGCTCCTTCTTACAAGAGTGGGTTAAGGTTGTTGATCTTTTGTATTTTAATTGTCACACTCAAGATGAAGATCATTTTCCTCACTTCTATCCTGGGGATCTTTTCACATCAATAAATATGCACCTACAACATTCTTTATTACTTTTTTTAACTTTTATTTTAAGGTTAGGAGTACATGTGCAGGTTTACTGCATAGGTAAACTTGTGTTATGAGGGTTTGTTATACAGATTATTTTGTCACCCAAGTATTAAGCCTAGTACCCATTAGTTATTTTTCCTGATCCCCTCCCTCTTCCCACCCTCCACCCTCTGATAAGCCCCAGTGTTTATTTTCTCCTTTACGTGTCCACGAGGCATTCTCATCATTTAGCTTCGACCTACAAGTGAGAACATGAGTTATTTGGGTTTCTGTTCCTGCGTTAGTTTGCTAAGGATGATAGCCTCCAGCTCCATCTGTGCTCCTGCCAAGGACATGATCTCATTCTTTTTTTTAATAGCTGCATAGTATTCCATGGTTTGTATGTACCACATTTTTGTTTTTCTTTTCTTTTTCTTTCTTTTCTTTTCTTTTTTTTTTTTTTTTTTTGAGACAGAGTCTTGCTCTGTCACCCAGGCTGGAGTGCAGTGGCACAATCTTGGCTCACTGCAACCTCCGCCTCCCAGGTTCAAGCTATTCTCCTGCCTCAGCCTCCCGAGTAGCTGGGATTACAGGCATGCACTACTAATTTTGTAGTTTCTTAGTAGAGATGGGGTTTCACCATGTCGCCCAAGCTGGTCTCGAATTCCTGACCTCAGGTGATTGACCTGCCTCAGCCTCCCAAAGTGCTGGGATTACAGGCATGAGCCACCGTGCCCAGCCCACATTTTCTTTATCCAATCTGTCATTGATGGGCATTTAGGTTGATTCCATGTCTTTGTTATTATGAACAGTGTTGCAATGAACATATGTGTGTATATATCTTTATGATACAGCAATTTATGTTTCTTTGGGTATATACCCAGTAATGGGATTGCTGAGTTGAATGATGGTTCTGTTTTTAGGTCTTCAAAAAATAGTCACACAGTTTTCCACAATAGCGGAAACTAATTTACACTCCCACCAACAGTGTATAAGTGTTCCTTTTTCTCTGCAACCTCATCAGCACTTGTTACTTTTTGACGTTTTAGTATTAGCCATTCTGACTGGTGTGAGATGGTACTCATTGTGGTTTTGATTTGCATTTCTCTAATGATCAGTGATACAATATTCTTATAAATGGTTGCTGAATCTTTATTTGATTACTCAGAATCTTTATTTGATGCATGTTGATGGCACATGAGACTTAGATTATTTGCAATTTTATGATATTAACACTAGTCTTGCATTCATTTTTAAGAAATTTACTGTACCTCCACCTACTTCTAAACCATACTTTTGCATTTTGAGATGATCATTTGATTTTAAGATCTGCTGTTCTTTAAAAGTATAACATTGGTTTCTTTCCCAGGTACCCTAGAGATGTTGGGGAAGAAATTGGACCTGGTGCATAGATGGAGAAATGAACTTCATGTAAGTGAAGAAATACATCTGTTATGCAAGACACTCAGGTGGTGGATTTTGCATGTTTTCTCTAATATATTTTTTATCTGAATATGAAAAAAACTCTCTTAGCCCACAAAAGAGGAAGTTTGAGTAAAAATTTGGTAGAAAAGTGTCTGAAAGGACAAGCTTCCTTTAGCAATACAACTCCAGAAGTTTCATTTCTCCCTCTTCCTCTTTTCTTTTCAAACTAGGAAACACTTAAATTGCATGGGCCCAGTTGAAAAGAGCTTCAGTATTAGAGTGGGGGGTTGGGGGGTGATATAGCTGATAAGCTGATGACAGGGAAAGAGCCAGTTCAGTAACTAGCCAAAATGACAATGGTAAAAATAATTCCTGTCCAAAAATATCCATTCCTGAATTGTATCTGTGCACTTATGTAGACTAAACTTATTCCCCTCAAGTTCCCTTAAAGAATAACTGTTCTTGGCCAGGTGTGGTGGCTCATGCCTATAATCTCAGCACTTTGGGAGGCTGAGGTGCACAGATCACTTGAGCCCAGGAGTTCAAGACCAGCGTGGGCAACATAGTGAGACCTTGTCTCTATAAAAAAATTAAAAAATTAGCCAGGCCTGGTGTTATATGTCTGTAGTCCCAGCTGCTTGGAAGGCTGAGGTGGGAAGATTGCTTGAGCCTGAGAAGTTGAGGCTGCAGTGAGCTGTGATCAGGCCACTGCACTCCAGCCTGGGCAACAGAGCAAAACCCTGTCTCAAAAAAAGAAAGAAAGAAAGAAAGAAAGAGAGAGAAAGAAAGAGAGAAAGAAGAGAGAGAAAGAGAGAGAGAAAGAAGAGAAAGAAAGAAAGAAAGAAAAAAAAGTAGAAGAATTGTTCTCAAAGCCTTCTTGACAAAGAAAATGATAGAAAACTCAATGGTGGAGATTAATTCACACAAAATTGTTGTCTACCCCCACTTGTTCATTTTCTAAAAAGACTATTTTCAGAGATTTGAGACAAAAGGAAGTTTAGGTATCATTTAGTACAGACTCTTCTTCTTTCTACATGAGGGAGTATGTGGAGAATATATCGTTTAGATTTCATTCTGATCTTTGTTTTCTTTTTGCTGTAAAGGCTTGGCTCTTCAATTCTTGGTTTATATAACCATTTTTTATTTTATTTTATTTCTTGTAGAGACAGAGTCTCACTACGTTGCCCAGGCTTGTCTTGAACTCTTGGGCTCAAGTGATCCTCCCAGCATGTTGGGATTACAGGTGTGAGCCACTGCACCTGGTCTTTGTAACCATTTTTGAAAAGGGTTGTTTCCCTAGTAACTAGTAACTCTCTAATTCATAATGACTGAACTGAGTTTTCTAACAGGAAAGTATTTTCCTCTTCAGGGGATGAGGTTTAAACCCCTCAGGACTACTTCAACTTAAGGAGTGAACTGTTTGGCTTTCTCCACTTAATTGACTACATTTTTCTGTATCTTTAATCTTTCTTGTTTCACTCCTTATTTTAGAGGAAGAAATAGCCTTGTTCCTTTGCAAAGGCAAACTTTTCATTTGTGTTTTCTTTTTTCCATTTGTTTCATAAAATGTTTTTGGAAAAGCAACCCATGCTGATTAAATACAAAGTAGAAAATAGTTAAGAAGTCAATATACAACATTTCTTTATCTCATCAATAATTTTCTAGAAAATGTAAAAATAACATACAAATCACATTGGCAATAAAATGCCTAAAGTATGTAGTAATTAACCTTATCAAGAGTATACAGAATCTTTATGGCAAAAAATCTAAAACTTTATTAAGAATCATAAGAAAACATGAATATGCTGAGTTTATGGATGGCATGATTTAACATTTGTAAAGATGTAAATTCTTCTTGGGTCAATAGGGTCAGTCAAGGAAACTCCAATAAGAAAATCTAATAGGATTTTTTGGGGTACTCAACAGCTGACTCTGGAATTTTCATGGAAGTATAACGTATAAAATAGCTTTAAAAATTGTTTAAAAAGACCAAAAGCAGTGGAAAGGGTTGGACTCACCCTTTATTAATATTGAAGTTTGTTACAAAGCCTTCATAATAAATAATGAGATACTGGTGCAAGAACAAACTCCAATGCCACAGAATAAACAGCATAGGACATGCATACATCACATACCTTTATCTACCTATCTAATATCCTTCATCACATATGATTGACATAGCATCATATAAAAATGAGGAAAATATGGATTTTTAGCAGAAAGTAGTGGGAAAACTATATTGTTACATAGAAAAAATAAAGCTGGATTCATACCTCATACTATATCCAAAGGCGAACTCCAGAGGGATTAATGACTAATTGGGAAAGCAAAACCTAGAAGTTAATAGAAAAACTATAGACAAATATTATGGTAATCTTGCAGTGGGAAAGGATTTTTTTTTCTTTCTTCTTTTTTAAAATAGACACAAGGTCTTCTCTGTTGCCCACGCTGGAGTACAGTGGCATGATCATGGCTCACTGCAGCCTTGACCTCCTGGGCTCAAGCAATCCTCCCACCTCAGTGTCCTGATTGGCTGGAAATACAGGTACTTGCCACCACACCTAGGTAATATTTTAAAAAAATTTTGTAGAGAGAAGGTCTCGCTATGTTGCCCAGGCTGGTCTTGAACTTTTGGGCTCAAGTGAGCCTCCCAACTTGACCTCCCAAAGTGCTGAGATCATGGGTGAGCCACTGCACCCAGCCAAGATTTCTTAAACAAGATCTCCGAAGCAGGAGCCATAGGATAAAGATGGATGATTTCTAATATTAATATATCAATATTAAGGATTTCTGTTCAGTGTTCAATGGACAAATTTGGCAGAGGGATGATGGAGTAGAAGAAATTACTTTTAATGTTTAGAAAAGACGTTATACAGATACCCAGGCAGAAAGAGAGAGAAAGAGAAAGGAAAAGAAAAACAGAAAAGTAGGAGGAAGAAGAGGAGGAGAGGAAGAAAAATAGAAATATGGGCAAAAATGTGAGAAGTCAGTTTGCTGAAGGGGAAACATAAACAGTTAACAAATATGTGAACAAATCATTAAACCCTCAAAATCATCAAAAAAATCAAAAGAGAACAACAACAAAGTAACACATTATATCCAAGAGCTTGGCAAAAATTATAAAGAGATGTACTAGTGCTAGCCAGTACCCAGGTTAACAGAATTCTCATGTGCGGGGGGTTGGAGTAAAGCTGGCCAGTTTGCTCTGGAGAGAAATTTGATGGTACTTAGTGAAATTAAGTGTGTGGCTAGCCTATGATGTAACAGTTCCCTTTCTGGGTGCCTACTCTGATAAACTCTTTCTCAGGTCCATGTAGGGACATGTATGAGGTTATTCAATGAAACACTTTTTGTGTTAGTAGGTAACTTAGACATTCCTCATTAAGAGAATGGATGAATATAGGTAGGGCGCGGTGGCTCACGCCTGTAATCCCAGCACTTTGGGAAGCCAAGGTGGGCAGATTGCTTGAGGTCAGGAGTTTGAGACCAGCCTGGCCATCGTGGTGAAGCCCCGTCTCCACTAAAAATACAAAAATTAGCCGGGCATGGTGGCGTGTGCCTGTAATCCCAGCTACTTGGGAGACTGAGGCAGGAGAATGACTTGAACCCGGGAGGTGGAGGTTGCAATGAGCCGACATTGCACCACTGCACTCCAGCCTCGGGGACAGAGCAAGACTCAGTCTCAAAAAAAAAGAGAATGGATGAATAAAATAGGGGATATGTCCACAGTGGTATTATATATTATGCAGCAATTAGGAGCTATAAGCTAAATATACATATGTTGACACAGTTAGATTTTAAGATCATAGAGTTGGGTGGAAAAGGAAGCAGAAGGAGATCCACAGCAAAATGTTTAGTAATTTGAAAACATAATATACAAAGCAATACTGTGCATCTTTCAAGGTTACTTATATATCCAGTGACATTGATTTAATACATTAGCAAAAATTTGCATTATGTATTGAGATATCAGGAAAAATCTGAGGAGGCTTACCAGACCCATGATGACACTGTGCCTTAAAATGTATGATGAGGCCGGGCGCAGTGGCTCACGCCTGTAATCCCAGCACTTTGGGAGGCCGAGGCGGGTGGATCATGAGGTCAGGAGATCGAGACCATCCTGGCTAACAAGGTGAAACCCCGTCTCTACTAAAAATACAAAAAATTAGCCGGGCGCGGTGGCGGGCGCCTGTAGTCCCAGCTACTCGGGAGGCTGAGGCAGGAGAATGGCGTGAACCCGGGAAGCGGAGCTTGCAGTGAGCCGAGATTGCGCCACTGCAGTCCGCAGTCCGACCTGGGCGACAGAGCGAGACTCCGTCTCAAAAAAAAAAAAAAAAAAAAAAAAAATGTATGATGAACTTAGTTCTACACCTGTGAAGAAAATACATGCATTCACTCATGCAAGGAAAATCTATTCATCTGACTATTACTTAGTGAGCACCTGCTGGAATGAAAAAAACATACCACCCAAATCCTACCACATAAAAATAACCATATTTGACATTTTGTACACCTGTGCTCTTTTCTCCACCTCTGTCTCCCATTTTGAATCCTGATTAAAATAATTTTACTTTTCTTCTGAAACGCACCTGTTGACAGTTTCTTATCTTATTTTTTATTTATTTTTATTTTTTTACAGGCACCACCACGCCTGGCTAATTTTTGTATTTTTAGTAGAGATGGGGTTTCACCACGTTGTTCAGGCTGGTCTTGAACTCCTGACCTCGTGATCTGCCAGCCTCGGCCTCCCAAAGTGCTGGGATTACAGGAGTGAGCCACCGTGCCTGGCCAACAATGGTCATTTCTTCCACCCTTCCCTTAAAGCTATTTTCTCAAAGGTCATCAATGGTTTCTTAATTTTTAATCACGTGGTCTTTTCTCTGTTGAGATCAATAAGTATTTATTGGGTATATACTTTGATATATGATGGCAGGGTCTATGTTAAGTGCTGGGGCTATGAGATGATTTCACTACAGTTCCTGTGTTCCAGGAGATCACACTGTGGTTAGAAAATAGATATGAAGGCTGGGCATGGTGGTTCACGCCTGTAATTCCAGCACTTTGGGAGGCTGAGGCAGGTGGATCACAAGGTCAGGAACTCTAGACCAGCCTGGCCAACACAGCAAAACCCCATCTCTACCAAAAATGCAAAAATTAGCTGAGCATTGTAGTGCACACCTGTAATCCCAGCTACTTGGGGAGGGTGAGGCAGAAGAATTGCTTGAACCTGGGAGGTGGAGGTTGCAGTGAGCCAAGATTGCACCACTGCACTCCAGCCTGGGCAACAGAGCAAGACTACATCTCAAAAAAAAAAAAAAAAAAAAAAAAAGATATGAAAATGGATAATCTTAATATAATGTTCTAATTACAGAGACAAGGTGTGCCCAGGTTGCTGAAGTTCCCACTGGAGCTCAAGTGGGAACTTGCACTGAAGAAGATGTGTTGGAGAAGATTCAGTCTGAGTTTGAAGGGTGAACCAATTAAATAAGATTAGGGAATTTTAGGCAAGTGGTTCTCAGACCTAGCTATACATTTAAGTTAAAAAAAAAAATGCTAATGCCTAGGCCCCCGCCCAGACCAATGAAGTCATGTCTAGGGGTGGAATCTGCATCCCTCTTGTGATTTTAAGATGTAACCAGATCTGAGAACCACAGCTCTGGACTGAGAGAGAAACAGGAGCCAGGCACAAGGGTGCAGAATGGTTGGAGATGTAGCTAATGTCAGAACCTTTTAATTTTTTTTTAATAATGAGATGGGTCTCGCTATGGTGCCTAGGCTGGCCTCAAACTCCTAAGCTCAAGCAATCTGCCTGCCTTGATCTCTCAAAGTTCTGGGATTACAGGCGTGGGCCACCACAGCTGGCCTGGTGTCAAAGTCGTTGATCCCAGACTGTCTCACTCCAAAGAATGTTCTTAACCACTTCTCATTACTGGTTCCACATGACTGAGGTATTAGTCAGAATATGTAAGATTATGCTGTGGTTAAACAAACAATAATTTAGTGGTTTAGAATAACAAAGTTTGGGCCGGGCGTGGTGGCTCACACCTGTAATCCCAGCACTTTGGGAGGCCGAGGTGGCAGATCACGAGGTCAAGAGATCCAGACCATCCTGGCCAACATGATGAAACCCCATCTCTACTAAAAATACAAAAATTAGCTGGGCGTGGTGGGGTGTGCCTGTAGTCCCAGCTGCAGGCTGAGGCAAGAGAATCACTTGAACCCGGGAGGCAGAGGTTGCAATGAGCTGAAATTGTGCCACTGCACTTCAGCCTGGCAACAGAGTGAGACTCCATCTCAGGGAAAAAAAAAAAAAAATGAATAACAAAGTTTGCTTTTTATTTTTACATGTTTCCATTGAGGATCATGGGGGTGGAGGGTGGGGCTCTACTTAACATCATCCTTAATCAGAGACCCAGGTTTGGAGTCTTTCACTATTTGAAGCCAGACAAAGGAAACATAGTGAATTGTACACCAATTCTTTTAGGCTTCCACCTGCAAGTGGTCCATGACACTTTTAGTTACATGCACTTGCCAAATTCAGTCATGTGTCCATAATGAGCATCATGGTGATGGGGGCATATTACACTATTATGTACCTAGAAGAAAACTAGAATATTTGTAAAAATAATTAAGGCTATATGAAATAAAATTAAACTCAATTGCCAATGGCAGCCATTTATATGCATCTGAGGTCCCACACTATGGCACCTGGAAGAAGTAATTTCACTATATTTGCACCAACCAGGATATTTCCAGGGGAGTTTAATGCTGTACTTTTTGATTCTTACATCCAGTTCTTCCGCTTTCAATTCTTGCCTTCCTTCCTTCCTTCCTCCCTCCCTCTTTCCCTCTCTCTCTTCCCCCTCCCGCTCTCTCTTTCTCTCTTTTCTTTCTTTCTCTTTCTTCCTTCCTTCCCTCCCTCCCTCCCTCCCTCCCTCCCTCCCTCCCTCCCTCCTTTCTTTCTTTCTTTCTTTCTTTCTTTCTTTCTTTCTTTCTTTCTTTCTTTCTTTCCTTCTTTCTTTCTCTCTTTCTTTCTTTCTTCCCTCCCTCCCTCCCTCCCCCCACTCTTTCTTCCTTTCTTTCTTTCCTTCCTCTCTCTCTCTCTTTTTTTCTCTTTTCTTCTCACTCTCTGTTTCTTTTTTCGAATGGGTCTTGCTCTGTCACCCAGGCTGGATAGCAGTGGTGCAATCATAGATCACTGAAGCATCAACCTCCCAGGCTCAGGCGATCCTCCCACCTCAGCCTCCATAAGTTGCTGAGATTATAGGCATGAGCCACCATGCGTGATCCACTTTCAATTTCTTAACAAACATCTGGCCTTGCCGGCAGAATAAAAGTTGGGTTTCCAATATTTCAGTACTTTCTGTATTTCTTCAGATGGAAACTCTTTCCTCTTCCGAGACTAAAACTAATGTAACAATGACTTTTTGACGCAACTGCAACATGTATCCACCCAAGCTCCATTTCTCCTTTTCTATTTGTGGATCCTCCCTTTGTCAGGTTGATTTATGAGGCCAATTGACTCATGCCAGCTTCTTCCCATCTTTTTTCCTTTGCTTATAAGTTGAAACTTTTTCCTACGTCTTATGACTTTAAAGAACTTGCCCATAAGTAATCTCACTTAATTCTCAAATAGACTCTACACTGAAGGCATTATTCAATCCTTTTTTACAAATAAAGAAAATAAATTTCAGAGGTGAGACAGGGTCTCACGAAGATTTCTGAAATATTTACATCTTCTGACAGCCACTCTTACCTTCTTTCCACTTTGTGTTATTTTCTCCTATTAATGAATCAAAATGTTGACTCATTCATTCATTCATTCTTCAGGTACTTATTATCTATTAGAAGCCTGGCATTGAATCAGCCACAGGGTTGTATGTACTTGGTCTCTGTGCTCTGCTGTCCATTGCTCAGGCAACAGCCTTTTCTTCTTCTAACAGGACTCTAATTTTCTTCAGGGAACCAGCAGGTTTCATCTCCCAATCTGAAGGACCCTAGATCCCTACCCCAGGCTCAAGGCGTAGGCCTGATTGGTCTAAACCAGTCATACCAAGAACCCAAAAGGAAATGCAATAAAAACAAAGATAAATAGCTGGGACCTAATTAAACTAAAGAGCTTTTGCATGGCAAAAAAGAGCAGTCAGCAGCATAAATAGACAACCCACAGAGTGGGAGAAAATCTTCACAATCTATACATCTGATAAAGGACTAAATCCAGAATCTACAATGAACTCAAATCAGAAAGAAAAAAAAAAAAATCCCATCAAAAGTGGGCTAAGGACATAAATAGACAATTCTCAAAAGAAGATATACAAATGGCCAAATAATTATATAAAAAATGCTCAGCATCACTAATGATCAGGGAAATGCAAATCAAAACCACAATGAGATACCACCTTACTCCCGTGAGAATGACCATAATTAAAAAATAGAAAAAAAACAAAACAGTAGATGTTGGCGTGAATGTGGTGAATGG